>NC_000001.11:64099289-64402319 GCF_000001405.40 Homo sapiens
GATATGTTAAATCTGTGTTCAGTTCTGGCGATCCTTCCAATATGCTGGTTTGTTGCAAAGCACAGTGCCTGGTCCATAGGAAGCCCTCAGTAAATATGAATAGCTGCTAAGTGCTCAGTCAATGCCACCTGCTATTATACTTGTCACGGTGGTGTGAGAAGGATAACAAAAGTCATCGGAGCATCTGAACTCATCAGAGGCCGCCAGAGGAACATTCTGCTCCAGAGCATTTGTGTTCCAAATGGAAACTATAAAAGCAAAAATAAAATGTTTATATTTTCTAGTTGGCTGTAAATAAAGAAATAATGATAAAAATAAATTAGTTGCCTGACCTAATGCTTTAAAGTTTGCAGATTGAGTAATGTCTTTTTCCGACAGTAAATTTAGTTAACAGTTATTTGTAAAATAATTAAAATTTCAAGTAACACATGCTCATTTTGCTTAACTAAGTTTGTGGGTTTATTGTTGAAAATAAAGATCAAATAGGCCGGGTGCAGTGGCTCACGCCTGTAATCCCAGCACTTTGGGAGGCCGAGGCAGGTGGATCACAAGGTCAAGAGTCCAAGACCAGCTGGCCAATATGGTGAAAACCCATCTCTACTAAAAAATACAAAAATTAGCTGGACGTGGTGGCGCGTGCCTGTAGTCCCAGCTACTCAGGAGGCTGAGGCAGGAGAATTGCTTAAACCCAGGAGGTGGAGGTTGCAGTGAGCCAAGATCACACCACTGCAGTCCAGCCTGGGCAACAGAGTGAGACTCTGTCTCAAAAAGTTGAGTTTATTTTTCAGCTAACTGGCTATTTTAAAATTTTGGAAAAATTTAAAAATATTACAAATCATACACAATAGATGTTGAGTTAAATTCAATTCAGTTGACTTTATTGATTTGGTATTTTTTTTAAAAAAAAGTTGACCATGTGTGGTGGCTCGTGTCTGTAATCCCAGCACTTTGGAAAGCTGAGCTGGAAGGATAGCTTGAGACCAGGAGTTTGAGACCAGCCTGGGCAACATGGCAAGACCTCATCTCTACTAAAAATAAAAAATAAAAAATAAGCTAGGCATAGCAGTGTGTTCATATAGTCCCAGCTACTCAGGAGGCACAGGTGGGAGGATCGCTTGAACCCAGGAGGTTGAGGCTGCAGTGAGCTGTGATCACACCACTGCACTCCAGCCTAGGTGACAGAGAAAGACCTTGTCTCAAGAAATAAGCAAACAAAATAAGCCTATCAGTAATATCCCCAAATGTTAATAATTGATACCTTGATTTAAAGATAGTGATATCTATTTACTTTATATCAGCATCACTTAATTTTGATAAATACTCCAAGCCTTCATTTTGTTTTTAAGTAAAAGATGTAAAACTCATCTGGGAATATATCAAACCCCTACTAGTGCCTGCCCTCAAATGATCAAGCCTACACATAGCTGAGTCGTAACAAATGTGTTTTAAGGGAATATCAAGCATTAGCAATCTACCCACCACAGGAAAACATCTAATTCTATAGGAGTCAAGAGTTAGTCCTCATTCTAAATGCAGATACTCTGGGGTGTGTAATTCAACCCATGTAAGTGCCCCCTCTGTGCCTGGACCATGGAATAGATCGTTCATAAGATTGCTGCATCTCAGGAGACGGGTCTTTTCAGGAGCACTGGATGATTAGGCCAAGTTACTTGGGAAAGCCAGTCACTGTATTTATTTTTACAAGCCAGATGCTGGCACGTAGTGCATTCTTTTACAAAAATAAAAGGGATTTGGAGAAAAAGAAAGGTTCAGGGTCACAGATGAAATCATGAGGGTATTTTACATGGTTTTATGGGTAGAAATTTTTACTTTTACCTTCTACAATGGTTCTAAAAAAGCCGTTGAGCTGCTCTGTGCAGAAAGTAAACAGGGAAGAGTTTTATGCCCACAGTAGAGTAAAAACCTTAAACTGGGACATCAAGGGACTCCATGCCTGAGGCCGTGGAGAGGCTAATAGTGCCACGGGGTAGGGAACAGGGGAGTCTCTGTTCACCATGGTCCTGTCTCATTCCTAAGGAGTCTTTGGGAGCCCATAGTTAAGCTGTTTTGATAAACACTAAGTAATAACCAGATATGGACATGTGGAATTGATTAAGAGAGGAGGGATTAACTAATGCACTAAATAACCCATCATGCGTGGTGGGTTGGGGAGGAGGTAGAGACATAATGGTACAAGCTCCTGACGAAGAAGGGCCCTGAGATTTTCCTTCAGCCCACAGATATTTACTGAGCACCTACTGTGAGCCAGCTCCTGTTCTAAGAACGAAGGATATGACAGTGAAACAGGCACAAATTCTGCTCTATTGCTTGTGGAGCTTACATTCTTGAGGGGGAACCCAAGGATGCTTAAGAAGAGACAGAAATCACAATGAGTAGAAAGAGAGTGATGTGGTAGAGGTTGCTACTTTACATGGGTTGATTAGAGGAGGCCTCTCCGATAAGGTGGCATTTGGGCAAAGGCTTGAATGAAGTGAGAGAGTGAGCCATACGTTTATCTGAGAGAGAGGCAGATAATTCCAGGCAAACGGGACAGCTAACCTAAAAGCTTTGTGACAGAATCATGTTTGGCAGAATCAAGGAATAAAAAGGCATCTTAGAAATTGCTTGGGTAATGCTTTAAGATCAATTGTCATCTCCTTTCAACTTGTTACAGACTCCTGCTTTTAGGTGTATGCTATATAGTTATTGGTCAAACATTAAGAGCTGGTCCCCATTAATAACTATAACACTTCCTGTATTCAGGTGATGAGAAAAAGAAGGTCCTGCTCTCAAGAGGTGCAAATAGGGCTGGGGAGAGGTCTGGAGAGAATGAGAGACAGAGGCACCAATAGCTAAGTAGACTAGAAGTAGGTAGCAGAACCCTGACCTCCACATTTCTCCTGTTTGTTTTAACAGCTCCGCTTAGCAGCACCACAAGAAGGAGCGTGGAAAGTATGGAATCAGATCTGTTTGTGCGGTTTTTACATTTCAGGCGATTAAGTGAAATGGTAAATGAAACCAAATCTATTGCCTCTATCCCTGTCAGTGTGAGGCAAAGAGGGAAAATAAACTTCAACTCCTGGTGTAGACAGTGGAAGGGTGAGACAAGCAAACCCAGCTCCTTCACACCCACTTCCTTTCTTCTCACAAAGAGAAGTCCCTCTCAGTCCCTCAGAGCTTACATTGATGTGTCCAGAGAGGGAGGTTAAGGAACCCTGGAGATTCATTGTTGGGCCTCATAGCTGTGCTTTTATTCACCTGTCTTTTATAAATGTCCACTGTATGCCAGCATTGTGCTGGTGATACAAGTGCTGTGATGGGAATATGCACAAAGGTGGGCTTAGAAAAATCTTCCTGAAGAATGCAACAGGTATCTATCTCAAAGCCAGACAAGTAGGGTTTGATCGCCTTCGCTTTTTTAAAACAGTTCCTTCATTGTTAATCTGCTCAATTCATCTCCGAGCCATGGTCTAGGGCAGGATTTTTTTAACCTTGACACTTGAACCTGGATAATAATTCCTTGTTGTAGGGGCTGCCCTGTGTATTACAGGCTGCTTAGCAGCATCCCTGGCCTCCACGCACTGGATGCCAGCAACCCCTTTCTCCCCAATTTCGACAACCAAAAGTGTCTCCAGACAGCGCCAGCTGTCCCCTGGGATGACAATCACCCCCCTGTTGAGAATCATTGGTCCAGATGAGGAAGTCCCAGGCCAGGCCTGGTGTTACTTACAAACTCCAGGTACACAAGAATGAGGCTCTTCTTATGAACATCTGGTCTCATTTTCCACTGAAGTTTGAACAATAGGAAACAGGCTAAAAAAGCAGCAGGAAGATGTTAGGTTCGCTATGGAAAAGAATTTCCTGCTTAAGAAGTTAGTAAGGACTGACTTGGCGATGTGGGCTCTTTTTTGGTTCCATATGAACTTTAAAGTAGTATTTTCCAATTCTGTGAAGAAAGTCATTGGTAGCTTGATGGGGATGGCACGTTGTGCACATGTACCCTAAAACTTAAAGTATAATAATAATAAAATTTAAAAAAAAGTTCAAATGCAAAAAAAAAAAAGTAAGGAACTAGAAAATCTCAATGCAACATTTATAAAATATCCTCTAGATATGTGAGTGAAACAAAACTTCATTAAGCTGCTTATTTAAAGGGAAAGTTAATCTGCAGTAGAGGACAAAGTCAGAAATAGTTGCTTTGTTTCTTAAAAAATATATAATTGCCATTTCAATATATTTAACTGCAATTATCAATTAAAATTTGCCTGAAATGGTTGGTGATTTAAAGGTGTTTTCTGAGGCTTTGAGAACTTAGTATATTAACTGAATGTGAATGACTTTCAAATGAGTCCTTATAAGTAGTATGTTTTCATAAGTGAATACACAGTGTTCTCTAAATAACTGTGGACACTGTTAATTTTTCTGTATTACTGAAAATATAGATTTCAGTTCTCCCATTATCTGAATTAACATGACTCCAAGTTAGTTGTGTCTCACTTCACCTTAAAAAAAAAAGGTTTCTATCTAAAAGGAGGGAAAGAATTAACATTCATTGACCACCCATTTGTGCCAGGCTTTGGGCAAGGTCAGCAGTTCTCTAGTGAGGGGGATTTTGCCTTCCAGGGAACACTTTGCAATGTCTACAAACATTTTTGGTTATCACAACTGGAAAGGTATTATATGAGCATCTAGTAGGTTAAGGCCAGAGATGCTGCTAAATATCGTACAGTGCACAGGCCAGCTCGCTCCAACAAACAACTCTCCAGCCCCAAACGTCAATAGCGCTGAGATTGAGAAACTCTGCACTAGGCTATATATCTATGTTATCTTATATTACCCTTAGGACATTTCTTAAAACATCTTTACTATTATTATCCCCTATTATAGATGAAGAAACTCAGGCTTAGAGGGGTGAAGCAACTTGTTCAAGATCCTAAAACTAGTACATAGAAGAGTCAGGGTTCTTATCCACACCCTAGGTGCTGTGGGCAGCTGTCTCTACCACACTCAGCTGTCCTCTTGTAGGTGGTTTTTAATTTATTATCATTATTATTTTTACTTAAAGCCATGTGTGACAGGACTTTGCAAGGAGGATGCTGATGAGTCCAAAGGAAAATCACAAGTGTGCCCAGTCCTCTACTAATCAATATAGCATGAAGTCATATACATCCTGTCCCCTCATGGGTAATAAATTCTTTTTTTTTTTTATTTTACTTTAAGTTCCGGGATACATGTATAGAACACGCAGATTTGTTACACAGGCATACATGTGCCATGGTGGTTTGCTGCACCTATTGACCCGTCCTCTAAGTTCCCTCCCCTCACCCCCACCCTTCAATAGGCCCTGGTGTGTGCTGTTCCCCTCCCTGTGTCCATGTGTTATCATGGTTCAGCTGCCACTTATGAGTGAGAACATGTGGTGTTTGGTTTTCTGTTCTTGTGATAGTTTGCTGAGAATGATGGCTTCCAGCTTCATCCATGACCCTGCAAAGGGCATGATCTCATTCCTTTTTATGGCTGCATAGTATTCCATGGTGTATATGTACCACATTTTCTTTATCCAGTCTATCATTGATGGGCATTTGGGTTAGTTCCATGTCTTTGCTATTGTAAATAGTGCTGCAATAAACATATGTGTGCATGTGTCTTTATAGTAGAATATTTTATATTCCTTTGGGCATATACCCAGTAATGGGGCTGCTGGGTCAAATGTTATTTCTGGTTCTAGGTCCTTGAGGAATTGCTGTACTGTCTTCCACAATGGTTGAACTAATTTACGTTCCCATTAACAGTATAAAAGTGTTCCTATTTCTCCACAACCTCACTAGCATCTATTGTTTCTTGACTTTTTAATAATCGCCATTCTGACTGGTGTGAGATGGTATCTCATTGTGATTTTGATTTGCATTTCTCTAATGATCAGTGATATTGAGCTTTTTTCATGTTTCTTGGCCATGTAAATGTCTTCTTTTGAGAAGTGTCTGTTCATATTTTTCACCCACTTTTTGATGGGGTTATTTTTTTCTTGTCAATTTGTTTAAGTTCCTTATAGATGCTGGATATTAGACCTTTGTTGGATGGATAGATCGCAAAATTTTTCTCCCATTCTGTAGGTTGCCTGTTCACTCTGATGATAGCTTCTTTTGCTGTGCAGAAGCTCTTTAGTTTAATTACATCCCATTTGTCAATTATGGCTTTTGCTGCAATTGCTTTTGGCGTTTTCATTATGAAGTCTTTGCCCATGCCTATGTCCTGAATGGTATTGCCTAGGTTTTCTTCTAGGGTTTTTATGGTTTGGGGCTTTACATTTAAGTCTTTAATCCATCCTAAGTTAATTTTTGTATAAGGTATAAGGAAGGGTGATCCAGTTTCAGTTTTCTGCACGTGGCTAGACAGTTTTCCCAGAAACATTTAATGAATAGGAGATCATTTCCCGATCGCTTGTTTTTGTCAGGTTTGTCAAAGATCAGATGGTTTTAGATGTGTGGTGTTATTTCTGAGGTCTCTGTTCTGTTCCATTGGTCTATATGTTTGTTTTGGTACCAGTACCATGCTGTTTTGGTTACTGTAGCCTGTAGTATAGTTTGAAGTCAGGTAGCTTGATGCCTCCAGCTTTGTTCTTTTTGCTTAGGCTTGTCTTAGCTATACAGGGTCTTCTTTGATTCCATATGAAATTTAAAGTAGTTTTTTTTCTAATTCTGTGAAGAACGTCAATGGTAGCTTGATGAGGATAGCATTGAATCTATAAATTACGTTGGACAGTATGGCCATTTTCATGATATTGATTCTTCCTATCCATGAGGATGGAATGTTTTTCCATTTGTTTGTGTCCTCTCTTATTTCCTTGAGCAGTAGTTTGTAGTTCTCCTTGAAAAGGTCCTTCACATCCCTTGTTAGCTGTATTCCTAGGTATTTTATTCTCTTTGTAGCAATTGTGAATGGGACTTCATTCATGATTTGGCTCCCTGCTTGTCTATTGTTGGTGTAAAGGAATGCTTGTGATTTTAGCACATTGATTTTGTATCCTGAGACTTTGCTGAAGTTGCTCACCAGCTTAAGGAGTTTTTGGGGTGAGATGATGGGGTTTTCTAAATATACAATCATGTTGTCTGCAAATAGAGACAATTTGACTCTCTCTCTTCCTATTAGAATATGCTTTTTGTCTTTCTCTTGCCCGATTGCCCTGGCCAAAACTTCAATACTATGTTGAATAGAGTGGTGAGAAGAGGGCATCCTTACCTTGTACTAGTATTCAAAGGGAATGCTTCCAGCTTTTGCCCATTCAATATGATATTGGCTGTGGGTTTGTCATAAACAGCTCTTTTATTTTGAGATATGTTCCATCAATATCTAGTTTATTGAGTTTTTAACATGAAGGGATGTTGAATTTTATCAAAGGCCTTTTCTGCATCTACTGAGATAACCATGTGGTTTTTGTCTTTGGTTCTGTTTATGTGACGGATTATGTTTATTGATTTGCATATGCTGAGCCAGCTTTGCATCCCAGGGATGAAGCCAGCTTGATCGTGATGGATAAGTTTTTTGATGTGCGGGTAATAAATTCTTAGCACACGGGTACAGTCTTTTGTTTCACTTTGTTTTCCTCGTTATTCTGTAAACCTGCCAGTTTATGCACGTCAAAGGTCTAGAAGACCTTGCCAGTTCCTCTGTCCAGAGTCCCCACCCTGCCACTGAGGAGTAGCATGCAGTTTCACAAGTCGTGTTACCCCAAGAGCTTCGGTTTCCTCATCTGTAAAACAAGGATGATAACACTTTCCTCACATGATTGTTGAAATGATCATAGAGTAATAATAATAGTCAGAGGTACAATTTATTATGTGTGTTATGTACTGGGCGTTATATTAAGTGCTCTACACGTATTATCTCATTTAATTTTTAGAATAACCTTTTCAGTAGTTGTTGCCCCCATTTTGCAGACGACAAAAGTGAGGCACTGAGAGGTTGTGTAATTTACTTGAGTGCAGGTGGTCAGTAAGTAGCAGAGCCAGCATTTGAACTTAGAATGTCTGGCTCTAAGCCTCAGACTCTCTTAACCACAAAGCTCTCTGTCAAGTGCTATACAAATGTGAGAATTATTATGAGCAATGATAGCTAGTTTAGGTGATTAAAAAGCTTTATGTGCTTCAGAGAGTTTTCACAGGGTAATCATCATAAATTCCTTTTTCATCGTCTTTGCTGTTCCATCCTTGTGATCATTATGCAGTACCTATTATGTTTCACCTTTGTGTTTTTTTCTTTCTTTTCACAAGTTTAAATAAGGGAACTAGGGGTCTTTTTTTTAAGTCAAGCTTTGTTAATAGATTTTCAGAATGCACATTAAAGTGCCAGAAATTGAGTGCTTTTCTGATTAGTAAAGATTGTATTGGTTTTTTTTTTTAACAATTCACTTTTTAGATTTCTATTTTAAGCCCACTTAGAGCTGATTACAATAACCCCTATTTATAAATAGAATTTTACTGGGCCTCACCTCTGACGTATTTTCAAATTCAGTCTCACTCACTCTAAGTAAAATAATCATTCATCAAGTGAAGGTAGGGTAGAATAAGAGCATATTTCTGCAGCTACCTCTGTGTTCTGAGGGAGCCAGCCATAAATATTCAGCATCGGTGGTCAGAGTTTGGCTCTGCATTAAATCATAATCATTTTACTGGTGAATAAATGACATGTTTAATTATTTTATATGGATGTATAAATTTTGGTCTTGATCTGGGCAGCATATTTTTAACATCTGGATTTTTTTGTTTTCTTGTTGTGTGTGTGTGTGTGTGTGTGTGTGTGTGTGTGTGTGTTTAAATCACTGTTTAGGCTGGGCATGGTGGCTCATGCCTGTAATCTCAGCACTTTGGGAGACCAAGGTGGGTGGATGGCCTGAGGTCAGGAGTTCAAGACCAGCCTAGCCAACATGGTGAAACCCCATCTCTACTAAAAATACAAAAATTAGCCAGGCATGGTGGTACATGCCTGTAATCCCAGCTACTAGGGAGGCTAAGCCAGGATAATCACTTGAACCTGGGAGGCAGAGGTTGCAGTGAGCCGAGATCACACCACTTTACTCCAGCATGGGCGACAGAGTGAGACTCCATCTAAAAAAAAAAAAAAAAAAAAAAAAAAAAAAAAAAAAAATCACTGTTTAGCTTTAAGTGCTAGGACACAAAATGTGAAGTCACTGTGGTCTTTAAAAATCTCAATTAACCAGAACATTCAAATTGCTGGGTGTATTCAACACTCCACTTCTGGGATAAAGAGTTAAGTGACAAGGGCAGAGCTGGCCGTGGGAATCACTATGGGGCTCCCAGTGCCTAGGCAAGTCAGGTTGAGTGAGCCTCCACTCCACCCATCACATAACACACACACACACCAATACAACATTCTACAACAAAAAGTTAGCAAAAGAGTGTTCAGCAATGACAGTCTAAAATGGAAAAGTCAGAGAGATGAAGTCTCAAAGGGACATTCTGTATTCTGGAGATTATGTGTAGAGAGATACAGAAGAAAGTCATTTGGCAACAAGTTTCAACAAGCTTCTGTTATATGGGTCACCCTTACAGGGTCGTAAGCATCCCTTGGGGGATTGTTAAAAATAATGTTTAGGACCCTGTCCTAGTCCTACTAAATCCAAATCTCCAGAAAACCCAGGGAAAATGATTTATTTAAAGGGCCACAGGTATCTTGGACACACCCCAGAGCTACTGAATCACAGTCTCTAGAGCTTGGGCCAGGAATCGGAATGCAAAAGAAGCTCCACAGGTACTTCTGATACAAACCCCCGGCTTAGATCTCTGGGGGTGGTTCCTGGCAATCTGCATCTTTAGTCCATCCTCTAGGTGTGTCTTACAGACACCCCAGTTTGAGAGACATGGCATCAACTATTGTTCTGAGTTTTATCAGAGCAGAGGTAGCCAAATCTTCTAGACCTTATAGATCAGCTCCGATGCACAAGATTGGCATGAAAACAGCTTACATTAAAGTTTACTTAAAAATTACACATTTCCTATTAATTTTAATCTTCACAGTCTTATGAGGCTGCTGTAGCTGGAATTATAAGTGAAGAAAATGAGGTTCAGAAAGGATAAGTAACTTCTCCAGGGTATTTTCTGAGCACTCTGAGCAGGTGGCAGAGTTTGGGCTCAAATCACATCTTTTTGACTCAAGCCCTGAGCTCCATTCCTGCACTTATGATGTGGTGCACAGTGCCTAGATAGCACTTTCACACATAGAATCTTCCTTGTGCTATAGAAGAGCCCTGTAGGCAAAGTTACTTATCCTTTCTGAAAAATCACAATCTCGGCTCACTGCGACCTCAACCTCCCAGGTTCAACCAATCCTCGTGCATCAGCCTCCCAAGTAGCTTGGACTACAGACACACACCAGCATGCCCAGCTAATTTTTGTATTTTTTTGTAGAGAACAGGGTCTCACTTTGTTGCCTAGACTGGTCTCAAACTCGTGGGCTCAAGCAGTCCTCCGCTCTGCCTTCCAAAGTGCTGGGATTATAGGTGTGAGTTACCTCATTCAGGCCCTCCTGCCTTCCTTTTATTATATGGTAGGGTGGGATGGGCAGGAATTTGTTGTCTTTTGGGGGCTTCTGATGTCCGAATGTCTTATTAATTAGCCCTACCAACAGACACAACTCAGACCAGAGCTAACCCTGTCAATTTAGACATCACTTCCTCTAGGAAGCCTTTGCTATATCCCTCCAGTAAAGGTCACATGACCTCCTCTGCACACTCAGTCTCCCTGTCTTTGTCCATATCACATAGCACTATCTGTTCCATGAGGCCAGGTATTGTCCATATGTACAATAGGAACATAACTCTTAATCAAATATTCGTGGAGTTGATGAACAAGTGCAGTTAGAATCAGTGGATAAATCCTTCTAATATTCAAAGCAATGAAGGCAGCTCACTTTTCTCCTATGCCTATTCTAAAATCAAATTATTCTTTTATTCATATTGTCTGTTTTAACTAGATTTTATGTGCATAAGTGTATTGTAAAGTGGGAAGGAAGACCACTAGAGGCAAGTACTTCCTTCTCCATTTGATGATGAGGAATCTGAAGGTAAGAGGCAGCAAGTAACTTTTCTAAGGTCACACAGCCTATCAGATATAGAGCTGGGTTTTGCATTCAGGTCAATTGAACATTGAACCCTGAGGACAGGCAGCTGGTAAGTATCACAGCTGAGATTAAAACGCAAGCCATCTAATTCCCATCCTCATCTTTCTTCTGCTTGCTTCCTGCCTAAAAAACAGGATAACAAAGGAGGGTTGTTTCTGTTTGTAATTTCAAAGTTAGTACTCAATATATCACAAGGGTCTCTTAAATCATACAGTGTTCATTACCTGCATATTCCTTGTGAGAGTTAAGCTTTGGTCTTCCTCATTTTACCAGATGGGAAACCAAGGCCAGGAAGTTTCAGCATTCTCACCAGCTCTTCAGAAAGCTCATGTATCTTGGAAGCAGAATGCAGGATGGTGCTGGAGGGGCTGAGAGTAGGTAGGAAATTAAGGGACTCTGTTAGGAGCAGTGGAGTAAAGACCTTTAACTTGAAACCATTTAAAAAATACTTTCATACCATATATTTGTGAGCCCAGGTAATTTCTGAATTTCTGATCCAAATCTTTTCCTCCAAAATGCCTGCTAAGAAACTCTAGAGGTCGGGGGTGAAGCGGGGAGGGAGAAGGAAGAAAAAAAAAAAGAAAGTACAATGATTCCATTCAGAAACTTGGTCCAAATCCTTGTCTCTTTCTTCTATCAGAAATCCTCTGTTGTCAGTCCCTGGCATCACCTAGAGATTTCCTTACCAGCAGCATTCTTATGTTTTTACTAAAACTTCTCCTAGAAGAGCATGTTTTGCTTTTAGGAGCCAGACTTAAGAAAGTGCATCAGCTTAAAAATACATTTGCTTGTAATTTTTGTCCATGCTGCCATCTGACAGGATTTGAGGATGCTTCCATTTCTGCCAGGATAATAGCTTTGTTATCTGCTGAGATCTGCAATAGCTCGACAGCACAGGAAATCTGTGTCTCAGCCCCCTGCTCCAAGTTTAGCTCATCCATTACCTAAAATTGGGTTTACACAAGGAAAATTACTTTAGTGCTAATCCAGTTGACTTGTAAAGTAAATTTAGCTTCCTCGGGTTCCTAGTCCCATAATCTAAACTGATTTCAACAACAGCTTTAGGAGTCCTCCCACACTTCTTAAGAACCCTCAGGAGCATGGGTCCCCAGCAAGCTGACCACAGCTACTAGTCATCTTCAAGCCAGTGATGTTTGCTGCCTTGGTACATTGTCCGTGGCTCCACAATTACACACTGGAGGGTAGGGCTGGGAGTAGTGGGAGAAGATAGCCTTGGGCTATTCATTTCACATTTCTGTGTCTCCGTCTGTAAAATCCTGGTAACAAATGAGGTGCCACATAGAGGGAAAAAGTGGAATTAAATGTTTTGAACCCAACTCACAGAAAATCTGTGGAGTAAAAAGCTGATTACAAGTAACAAAATCTTCCTTTTTTTCTCCCTTGTTCCTAAGTGTTAGACCTGGGTTCACTTGCCACAACTTATAAACCAATCAAATGTGATGATGTTTAAGACTTGCTTACAGTGGTTTCCCCAAAGCTAATCAATGAAAAGTCCTTACATTCCACAAACTAGTCAGCTTTGCAGCAACAGCCTCACCTTCTTGGGGAGGCACATGATGTGAGTCACACAATTTTCATGCCAGCCCAGAGCGTTGGGTGCCATTACAAAGCCATGGGTGTCTTACATGAATGGGAGCCTCGCGGGGGGTTGAAGAGGCTGATCTGATCTGTGGTTCCTCAATTCAGAGGACATGAGCTTTTGAAAATAGGCCTTTCTAGGTGAATTGGCCTGCATGTCATAGTTTACACATACTGAGAGCTGATCATATATCAATAATTGTTCTAAGTTCCATTGTGGGTGAGTGCTATTGTGATGTGCTATTGTGTGTGTACTATTGGGTAAGTGCTATTGTGATGTTTATCAGATCCTCATCATAACCACATGAAGCAGTAAAGGTATTATCTCCAACTGGGGCACAGAAAAAAAAAGTTAACTTGTCCAAGTCACATAGCTAGTAAGTGGCAGGCCTAGAATTCCAACCCAGGCATTCTATCATGATTACTAGTGGCCACGAATCAGATGATTGTAGTAACTTGTCCTGGACTTGGGAGATCTGTATGCTGACTCATAGAGCCCTAACAGTGTCTTAATTGATACGCCCAGTGGTTTCTTCTCAGTCACCAGTGAACTTTGTAGAATAGGATGCAGCTGGTTACCCTTTCATAGCATCTTTCACCCTTTTTTCCCACCTCTTTGAGACTCTTTTTAGTGTGCTTTGTTGACTTCTCTTCCTCTTTCAACCTCATATTTGTGGATTCCCCCACAAGTTTCTGTCCCTGCCCTTCCTCCTTCCCTCACCATCTAATCTCACCTGCATACCCAGTGTGCTCATCAATTCTTATAGGTTCAACTGGCAGTTCTATAAGGATGACTGAAATTTATCAGCCAACCCTGACTCTTTTCCCGAATGCAAGACCTGCATTTCCAGCCTCCCATTGGACATTTCCCTATGGACAGCCTGCCAGCATTCCCTATTTCACCTCTCCACATTGCCGCACTAATTTGCACAGTAGCCAGTACATAATAAGCATGTGATAAATTGGTAATAGATGAAAGAATGCATAATTTAATGAAACAGTTGCCACCTTCCATAGATTTAATCTTCCAGACTGCTCTTACCTAAGCTACTTTCTTCCGTTTTTCTGAATCCCCTCACTTAACCCTGCTCTCAGGTGCCCCTCAACCTGCATCTTTTGTTTCTCTTTGTTCTGGTGCCTGTTTTCTTCTCTTCTACACTCTTTTATAGTTATTTCTGTAAATGTCTTTTCTATTCAAGAATGTGCATACATTAAGGGAAGAGATTGTATTTTCTTCATTGGTTTTCACTAAATAGCCTAACACCGTGCATTTCACAAAGAGGCACACCATATCTATGGAAAGAGTGAATCAGTGAAAGTAGACATAGCACTCTGCAGTTTACAAAGGGCTTCACAGGTACCATCCCTATATTCTGCAGTAGGCCGAAGAGATAGCCGTTGAGTCATTAGCCCCATTGTACAGATGAGGAAGCTGCAAGTTAGTGTGGTCGTTAATGGTCCAGAATCTCACTGCTCTTAAGTTTCCAAGCCATTCTTATGATTTTAAACTGGAAGGCAGATCATCCCCTCATCATGACTTTCTCCCCCATGTACTCGGGAAAAATGAGGGAGAGAGACAAGAGAACTTTGGGGTGAAAACTCACATTGGGAACAATTACAAGTGTGTCTGATTTGGTAGCTTGGATGTTACAACCACTCATCAATTTTCATGTGGCTTCAAAGACCCTCATTTGAAGCTCCTAAGAGCAGCTCACTTCAGAAGAGACCCAGGTACCAATTTATTCTGGAGAGTTCCAGTGTTTCGTCCTAAAAAAAAAAAAAAGAAAGAAAGAAAAAAGAAAGCATAAAGTTTAAACAGATCCAAGGATTTTTCTTTTGGAATCTGACAGATCTGGGTTGGAGGCCCAACTTTAACATTTAACAATCGCCTCCCTGCCCCCATTTATAAAATGAAGATAAAAACACTCTTACTCGTGGTGATATATGTGGATTAAAAGGATAAATTTTAAAGTGCTTGGCATGACTCCTGGCATGGGAACTCAGTCCATTTTCTCCCTCTGCCCCTGAATTGTGCCTCTGCCTTTAACTCCTTCTATATGTGGGACCATGACCGGTGAACTTGGGGCCAAGATGAGCCTCACCTACCAGGGGTAGAGAGTAGAAAGCCCAAGCTGATGACTGAAGCTGGAAGTGTCAGCTTCTTGCACAATTGCTGCCCTCTTAGAGCTGCTTGAGGCCATCTCAACGTGCAACATGACTGACATGCAGTTAGGTCATTGAAATCACACCATCGGAATTCTTCAGCTTAATATGTCGCTTCTTAGAAAGTTAATGCCCTTTTGATACTATCAGTATGAAATGTTGAGAAGCAAAAGCTCAAAGGCTTAATTTTAGAAGAGAGAGAGCAGTTTCTAAAGGAGTGACTGATGGGAGAGAGACTCAGTAGTTGACTATGCAAAGGTGCCCAGGGCAGGTGTGAACAACAAAGCTGGCTTCCTGATACAGGTAGTACTGAAAGAACCCCGGCTCCACAGCCCTGCAGCACCTTTAAAGAAAGGGTGAGGGAGACATGCTTAAGCATTTTTTTTTCTGCTCCACAACAGGGCCCAGGGTATTGACAGTGCTGACAGAACAACTGAGAAGTTGTTTAGGTTGGCATTAACAAACCCGGCACATTGCCTTTTCTGATTGACACAATTCAAACGGGTATCAACTGCCTTTCAGTACCACTGAGAAGTGGTGAACGATGAGGGAATCATAGGGCCATCCAAGTGCATTCCTAGCAGGGACCATGAATCAGCCTTATCTTGTCCCACCTCCTCTTTACACAGGGAGGTAAGCCAAGGCTCAGGACATCATCAGATATGTGATAAATCCTCCATTAACTGGAATAGTCAGTTAACAAGACTTGTTTGCCTTTTATATTGTTATAGTCCAATTTTGGTTAAGTAGAGGTAAAATAGGTAAAAATAAGATGGTTGTTTGTTTGCTTGTTTTTGAGACGAGGTCTCACTCTGTCACCAGGCTGGATTGCAGTGGTGCGATCATGGCTCACTGCAGCGTCTACCTCTTGGACTCAAGCAATCCCCCTACCTCAGCCTCCCGAGTAGCTGGGACTACAGGCACGTGCCCAGTTAGGTTGGGATTTTTTCATTGAAGTGATTTTAAGTAATATGTACAGTTTCACATCTGGTACCTTGCTCCACCATTTACTAACTAGGTGACCCTGGACACATTTCTTTATTTTTATTTTTATAACTTGCTCTGTTGCCCAGGATGGAGTGCAGTGGTGCAATCATAGCTCACTGCAGCCTTGAACTCCTGAGCTCAAGGGATCCTCTTGCCTCAGCCTCCCGAAGAGCTGGGGCTACAGGCACATGCCACCATGCCTGGCTAATTTTTAATTTTTATTTATTTATTTATTTATTTTGTAGAGACAGGTCTTGTCTTATTGCCCAGGCTGGTCTTGAACTGCTGGCTTTAAGCAATTCTCCCACCCTAGCCTCCCAAAGTGCATTTCTTAAATTCTTATATATGCCTCAGTTTACTCATCTGTATAAGAGGGTAAATAGAACTTACCTCTTATGGTTGTAACGATAAATAAATAAGATAAAGTATATATATGTGTATATATATATATCACTTAAAAAGAATAAGCACTCAATATATATTTATTTTATTAATACTGCTATTATCATCTGCTTTTGCTCTATCTCTATTCCTGCCTGATGCACCTGAAGGTTGAGCGGCATTGTAAACAGAGGGTGGCAGCATGAGCTTAGGCATTGTGTGGAACTGGATGTGAACTTGGGGAAATTGCTTCATTCTCTAAACCTCAGTTTCCTCATCTATTAAATGGGAGGAGTAATACCTGCCTCTGCATGATTCTTGTATGGAACAAATAAGATCATATTTATAAAGTGCTTAATACACACCTGCCAATAAATGGTCAACATGATTATGGTTAGAATAAGGATTCTAAAAGCATTATAAAGTGCCGGATCATGAAAGATCGTAGCTCTTCATTGATTCAGTATTTATCTCTTGAGTACTTGCTTTATGCCAGATACAGAGTTTGGCACTGGGGACCCAGATTTACAATGTGTTGAAACAAATGGAAGTTTCTCGTGAACTCTTGGTCACTAATGAGATGAGACCATCCCGTTCCACCGCACTTTCAAGTTAATCCATGCTCTTCTATAGAATCCTTACATTCCAGCTGTGGGATGGCTGTGTCTCATATCTCCTCAGATCAAAAAGCATTTCTGCGAACAGTGATATTGAACATTAAACTGGCTGCATCAAACTTGAAAGGATGGGGCGGTGATTTTGTGTCACAATATTTTTAACATTATGCCTGGCGAATGTGCACATGTTAGATATAAAGGAGGTTTCCAAAGGGGAAGCTTTACTACTTGGACTTTTAAATTGCCAGGCTGCATTCTTGGGAAAGCCACATAAAAGAATACCCCTTTTTAAATGAGTATTACCTCAAAAAGTATAGCTCTTTTACGAAAGGAATATGTTGTTCTGAAGCCTTGTCCTTGATGATTTTACTGATATTGTGATGGTTATTTCAACTAACATAAGAAGGAATCTATTAGATAACAAACATTCACAGATTGCCTCTGCTTGCTGGGAATTACATCCAGCAGCTTGAAGAGCTGGGTATATTGAAAGGAAAAGGGCGTTTTAAATGTATAATCTACTCTTCCCTTTGGCACCAATCCGTGTAGTGAGACAACACTTGGCTGGGACTCGGGATCTGGCCCTGGCTTCCATTCTGCCATGACTTTGAGAGGAAACTCAAGTTCCGCCTTCTCCAGGAAGTTATCCCTGACCACCCCAGCCTACGGTGGATTTTCCTGCACTGAATGTGTTACACTTAGATTCCATGGTATATGATTTAACACATGGCCTCTCATATGAAATAACATATGAAATGTTATTTCAACATTTTATATCTTGTCTCTCCAGAAACGTTACATGCTCCTTGAGGGAAGAAATCAAGTCTAACCTGCCTTTTGAACCCTCTATGTAGTGCTATAAAATAAATATGTCCTCAACCAAGTCCTGATTGACTAAGAAAACCAGTGATTGGTCAATGATGTTACTTTGTCTTCTGCTAAACATTTTTGGGGCAGGGGATAGAGGGGTGTGGGAGAATGGGAGTTCAACTCAGAGGAAACTTAGTAAAGAGGAAAAGACATAACAGACCTGGTATTGAGTCCCCATCTGGCCAATTAATCACCAAGTTATCAAATAAAGCCTATTTGATCTCTTCGACCTCATTTTCCTCATCTTTGAAATATCTTCCTCTTAGCATGATTTTGAGGATCAAATAGAGATAATATATGGAAAATTCTTTGTATGCAGGAGCCCACTTTGTAATGTTATTCATTGCTTCAATTTTCAATTTGGCTTGGGTTAAGAAAAAAAGTATTTTTTTTTCTCTCAAACCAGTGAGCGGGGGAAGAATGATAAAAATCACATTTTCTGAAATTACTCTAGCTTATGTAAGAAGTTTGATCTGCCAGTATTTGCCTTTTTCTCACATCACCTGCTGCATGCCACACACCTGATTTGTCTGTTGTGTTCATGTAGGATTTTGTAGCTCACAAAAGCATTTTCACATGCATTATCATACAAAAACCCTGTGATACAGGCACTGTGGAAGTAAGTATTCCCATTTCATTGATGAGTAAACTGAGACTCACAGAGGCTTTAAAAATGCCCCAACATCACCCTATCAGGCTGACAGTGCCTGCCTTCCTCCAGCCTTGTCCTCTTTCCACAACACCACACTGGTTCTCCTGTACAAATATTAGGCAGCTCCCACAAGACATTCTCAGTCACAAACATGATCACCATCTACTTCCTAGTCAAGGAGATCAGTTCACGCATTTTGTCTTCATACAAATAATTAAAACAGGGACTGGGTACCTTGGCCCATGCCTGTAATCCCAACACTTTGGGAGTTCAAGGCGGGGAGATCACTTGAGCCCAGGGATTTGAGACCAGCCTGGGCAACATGGTGAAACCTTTTCTCTACAGAAAAAACACACAAAAATTGCTGGGTTTAGTGGTGGCACTTATGGTCCCAGCTACCCGGGAGGCTAAGGTGGGAGGATCACCCAAGCCCAGTAGGTCAAGGTTGCAGTGAGCTGTGATTGTGCCACAGCACTCCTGCCTGGGTGACAGCATGAGACCCTGTCTCAAAATAATAATAATAATTAAAACATTCAAGCAAGATCCCATTCAGTTTATAAGTCATTAATAATTCATAATAAATGTAAACATTGTAAGCCTGGCCTTTCTGTATTTAGCAGTATAGCAAAATGGTTAAGAATTAGATGGACCTGGCCGGGTGCTGTGGCTCACGCCTGTAATCCCAGCACTTTGGGAGGCCGAGGCAGGCAGATCATGAGGTCAGGAGTTCAAGACCAGCCTGGCCAACACGGTGAAACCCCATCTCTACTAAAAATACAAAAATTAGCTGGGCATGGTGGTGCATGCCTGTAATCCCAGCTACTCCGGAGGCTGAGTCAGGAGAATTGCTTGAACCGGGACTCGGGAGGCAGAGGTAGCAGTGAGCCAAGATTGCGCCACTGCACTCCAGCCTGAGCTACAGAGCGAGACTCCATCTCAAAAAAAAAAAAAAAAAAAAAAAAAAAAAGAATTAGATGGACCTGATCCTAATGCTCGTTCTGATGCTCAGATCAAGGGGAAAATGAGGAGGCTTTTTAGGCCTCGGTAAATCAGAGTTAACAACACCCAGTTAACAAGCCCAGTGTCACAGTGAGAGTGAAATGAGATAATGCATATATAGCACTTTCTCCTCCATGTGACTCATAGATAAAAGCTGTTGATATTTCAACTGTTCTGGGCTATGGAAATTTTAAAAGATTTCATGTCTAGGTGACACGTGAAAGTCCAGCACGTGGACCATAAATGTTGTCATGGTTTGACAGTATTAATGAAACACTTCATCGTGTGTCAGCCAGCCTCACCTTGACAGGTCATCTCTGGCTGGCGTAACCCAAGGGCCAATGTGAAAAGGACATTTCACTGAGGACATGATGGGGTTGCCTTGTTTTTCTTGCTTCTTAAAGAGCCATTTCAATTAATTTTTTTCACACATAATCCTGACCCCTTGGCCTCCCAGTAGAATGCTATACGTGCACAACAGGAATTTTGGCGTTTATTGTTTATCCTCTGGGGGAATGTGGTCCCCCTTTTACTGCCTTTTTCAGCCCACTCCCCCCAGTTGAATTTTTCTGAGAGGCAGTGGAAGGGAAAGTATATACCCCCATAGTTGTATTTTTTTATCCTTATTCACGATTCTCAACAGCTTTTTAAAAGTGATGGCTGGCAGCCAGGTACAGTGGCTCATGCCTGTAATCCCAGCACTTTGGGAGGCTGAGGCAGAAAGATCATGAGGTCAGCAGTTCCAGACTGGCCTGGCCAACATGGTGAAACCTCGTCTCTACTAAAAATACGAAAATTAGCCAGGCGTGGTGGCAGGCGCCTGTAATCCCAGTTACTTGGGAGGCTGAGGCAGGAGAATCACTTGAACCCAGGAGGTGGAGGTTGCAGTGAGCCCAGACTGCGCCATTGCACTCCAGCCTGGGTGACAGAGCGAGGCTCCGTCTCAAAAAAAAAAAAAAAAAAAAAAAGTGATGGCTGGGGGCCTATAGTCTATAATCTGAGCTGACCTATATCCATGGCACATGTGTTAAAGGTGGAACCATAGTAGGTCAGGACAGCCATGTAAGGTGTAGGTGATAATATCCTGACTTTGGAAATGAAGAAATGGATGCTTAAATGGCTAAGTAATTATTTAAGGCCACATGGGTAAGAAAGGGCAGAGCTAGGATTTGAACTCTGGTTTATTTGATTCCAAAGCCCTTGCTCTTGGATGCTGTGACTTAGAGATTTTCAAATGCCACTTTCTTAAAAAGGGGTCTTCTAGAAATAAAAACTTTTAAGAAAAGGTGAACTTTCAATGGTGGAAATGTGTGTATTGTGGCAGTCCAGTCAGGAAATGGTGTGTTATTTTTGAGAAGCAAAACCTTTTGGTGGTTCTCGACTGTTCTCCAAAGACGCAATGTGCACTGGGCCTCCACGTAGGGAACTCCCTTTGCTGAGTCTTTAAAGGAACCTACTGGCTGATGATGATTATTATTAATAAAGTCTAATATCCAGAGAGCAGGATTCTTTCCCATGAACAGGACCATGGAAAGCCTGGAGTTGGGGGAGGCCTAGGGAGTCAACAATACAAAGGAGGCAGTAGGTTCATGGAGAGCGCTGTGTGGGGGCACAGTGAGGAATTGCTACGGGGAGCCTAAAGCAGCATTGTCCAGTGGAACCACATACGTCATCTTCAGTTTTTAAGAGCTACATTTTAAAAAGTAAAAATGAATGAAAGTAATTTTAATAAGCTATTTTTAACCCAAAGATCCAAAATATTTTCATTTTAATGTGTAATAAATATAAAAATATGAATGAGATATTTTACTCTTTTTTTTTTCTTTGGTACTAAGTCTTTGAAATCCAGAGTGTATTTTACACTTACCACACATCTCAGTTTGAGCCCACCACATTCAAATGCTCAAAAGCAGGCACGTGTGGCTAGTTGCTACCATACTGGACCATGTAGGTCTAATGGTAACAATGGCACTGCAGCCTCCTTGACCCAGCAACACTCACTCTCCTCCACCCCACTTCATTTTCCTGCATACACTTAACACCTGCCAGACTATATATTTCCTTTATTTGTTTATAGTCTACCTCCCAGTATTATTTAGGGTTCAGTCTAAGTTGGTGTAATAAATGGATGGATGGGTGGATGGATGGATGGAGAATGGCTTAATCAAGGTAGAAATGGATTTCCCTCCAGTCTAGAGGAGGCTCTCCATAGCTGGAAGGGTATCTCTGTTCCCAGTGTTCACATTAACATCCAGCCTCAGTCTATCTTATCCCTCTGCCAGCCTCAACCTGTAGTGTTTACCTTGTTCTGGATGACTTCTTCAGCATTTCTCTTCATGGCCACACTCCAGTCAGGGAGATACCCCTTTTTTTTTTTTTTTTTTTTTTTTTTTTTTTTTTTTTTTGCTCAGCCCTATCTTCTTTCTTTTCTTCTTTCCCTTCCCTTCCTTCCTGTCTCCTCTCTTTCTTTCCCTGTCCCTCCCTTCCTTCCTTTCTTCCTTCCTCCCTCCCTCCTCCTCCCCTGCTTTCCTCCTTTCCTCCTTCCTTCCTTCCTTCCTTCCTTCCATCCTCCTGTTTCTTTATTTTGGTAAGGACCTGACCCAGAGGTGGTACACCTTGATCAGAAGGTAAACACCTCCTTGATCAGAACATAGTCACATGACCATATCTAGCTGTGGTCTCCAGCTGGTGGTCAGTTAATGTAAGGAGTTCTACTATTAAAATTGGGAGAGAAGAGCAGATCTTGATGGACAACTAGAAGTCTCCACCACTGTCCCTCCCCCGGAATGTAAACTGCCATGAGGGCAGGGATTTTGGGATGTTTTGTTCAATGTAGTAGACCCAGCAGTGGTGTACCAAGGGCTGGGCAGTGGGAATATGCACCCTGGCGGGGAAGAGTATTTTAAACAACATTGTTTGAATTGCCGGTGCATAACGGTAATAAAAGTGGACTAACATAATTGGTCTCATTATTGTTTTTATATTATCCACAGAGTCTGCATCCAATATTGGCTGCACCAGAGCAGACTGCTCTGTTGCCCAGCCCTTGGTACACCACTGAGCCCTGGCACCTAAAATAGTGGCTACTCATAGCAAGCACTCAGTATCTGCAGAATGAACCAATAGATCTACCTCTGCCTCTTTTCCTTCCATTTCTTCCTGACTTCTACCCTTGGAGAGGCAGCCCTCACCAGGTAGTAGACCTTATGGCATTTCATTATGGTTAGCTACTTCTTCCTCTTTAAACTGTGAGCTCTTTGAGCACCAGAACCTGCACCAGCTGCCACAACCTGGCCACCAACCAGGTGCTCAATTAGTGCTAGTTGAAGGAACCAGTAAAATTCATTGAAGGCTGCTCCCCTTAGCCTCACTTAGCCTGCATTTAGTTGACTCCAAGCAGGAATTTTCTATCTGATTCTCTTTGTTTTGTCTGAACCCGAGATGTTGAGGCTGGAAATACAGTCAAGATCCAATTTGTGAGCTAGCTTATGAGTCAGGTTAAGGAATTTACACTGTATCCTAAAAACAGTAGGAGTCATCAATGCAATTTAACCAGGTGGAACTTTCATTAAAATGTAACTATGTGATGTGAGGATGGGGAAGAAGGAACTAATTGGCCCTTTCTCTTCAGACCTCTTGACTTCAGCTTTCTGGGGACTGGCATTTCCACTGTTCTTCCATCATTTCTGAGGGTATCATTGGTTTACCCTCTCAATCCAAATGTTCCTCTGTGGTTCCCCATTTTGATGTTTAATCTTTGAGGCATCCACTTATGTATTCATCGATCCTTCAGCAGTCATGTACTGGAAACCCTTAGGATGCATGCTCTGTAAGACAGGGCGTTCTGCCTTGTCCACTGCTGTGGCCCCAAGAGTGGGAGGAGTGGGCTGTCAGTAGGCCACCAATAAATATCTGTGTTCTGGCTGACCCCCATATGCTAGGATACTGGAGATGAGGAACTGGAGAAGGTGCTTAAAGAGCACATCTGTCTGGTAGAGGACACAGAGCTGTCCTTCAAGCATTTGAACGATGTTCTCATTTCCCTGGAATCTTCTCCTCTCCAGGCTCACATCTCTAGCTCCTTCAATGATTCCTCTTGCGACATCATTTTAGTTCTCTTCCCCAACCTAGTCTTTTTGCTTTTAATGAATGATCACTGATGTATAGCCCTGATGACATCTGGTGTCCACAGTGGTGCCTGATGCTCCGGGTGAAGTTGAAGTTTGACCAGTAAGAGGGAAGAAAGAATGGCTCCTCCCTCATTTCAGAGAATACATCCTAGTCACAAGTGCCCCTAATGTCACTCAGGTTTTTGATAGCTACATTCCCTCACTGATCCAGTAGAATACACTACCAACTGATGCACCATCTTGATTAACAACAGCAAGCCTCCCCTTCCTTCCTCAGTATCTCTCCTCACATGGTCTCCCATCCAGATTTGCTTTAAGCCTGCCACTCTGGAAGGGACACCAGAGATCATTTAAATAAAACACATTATAGAACTGGTTAATAGGCTACCTCTATGTCTCTGCAAATATTCCAAGCATAGTTTGGTGAGTATAATCAAAGACCAAAACAATGTTTGATCCTCATGGAGGGACACTATGTCTTGTTATACTATTGTAAGTTCCCGGGGTTTTATTCATTTTGGCATTTAGTGGATTTGTCTTTGACATGTTGGATTTAAGGACATCATTATTCTTGGAATTTAGAAAAGAACACTGTGCCTGGCATGACATGAAGCCAACTTAGAAAACCCAAATTTGAATCCCATTTTTGCCACTTAACTAGCTGTGTGATCTTGGGAAAGTTGGTTAATCTCATAAAACCTCAGTGTTTTCATCTAATAAAGAATACTAATATAAACATAGAATGGACAGAAAAAGTGCTAAAAATGTACAAACAGTTCATGTAATAACTAGTACAAAAGTTTTACAAAGGTGAACATATGAAAAAGATGTTTAACTTTACTAAGGATAAAAAACGAGGTATGATCTTAAAGTGATTTTACCTAGCAGGTACTTTAACAGGCACTTGTAGGCATTGAGTGCAGAAAAATAGATACTCTTCCCCATTGATGGTAGAAATATAAGTCATAACAGTTTTCTTAAAAGATATTTATAAATTCATGTAAAAACCCTGAAAATGTGCATACCTTTTACCCCAAAATAATTCCACTTATTGTTTTGAGCCTAGAAAAATAATCATAGCAGTATATAAGGATCTATCTACAAGGATGTTTATCTCAACATTTTTATAAATAATGATAAGTTGAATATAATGGTAACTGTGTAATTGTGGTCACTAAAAGTAATATTTTAGAAGAATACTTCATAATGTGGAAAATACATATTACATTAAAAAGAAAAAACTATGTCTAGTATAATTCCAATTTGCAAAAATAATTTGTGTGTTTATATGTATGTGTACAGAATATATGCTACATATTAACCTTAATTATCTGTGGTTTGTGGATGTAGATGATTTTAATTCCCTTCTTTGTGCTTCTATTCTTCAAAATTACCACAACAAGTATTATTTTTAAAAGGGTGGAATGAGAATGCCCTGGGGTATCTTATAAGAATGTGATGAAAGTCTAAATTTAAATTATAAATTAAATCATGCACATTTATTGTATTATTGTTAGATATTAGACTGATCTCAAGCTTTGCCTTTCTTTTTCTCCCTTCTTCCCTTTCTCCTTCCCTCTCTGTCTCCATCTGCCCCTTTTTCTTTTCTTCACTGTCTATTCTCTCCTTTCCTTCTAGGCCCGGTTTTTTCCTGCTCCTTCCATGGGGAGCATTGCTCAGCTGCCCCTAGGATTCAGAGTCAAATAGTTTGCTGACCCTGGTCTGAAGCTCATTTGACCAAACTGAGCAAGAAGTGCACAAGTTTCTTGCATTTCCTTCCAGACCTCTAGTAGCCCTGACACACATCCTGGACTAATCAAGACTATGTGAAACGTACGTCCATCAGTTCAGAGTTGAGCTCTTGTCATATAGGAGCAAATTACCAACTTCTCAAAAACTGCCAGGGGTGGGAAGGGGTTCTTTCCTTCTGCATCCCAAGTGCTGGATGCCTCTGCCTTCCAACACTACTCGAAAATAGCTTTGTCAAACAAAGCATGAACACTAGGAGTTTCTGACATTTTCATAACTATGAGCATATGATTTGCAGTTCATATTGAATAACGATGTAAGAAATCTGCCAAGAAAGCTCCAAATACTATTTCCAGCACTGGTTCATAACCAGTTACAGCTGCCTCACCACAGAATGTGAGCACAATAGACTACCATGTTCCATGGTCTCTTGCTTGCAAAGTTTGTATTGAGTTACTAGGAGTCATTCTAATGGGGGAAGTCACTCTCCTGGAAAGCATTTAAGATGAATAAAGTGAAGGGTTTAATGTTCTAATGAAAAAATTTGTCAATATATTAATCAAATGTGTGAACACTAAACGTTTTTACGTATGTTTGCTGTAGAGGTTTTAAGGCGGGCTTTGGCTTTCCAGACTCAAATAAAGTAGATAGATGCACTGTTAAACTTTCGAACAATGACAAAGAAAAACATGGGGTAATTGCTTCACTCAAAGCCTGCCAGGAGATTAATTGCCTAAGAGATGTATTTTGTGCAGTATCCAAAAACTGCAGAATCTACAGGAGTGTCTTGCTTTCACTAGGAGAAAACGTATGTCACCTCTCACCAAAGATGTTTATGTCTTTTCACAAACCTGTCTTTTTGCAGTCTAAAAACATTCCAACTGGAAATGACTACAAAGCTGGGAGTTGATAGGTTAGGGGTGTTTAGTAAAGCTTCAAATACTCTCATGGAGTCAGATACGATTCCGTACTACGAGCCCCACATAACAGCAACCTGGGCCCAGGGATTGTGAAGCCTTTTCATTTCTGGTTAATCAGTGGGAGAGGTGGGGAGCCATGAGCCTGCCTTGGACCCGCCAGCCCCGAAACTAAAAGACTAAAGTTGCAGGGCTTATGGGGAGTTCGCCTAGTGCACTTAAGAAATAGGGATGGAACTTGCCTTGTTCCACCTTTGGGATTGTATTCAAATGAGGGCTTGCTAAAGGCTGAAGGTGTTGGAATCTGTAGGAGGTCTGTGTAGCCATAGCAGAGAAACATAGAGTGCGCTTTTATAAACATTTATTTGGTGCCTTCTACAAACCAAGTTATATGTACTAGACTCTGCTGGGAGTGAGACTGGGGTTGCATTACTACTACATGGAAAAGTAAGAACAGTTGCTGTATTTCTGGAACATTCTGCCTGGTAGAGGAACAGACTTCTCAACAAATAATAATTATACAGTGAAGGATGCTAGAGAGAACATATTTTCTCATGAACTAATCTGAAAGTTTCAGGAAAGCATCTTAAAGGAGATAAGACTGAACCGAAACTGGAAGGATGAGGGACAGAGAGCCAGGTGAAGAAAAATGAGAATGGATTTCCTGGAAGGGAAATAGCCAAGGCACAAACATCAGTGCCAGTGTGATATGTTCAGAAACTATAAGCTGTTCTTTAATACCAGGACCTGAGAACCAAGAGGGGCAATGCAGGAGACTGGGCTGAAGATGTCCATGGGGCAGTTATATAGGGACCTTGTGATTGCTGTTAATGTGCTAGGACTGTTGCCAGTGGACTTTATACAATAGAGAGTCACTGAACATTTGTGAGAAAGAGATAATGCAATCTACCTATTAGCTCATCATTCTATGGCAACAGGAAAGATCAATTTACAGGCCAAGAATGGAGGTAGAGAGACCAGTTAGGAGACTCCTGCAGCCATCTTGGTGGGATATTTTGAGAGCTTACACTAGAGTAACCATAAAAGGTTAGAATTGGAAAGAACATATTATACAGTTCAACTTCCATATTATACAAATGGAGTAAGTGAGGACAAAGAAGGTAAGTGACCTATCCAAGGTTGTATGGAAATAACCTTGTTGGCAGCCAAAGTGGGACCAAGACCCTGGTCTTCTCATTTCCAGTCCGGTGACTTTTCCACTCAGCAATGCCAAGTTCAGTCCCAGCATCATGCTTCAGTTAGGGAATGCCCTAGAGAAACTTGAAATGTACTTGGCTGGCATTTTTCCTGGCCATATCTAGGAAGTGAGAACAGTCCTTGTTGGATGGAGGGACCTTGAATCCAGCCAGGCTGCCTGGGAGGGATCTTTTTCTGTTCATTATCTTTCTGGCTTTAGGTACCTCCCACATCTTCCACCCTCTTCTTCTCCTCTAAAAATCCTTCTTCAGCCATTGCTTACAAATTCTCTCCCTTCTGCTGAGTCTAGGCAGTGTAGAACAAAACCTAGCACCTTTTTTCAAGTTTGTTTCCTCAATATTTTAACCTAACTATTGTATCACTGTTAAGCACTTGGGCAATTTTGAGGATGAATAATCCAATAAAATCGAACTGTTTCCATCTAAACTCCTTCCACACTTTACATGGCGGTGTTATTTGTGCAAATACTGTTTTGTGTTGTCTCTTTTTCACTAAATCATATATGTACACATTTCAAAGCTCTTGGCTTTATTATATATTTCTTATAATGGACACTGCAAGAAATTTGGAGCAAGACCTAAGCTTTTGGGAAAGAGACTTAATCTCTGGACCTAATTCTTCAACTATAAAATGGAGATAATGCTACCTACCTTGAGGGGTTCCTGGTACAAGGTAGGCGTATAGTAAGCTTTCATCTCTCTCTCTTTCTCTGTCTCTCTCTGTCTCTCTCCTCTTTCTCTTTCCTCTGTGTGTGTCTGTCTCTTTCTCTGTCTCCTCTCTCTGTCTCTCTCTCTCTCTGTCTCTCTCTCTCTCTGTCTCTCTCTCCTCTTTCTCTCTTTGTCTTTCCGCTGTGTGTGTCTGTCTCTTTCTCTGTCTCCTCTCTCTTGGTTGCTTCTGGTTTGGGGCAATGTAGTATTTTCATAAACATGTATGATCACAAATTATATCCATGCTGAAATTCAAAGGTAATTTTTTTGATGTCTACCTCGAGGCCTAGAATACTGTTGAGCATAGAATAAAATCTCAATAGGGCATAATGGTAGGAAGAAGAAATGAAGAGGAGAAAAAGAATAAACCATCTTAACTTGAAAACCAAATTAGCTGAGATGCTCGTGAGCTTCCAATCTCATACAGGCATTCTAATAACAAGTATTCACTTACTGTGGACCCAAGAACGGCCAGATGGCTTGTGAAGAACATCAGCCTCAGCAATCACACAGATTTCCACCTTAGATGGCCTTTTGCAGCCTTTGGAGGATGGATTGGAAGAGTGGAAGGTTGGAGGCAGGGCTCTCAGTGAGGGGCAGCTGACAGGTGGTGGGACCTGAGCCATGAGGGAAGAAAGTGGTCAAATTCAAGAATTCCTTTGGAAGCAAATTTAGTTTTCAAGGTTGCTACTCTTAGAAGCTGCCCCTCTTCCTCTTCTCATTATTTCTTCCATTTAGCAAAACTAAATGCATGGGGAGGCCAGGTATGGTGGCTCATGCCTGTAATCTCAGCACTTAGGGAGATCAAGGTGGGAGGATTGCTTGAGTCCAGGAGTTCAAGACCAGCCTGGGCAACATAGCAAGACCCTGTCTCTACAAAAAAAAAAAAAAAAAAAGTAAAAAAACTAGCCAAGCATGGTGGCACAAGCCTGTAGTTACAGCTACTCAGGAGGCTAAGGCAGGAGAATCACTTAAGCCTGGAAGTTTGAGGCTGCAGTGAGCTGTGGTCTCACCACCGCACTCCAGCCTAGGTGACAGAGTGAGATCCTGTCTCAAAAAATAAAGAAAAATGCATGGAGAGGTTGGGTGGCTGGGGTGGGGAAGTAGAGAGATTGACTACACATTTCAGATTGCTAGAGGATGCCACCACACAGAAATTAAAATAAAAAGTGGGAGAGATTTAATTCACTTATTGAACGTTTATTTATTAAGTATCAACAACTTGACACTGAATAGGCACTATTCTGGCCATTAGGGACATAGTAGTGACCAAAGCAAAGTTCCTAGTCCCATGAAGTTTGTTTATAAACAATAAACAATTGAATATATCAATACAGAGTATGCCTGATGAGACTAAATATTAACACAAGAGGTAATAATCAAGTAAGTGTCGGGGGGAAGTGGCAGGGCATGAGGTCAGAGAGGCAAGGTGAGGCAGGAGAAGATGATGTAAGGATATTGTAAAGATGCCAGTTTTACTTAGCATGACAAGGGAAGCCTTTAGGAAGATTGAAACAGAGGAGGAACAGGACAAATCTGTGCATTACAAATTAATCATTATTTTAATGTGAATTGCTGCTTCTGCCATTATAAAAATTTGTAAGATTCTACCTGTGACATGGGCATCTCTGTATTGCCTTTGGGTGGGTGCTGGAGTTGAGGGTACAGAGAGGCATTAAACTCACCATTGCTTTTTACGGAGGCCAGTAGTCTTTTTTTAACCACCATCAGCAGAAGGAATGGGAAACAAAGCTGAGATGAGACAGAAAAGCAAGAATTGGGGATTGGGTTTCACCCCACTTCTGAGTAGTAAGATGAAATTAAAACCCTTCTAAGATGTCCCTGAATTCCATTTACCACTCTTTCCACAAACCTTCTCTTTTTCAATCCATGCCCAAAGGCATAAAAGGAAAGAAAAAAAAAATCAAAGCAATTCCAGTAACACTTGTGGTAGAAAATCTGCCTAGATTGGTATGTGTGAATTTCATATTATTCTAAAGTCCCATTATTCTTAATAGGCAATTTTAGGGGGTGGTTTGAATGCCTGATATTTGGAGAACTTTCAAAGCACATCCAAGGGGTCTCTAATAAGAACTTGGGGGCGCTGAACTCGGGGACTCCAAGTGTCACCTATGCATTTCCAGCTTCAGCCTAACCTTGGGGGCAAAGCAGGCCCTTAACAGAGGAAAAGTAAAAACAACCAAAGCATTCTTAGAGGTGCAAGGCCGCCCTATCATGAAAACCTCAGTAAATTGAAGACAGTAAAAAATCACTCATTCTTTTGATTAGCAGTCTTCTGTATTCTTGCAAATACTGTACTAGTGCAGTCCTATCATTTCAAATGTGTGTTTAAATAGGAATAAAATATATTACACACATAATTTTCCCTCAAATTACGTTTGTGAGATACAAGCCTGGGTAATTCTGCTCCTGTTCCAAGTGAAATGCAAACCCTTGTGTTTCCAAACATCACTATGAAGCAAAGCCAATACCTTCCCTTTTCTGAGTTGGACACAAGTAACTCTTCCGTGCTGCTCTGGAAACTATGACAGAACGTTATTCATCTGTTTGTTTTAATAGCCAAGGGAAAAAAACTTCAAAATTTTGATTTAATTTTTTAAAGAAAAAAAGGTGGTATGAAACAGGTCGAGGGACTCTTTAGCTAAGCGAATAAATGTTAACCAAATTGTCACTGACCAGATGTGGGAACCAGCATGTGATATTCGACACAGTCACCTCAAAATTGCTTATGCTTACAAAGGCATTCCAATAAAAGAAAAAGGGATGTAAGGGTTAGCTGAATTCTCAACCCTATAGATTTAAGGCTTCTCTGTGAGTCGTTGGCCCTCTGGGTTGACATGCCTTGATTGGCTCCCTTTCAAAACTGACCTTAAAGGTCAAGTATGTTAACATGTACTTTTTGATGCTCACTTTCAGACCGGTCTTTAGAAAGCAGAGTTTGTGAGATAACTTCAGGATCACATATTTAACCTGTAATCTCTTGACCACAGCCAGCCTGAGGTGAAGTCTGCTTTTGGTGCTCCCGACAGCTCCCCTTCCTGGATCCTCACCCTCCCCAGCCATCCCTTTCCTTGTCTCTGCCTATACCTGTCCAGAGATGCTCCCTCTCCCAGGGCCATCATTTCAAGGTGTGTGCAGCTAGGGCTGATAAGATTTAAGTGATGCCCCCTCCTCCTGGTTAGCAGTTAACTAAGGTTGCTTCCAGGCTTGAAGTCTCCTCCAGAAGAGGAAGGAGGTAGGTTGGAATAGGAGGTAACTTTTCAGACCACCTCCAATTATAATCTGTTCTTAAAGTTTCTATGTCTCTGATCTTCTGTCTACATTGGAATAATTCTGCATCTTTTACTTGGATCCTTAATTTTATAATGTAGCCCCATTTTTATTAAAAGCCAGGGCTAATTTTACCTTGAGAGATCTGTTTGCCCCTCCCAAGGGAGAAGAACGCTGCCTCTGAAGTGGGAAGCTTCACACTCAGCTCGAGGTTACTAGAGCCATTATGTGGCCATGCTTTTAACCAGATCTGCTAATAGGTGGCCCGATTCACAAGTTTTAAAAAGGGATGTTTTCCATTTATTCATGGCCATGATGGTCTTTTGGGAAAGCATTAGTAAGTTGTGTTTGCTTGGGTAAAGAGAAATTGCTATCCATATGACAGAAAATAACTCCCACTTTAATAAACTGCTCACTGAGCAAACCTATGGACCGTCCATCTCTTTGAGCTGTGTGATGACTTTCCTTCAAGGGTTTTAGGGGCAGCCATCTTGATGTGATTTCCTCTCCATGGCTCAAAACAGGGTGTATGAAAGGGGCTGGGGGGATAAATTCAGAGGTCAGAGGTGTTGGGCTATTTATTTCACTGCTCTCTGTCCCTATGAGGCTGCCATGCTGTGGGATTGCCAAGTCACTGTCCCCGGCATTCCATTTGAAGAGCCATGAGAATCAGAACAAAAGAACCTGCTGATACTGAGTAAACTGCTCATGCTTATATCAGTTTAGTCTGCTTGGAAGTGACTTACAAAGCTACCCCCACGACCTCCCCCACCTTGAGGCCTGAATTTGCAACCATTGGCCCTCTCCCAAGGTCCCTCTACCTTGGCCCTTGTGTAAATGATATTTTTTTTTTAATTAAGGTGGAATTCACATAACATAGAGTTCACCATTTTATTTTATTATTTATTTTGTTATCGTTATGTTTTAAAGAGATGGTCTTGCTCTGTCACCCAGGCTGGAGTGCAGTGATGTGATCATGGCTAACTACAGCCTCAAACTCCTGGACTCAAGCAATCCTCCTGCCTCAGCCCCCTGAATAGATAGGACTACATGTGTGTGCCACCATGCCCTGCTAATTTTTTCATTTTTAATTTTGTAGACACAGAGTCTCACTATGTTGTCCGGGCTGGTCTTGAACTCCAGGCCTCAAGCAATCCTCCCAACCTTGATCTCCTAAAGTGCGGGGATTATAGGCATGAGCCACTGCACCCAGCCAGAATTAACCATATTAAAATGAATAAGTCAATAGTAGTTAGTATATTCATAATGTTGTATAACCGCCACATCTGTCTACTTCCAAAACATTTTCATCATCCCAAAATAAAATTCCTTGCCCGCTAAGCAGTTACTTCTTATTCCTCCCTGTCCCCAGCCCCTAGCAACCACCGATCTGCTTTTCTCTAAAGACTTACCTATTTTAAATATTTCATATAAATGGGATCATACAATATGTGCCCTTTTTGTTCAGCTTATTTCACTTAGCATGTTTTTGAGGCTCTCCCACATCGTAACCTGTTTCAGTACCTCATTCATTTTTCATGGCTGAATAATATAGTCTATTGTATGTATCTACCACCTTTTGTCTATCCATTCATCTGTTGATGAACACCTGAGTTGTTCCCACCTTTGGACTATTGTGAATAGTGCTGCTCTGCACATTTGTGTACAAGTGTGTGTTTGAGTACCTGTTTTCAATTCTTTGGTTTAAGTGAGATTTTACAGTCAGGAAAGTCCCTCTGCATCCATTCTCTTCTCATTAAGAAGAGGTAGGAGACCCGGCGTGGTGGCTCACACCTGTAATCCTAGCACTTTGGGAAGCCAAGGCAGGTGGATCATCTGAGGTCAGGAGTTCAAGACCAGCCTGGCCAACATGGTGAAACCCTGTCTCTACTAAAAATACAAAAATTAGCCAGGCATGGTAGCACACGCCTCTAATCCCAGCTACTCAGGAGGCTGAGGAAGGAGAATCGCTTGAACCCAGGAGGTGGAGGTTTCAGTGAGCTGAGATCGCGCCACTGCACTCCAGCCTGCGCAATGGGAGCGAGACTCCATCTCAAAAAAAAAAAAAAAAAAAAAAAAGAGAGAGAGATAGGCATTTTAACTGAAATTATCCCCAAAAAGAATATTTTAGGACCAAATTTGTCAGTACCGATCGGTTCAGCTATGTCTGCCCATGCCCTGTATATTCTGATGAGGAAGAAAATCGCTTCCAATTAGAGGATACTCCTGGTATGGAGAAGGGTCCACTTTGGTGGGCTACCCTGGGATAGTCTCCTCATCTCTTCTAGTTCTATTGGCCTGTCAGTGGTAAGGTGGGCGCTAAACAGATAAAATAGTATATGAAACTGGAAATCTGTGGAATGGTTTGATGAAAGTACTGGGAATGGGTGGGGTTAGTGAGTGACTAACTTTCCAGGGAAGGTAGGGGCATTTGGGTCTGAAAGATGAGAACATTCACAAGGAGAACGAGGGGGTGGAGGGCATGCCAGCCCTAAGGATGAGCATGGGTCAAGCCATGTCCGCATCGAAGTGCATCCTGTGGTTTGAGACTAGCAAGATCATCCACATGACTAATACCATCAGGCTTGTAGGCTTGTCTGGCAGGGAAGGAAGCTGGAAAAACTGGCAAGAACTAGATTATGAAGTCTCTGCAGAACAGCATTTCCTTTCCTTGCTCTGCAGTGGTTCCTAGATGGGCACTCCTTTTGCTGCCGCACTGTTCCACGATCCCTCTTAGCACTCTTCAAATATCCTTCATAAGCTCCTTGCCCTGGAGAAGGAGGAGACCCTGGAGGTGGATTACAGACCACATTTGCGTTTCCCAATCCCATGGCAGAGAATATGGCAGGTTGTAGAGGCTGGCAACATGGTAACTCAATTACCTTTATGAGAAACATGAGCTCCCATCACAAAGCACCCCTGCACCTTGACATCATGGTGAGGCAGCGGCGCACGCTGGTGCCAGCCACTGTGATGAATGGCCAAATTCCATTTGCCCTTTCACAATGCACTTTTCTTCTCCATTGAATGCAGCCTTGGGCACGCTCACTGCAAGTGCCCTTGCACTTTTGCTACCTTGCCACTTGCTTCATGTTTTTAATTTGCTGAGCATGGAGTAAGGCAGGAAGACATCAATGATGAAAGAAGTGTGAGCTGGAAAAAAGCATAAAGCTGATTAATGCTGGAGGAGCATTTGTTCCCCTCCAGCCAAAGCCAGTGGGGAAAAATGGAAAAGAAAGAAATGTGTTTTTGACTTTATGTTTAAAAGAAAACCTTTTACCACCCAGAATGCACCAAAGCTTCTCCACAGCAGAAAGCCCCTCTAAGCAGTGCAAAAACTCCATTGCCAAGCCACTTGGAAAGAAGTTATAGAGTGTGGTTAGAAACACTATTTAGAGCAAATCTAGCTCTTCTACTTGCTGCGTAACTTTGGATAAGTTCTCTATGCTTTCTGAGTCTCACTTTTCTCATCTGTAGAACAGGAATAATTACATCTTTACCTTTTTTTATAAGATTGTTGTTGGGATAAAATGACTTAGTATCTGTTTTGTAAGTATATAAAACTTAGCAGTATCTGATACAGAATCAAGACTCGTTATAAGGTCTCTTTCTCGAGTAGGCTGATTTAACTAAGAGTAGTATTGAAACGCAGAACATAGTTACAGATCTAACAACATGGGATAGTGGCCTCATCTTGAGTTTCAGTTTAAATCCTAGCTCCACCACAGACTGACTTTGTGAATTTGAGCAAGTTACTTAACTTCTCTGAATTTGAGTTTCTCTCTCGTAAAATAAGGATAATAGCTCATCAGGGGCTGCTTTGAAGAAAGCACCTAACACAGTACCCAGCCCAGAGCAGCAGACACTTAATACATGTTTGGTTTTTTTCAGTGTTGTGGTTCTCAACCACATTCAAATCACCTGATAGGTTTCTTTAAGCATAGATACCTAAGCCTCATCCCCAGAGACTATGATTTAATAGGTCTAAGGTGGGGCCTGGGCATTCGTATTTCCTAAAGCTTCTCAAGGAGATTCTTTCATTCTTTTTTTTTTTTTTTTTTGAGATGGAGTCTCACTCTGTCACCCAGGCTGGAGTGAAGTGGCATGATCTTGGCTCACTGCAACCTCCACCTCCTGGGTTCAAGTGATTCTCCTACCTCAGCCCCCTGACTAGCTGGGATTACAGGCACCTGCCACCACACCCAACTAATTTTTGTATTTTTAGTAGAGATGGGGTTTCACCATGTTGACTAGGCTGGTCTTGAACTCCTGACCTCAGATGATCCACCCGTCTCGGCCTCCCAGTGTGCTGCCAAGGCGATTCTCATAAGGAGCCAAGACAGAACCACTCCCCAGCAGATAACAGTACATACTGGTTTTGGGGTTTTTTTGTGTTCTTTTTTAAAAAATCTGTCTCCCAGGAGACTGAACAGGATAGTAGGAATTCTGGGAATAGTCAAAAATTTAATACACCTGCAGTTCTAAGCCTTTGATAAGAAATGTGCAGCCAAGGAATTGCATTCCATTTTATTCTGAAAAAAAGTATTCAAAGAGTCTTTTTAAGAGTCTTGAACTGGAAAGGTGGTAAGAAGTTTAGCCTAAGCCTCACACATAAAATATGGGAACTCCCAGTAGGTTGGGGATTTATATCTGGGGGTAATTCCAGGGTTTTGTCCTCCCAAGAGATATAAATTGAAGCCTTGAGAGTTTAATGTGGGGGAGAAAGAAGTGTTCTCATAATGACACCTTAAAAATCCAGGGCTCTGCTAATGCCTAGGGATAGAAAAGCATCATCTGTAATAGCAGGGGGGTGGCATGGGGGTGTATTCTGGTCTCTGTACTTAGGTTTCCAAGATCCAAGTGTGGGTCATCAAGAACCTTCTTTCTCCCCATAGGTTTATGGTATTAGTTACCCAATAAAAGTTGGGTTAATTTTACAACCCAAGTAAAATTTAAGCCAAAAAGGCTTCAGCATTACTCTAGGATTTATGAAAGTAAACATGTGGAGTGCTTGCAGGATTGTGCAACAGTAAAATTTCAATGTCTTTATGTCAGGTATATGATATATTCATTTGTATGTGTATTTAAAGGTTAAGTTTTTAAGAGCTTTGCAACACAAACTATTTTCAGTACTAAACTGAAGATACTTCCCCCACTTTCACCTTTAAAATGATTCTTTTAATGAATGGGAGTAGAGAGAAGCAGAAAATTAGTGTCCTATCAGGTGATTTTTCCACTTGGTTTGCTCCTATACTTTGACTTTCTAGACTCCTACGCTAGACCTTCAAGCTGGGAAGTGAGCACCACAGCACTAACCGCAGTGCCTCTTACGATGTGGGAGCTTAGTAAATAACTGTCTTTTAAATAAATGTCCCTTTGGTCATTGTAAATACTTTAAGAATAGCCATATATTATCTCTACAATTTAAAAAAGCTTTTACATTATCTGATGGGATCATAATGACTTTCCCATGTAGGGCAGAGAAGTCAGTTACTGTGTCCAACTTGTAGATGAGAAAATTGTGGCTCAGAGGGCTCAGACAGCTTGCCTAAGGATGCCCAAATGTTAAACTCAGGAAGAGAATTTTGTTCTCCTGACTTTGCTCTGAGGGATTTTTACTTAGAAGAAACCAAAGGGGAAAAACGGTGTATTTTTTTTTTTTTTTTTGAGATGATATATTGAGGAGGAGCATCCAGGGTTGAAGTCAACTTATACACGTGGCAGGCAGACTTTGGTTTGGCTATGGTCTGCCTTTGAGAAACAGCTGGATGTTCTGCACTCGAGGGATCTTGTGCTCATCGTAGGCCCTCGTGGGAGATGGTAGCCTCTGCCCTTTCAGGTTGAGCCTGCCATCTTGGGTCTTCATCTCCAGCCTTAGATCTCCAGTCCTTTTACCTGGCACATGAATCATGTCATTTCTGGTGTCCCTCTGTCTTCAAGATGAAATCTATTACCCCTCCTTATAAAAAAAGTCTTATAATTTTGAGGCCGCAAAATTTTAATAAGACTATTTTTTTAAATTGTAGAGAAGCATGAAAGCAAACTTTCCATGGACATTTTCTCTAGATTTCCTTGGATTTAGTGACTCAATTCAAACTCTCCAGACTATGGTTTGCCCTGGTCCTCTTTGGGCAGGGTAGAGATAATGGAGGTTCAGCAGTGAAGAGTCACCTAACTGGGCTACCCTCGGGTTTCTTTCCAGCTGCACCCAGCTTCTCACCCCATGGATCCCCCTAATTGACGTGTCAGTTGGAGTGGATCTGTTCGCCCACGCCTTTGTAGCAAATGAAGCAGAAATAATCTGTGCTTAAAAAACAAAAAACTGTAGAACATGTGCCCAGATTTCCAACTCATTTCCTCTTTACTCCTATAACTACATCATCTTCCAGCCCACCACCAGCTGCGAAAATAAAAGCATTTTCTCCCATATTTAAGGATGATTTTGTGCTTCAGGATGACTTTCTGGGGGTGTAGGAAACTTGACCAATGTGACCAACAGATGTTTTAAGAACTGAGCAAAAGCCCAATTCCTTAGCCCAGTCTTTTGTATATTGTGCCCAACTGTGCCCCCTAGTGACTATTTAGGGTATCGCGCAGTCAGAGCTTGCTGTGCCCTGTATGTATGTGGTGCATCAGCTAATGTCTGTCTATGCTTTCTTTCAGAGATGAGTATGAAGAAGATGGATTCTGTCAGCCATACAGAGGGATTGCATGTGCAAGATTTATTGGCAACCGCACCGTCTATATGGAGTCTTTGCACATGCAAGGGGAAATAGAAAATCAGATCACAGGTAGGTAGCACCAATGAAATTATATTTGTCCCTTGAATAACTATTTTTCTCGCCAAAAGTTTTATTGAGCTCCTCTCTTGACAAAGGATTAAGCTCAGCATGGAGGTTGGGAGCAGGACCATAAAAAAGCATGAGACATGATCTCTGTGCTCTGGAATTTACATTAAAGTAATTTATTGAAGGTTGCTCTTAGAGGAAAAGGAAGCTTTGTGAAATCTCACATTCATTCAAACACTCAATAAATATTATTAAGTGCTTTCACCGTACCAGGAACTGAATCTGAATGGGAGAGGTGATGGTGTGTAAATAAGCCAGGTACGTCTCTGCCCTCACAGAGCTTACTGTTTAGAAGCAACATGATGTCGACTGAGAGGGGATGAATTTAGAGTTTAGAGTTCTGGACACTCATCCCAGAACTATTATGACAGTGAACTTTGGGGAAATCGCTTACTTTCCCAAAAAGTCCCCTTCTTCATCTGTGAAATGAGTGATGAAGCAAGATGACCATTGGTCTCTTCTTGCTCTAGCTTTCAATATTTCACTCTTCATTTTTCTTAATTGAAAGTATCCTTTTGATAGAAATCTAATAGCGAAGCACTTACTAGCACACATGAGTTAAAGTAGCATAGGCTGCCTCATAGGATTTTGCACGCATCGTTCTGGTGGTTACAGCAGCTTTGTCCCCTTCCATTAGTGTAGTTATGATGCCTCTGTGTCACGTATCCTTTGCAATCCATTCACATTGTCTTCATGACATTCTAATGAGGTTGCCATATCTAGCAAATAAAAATTCAGGATACCCAGTAACATTTGAATTTCAGATAAACAACGAATAATTTTTTAGTATAAGTATGTCATAAATATTTATCTGAAATTAAAATGTAACCGTTGTCTTTTTCTTTATCTGGCAACCCTAGGGTCTAGGAGAGGTAAGAACAAACCCAAGGCAGAAACATAGAACAGCAAAAGGCCCAGAAGCTATGTGGAAGCTATGTGCTATGAGGAATGTGAAGGAACTGAGAGGAGGCTGGGGGGAAGAGGGAGGAGGACTTTTTTTTTTTTTTTTTGAGATGGAGTCTCGCTCTGTCACCCAGGCTGGAATGCAGTGGCGCGATCTCGGCTCACTGCAAGCTCTGCTTCCTAGGTTCATGCCATTCTCCTGCATCAGCCTCCTGGAGGACTTTTTAACCAACCAAAAGAAGCAACTGTAGGAATAGGTAGTTGCCATTTTCTGAAGCCCTCATTTCAACAGGAAGAGAATTCTGAAATTTCAAAGAGCAGTAAGACTGACAGGGAGGAGCTGTTAAACACCCATTTCAACCTAATGTAAGAATGCCTTAATGTACTTTTAACTGAATATCCACAAAAGCAAGTAGACATTTTGGGCCAGGCACAGTGGCTCACTCCTGTAATCCCAGCACTTTGGGAAGCTGAGGTGGGCAGATCACTTGAGGCCAGGAGTTCGAGACCAGCCCGGCCTACATAGCAAAACCACATCTCTACTAAAAAACAATACAAATATCAGCTGGGTGTGGTGGCACATGCCTGTAGTCCCAGCTATGTGGGAGGCTGAGGCATGAGAATCCCTTGAAACTGGAAGGCAGAAGTTGCACTGAGCTGAGAGCGTAACCCTGCACTCCAGCCTGGGCGACAGAGTGAGACTGTCTCAAAAAAAAAAAAAAAAAAAAAAAAAAAGTGGAAGTTTTGATGTAAATAATTGGTAACCTATTTATAAAAATCCTCTCTTGGAGATTTCTAATGGGTATCAGCCTGGTGGAAAGTTTTTTTTTAAATTCATTTACCTTTGTTTATCCCAGCGTTTCCCAAACTTGTTGGCTTGTTTCTCAAGCACTATTCTATTTCACATGATTAATGTTCTGAGCAACATACTTGGGGAAATAATGTATCAGCAACCTCCTAGGTTTCCTTGTGAGGTGTAAGCTCCTTGTCAATAGCGGTATTCAAAGGTAGGCTGGTGCGCTTTTTGTGCATCTTACCCTACTAGTAAGAGATTAAGCTAAGGAACCACTAATATTCGATGATACACATTGGAACAATTGTACTGTGCTCTTTGAGAACTTCCAAGTGAGTTGCCTCATTTTCAGAAGATGGAGTAGAAAGTATTCCAGCCACAAAGAAATTAAGCAAGTTACCCTAAGTCATCCAGCAACTCTTGCCGTCCAGCAAGACACAGAACTGGATCCTGTGCTCAGGCTCAGCCACTGCGGAAACAAGTTCTGTCCCTACAGCTGTCAAATGTTTTAGAAGCCTCACAAAACTAATAAAAAGCACCAGATGAAACACAAAGTTCGATTGCTTTGTAGTAAAAAATGAAAAATATATTGTACTTTAACTTAATTAATTTTTTTATTAGGAAATGGTACATATGTAATTTAATCCTGTTTTATTAACTTTGTAGTCAAAATGGTTTTTTTCAAGCCAGTGAAAGTAAGCTGCTTAGACATCTGAAATGAATCTCCTTCTCTGGGCCTTGTCTGTTTCAGCACGGCGGATTCCTTGCAATGTGTGTTTATATCTGATATCCGTTGACTAGATAACCAAAGAAGATAAACCCTGGCCTCTGGGAGTTAATAATTGTGTTTGTTTTCCAGCTGCCTTCACTATGATTGGCACTTCCAGTCACTTATCTGATAAGTGTTCTCAGTTCGCCATTCCTTCCCTGTGCCACTATGCCTTCCCGTACTGCGATGAAACTTCATCCGTCCCAAAGCCCCGTGACTTGTGTCGCGATGAATGTGAAATCCTGGAGAATGTCCTGTGTCAAACAGAGTACATTTTTGCAAGATCAAATCCCATGATTCTGATGAGGCTGAAACTGCCAAACTGTGAAGATCTCCCCCAGCCAGAGAGCCCAGAAGCTGCGAACTGTATCCGGATTGGAATTCCCATGGCAGATCCTATAAATAAAAGTAAGTGGTAGCCCCTGACCTTCTGTGCTCTTCTAAGGGTCAGCAACCTGTTGGCACAGGGAAAACTGGACCTTGACCCATAGTGATTTTCATACTGTTAATCAAATTATTTTCCAATGGGCTGAGTACTGTGCCTGAGCATTCAGTGGTGGATTAGACATAGTTATCTTCAAGAAGCTTCATGAAGACAATAATTTTAAAATATTGGAGCTGGTTTCTCAATAACTTAAACATAGAATTACTATATGACCTAGCAATTCTACTCCTGAGTATGTAATCAAAAGAACTGAAAACAGATGTTCAAACAAAAACTCATATGAGAATGTTTATAACAACACTATTTACAATAGCCAAAAGGTGGAAATGACCCAAATGCCATCAGTAGAGGAGCGGTTAAACAAATTGTGGTATATCCAGACAGTGAAACATTATTTATCCATAAAAAGGAATGAAATACAGATACGTGCTACAAACCTGGATGAACCTGGAAAACATTATACTAAGTAAAAGAAGCCAGACACCATTGTATGATCCATTTATATGAAATTTCCAGAATAGATAAATCCATATAGACAGAATTCAGATTAGCGGTTACCAGGGGCCAGGCTAGGGGTAGTGGAGAGTGATTGTTTAATAGATATGGGGTTTCCTCTTAGGGTAATATAAGTGTTCTAGAACCTATAGTGGTGAAGGTTGTACAATATTGTGAAAGAACTAAATAAATGCACTAATGGTACATGTAATGGTAAGTGTATTATAGCATGTATCAGTACATTCTCACATTGCTATAAAGAAATACCTGAGACAGGGTAATTGATAAAAAAAGGAAGTTCAATTGGCTCACGTGTGGTTCTGCAGGCTGTACAGGGAGTATAGCAGCTTCTGCAGAAGGTGAACGGAGAGCAAGCTTCTTACATGGCAGGAGCAAGAGAGTGAGTGGGGAAGTGCCACATGCTTTTAAACGGCCATGAGAATGAGAACTTACTATCCCAAGGACAGTACCACGGGGGGTTTGTGCTAAACCATTCACAAGAACCCTGCTTCCGTGATCCAGTCACCTCCCACCAGGCCCCACCTCCAACCCTGGGGATTGCAATTCAACATGAGATTTGGTGGGGACACAGACCCAAACCATATCATACCGCCATTTTAAAGATATAGATGGGTTTGCCTCCATCCCCTACCCCATCAGCAGCACCACGCAAAAGACTATTTCAGTGTACATTTCCCTTTCATCTAGAATTAATCTCACCGGCAATTTTTCAGTTTCCTTTTGATCGTTAATACTATTTTGTGAGTTAAGTAAATGAGTGCATCTAAAATGCTTAACACATGGTAAGGGCTCAGTAGCAACATTATTATTATTGTCATTACTCCTCCAAACTCCAGTTCAGTTCGACTGTGTAGATTCTGCAGTGCTTTTAAGCCCCTCTGGCCACGTGCGAGGTCTTCTTAATGGGATCTGCTTCTCAAGGGTGCCGACCCCATCAGCACAGAGATAGCCCCCACTTTTGTTAGAAACCCAGAATGCACAGCCTCTGATAAGCATGTTCTGTGAATTACAATACCAACTAGATTCCTTATTACATGATTTCATGTCTAAGGCTGTCAGTCAGAATGGAAGGAAAAGTTTGGCTTGAACCTTCCTTGAACCATTCACTAGGAAATTACTTCTGTGCCCCCAGGTCCCACCCCAGTTCCGATTTCTTCTGTGTTCAATGTTAGAAATACTTTTGGAAGACTGATTTTATTCCTGAAGCAAAAGCTTTAAATCCTCCCAGGAATGTAACTGCAAGGCAGGCCCTGGGTCCAAGCCCAGCAAAGCAGGGAGACTGTCCTGCATGGCCCCTGACCAGCAGGGAAGCTGTGGCCACGAGGTTAATTACCTGCCCTCCCCTCCAGAAACTGCTGGCTAGAGGAGAGCTCCAGCATCTCCTATGTTTCTTTCTAATTGTTTGGGTTTTTGTGTGTTTTTCAGATCACAAGTGTTATAACAGCACAGGTGTGGACTACCGGGGGACCGTCAGTGTGACCAAATCAGGGCGCCAGTGCCAGCCATGGAATTCCCAGTATCCCCACACACACACTTTCACCGCCCTTCGTTTCCCAGAGCTGAATGGAGGCCATTCCTACTGCCGCAACCCAGGGAATCAAAAGGAAGCTCCCTGGTGCTTCACCTTGGATGAAAACTTTAAGTCTGATCTGTGTGACATCCCAGCGTGCGGTAAATAGAAGTCATTGCCCCTAATGTATTCAATCATCTTTAAAGATCCCTATCCTACCCCTCTTATTTAGGAGAATCCTATAAGGGGGGCAAAGAAAATGGACAGTATTTGCTTGATCTCAATCTGGTTTTAGGGTAAACCTTGCCGTTTCTACATAAAACACCTCGTAAGGTACCAAAACACGTTCTCAAGAAGTCAACTGCCTTTATACCTGCAGCCATTGCACTCATGGATGTAACAGGGACCCAGCCCTTCAGAGGCACAGTTGAGACAGTTTATCACATTGATTTTTATAGAAAAAGATGTTACCCAGAATGGTCTGCGTCCAAGTGGACCTTTTCAGCAAAAAAAGGAATATTGGAAGCAGGAAGAAATTGTTTTCTGTATGCCTTAAGAACACCACAAGGCAGGATGAATCTACAACCATTACTCGGTCATCCAGGACAATCTGTGGGTAAACTGTGTCCTTCGTTATGTCTGTTAATACTGCAGAAGAAGCATATAGGTATCTAGTAAGAAAATGGAATTCCTGAGTCAGTTAACTGTTCCTTTTTCTAGAAAATGTTTGGAGAAAATAATGAAAATGGGCCAAGCATGGTGGCTTATACCTGTAATCCCAACACTCTAGGAAGGCCGAGGCAGGAGGATCATTTGAGCCCAGGGGTTCAAGACCAGCCCAGGCAACATAGTGAGACTCCATCTCTACCAAAAAAAAGAAAAAAAAAAAAAGAAAATGTTGGTGAAACCTGGAGTTAGGAACTATTTTGGAACTAATTCATCTTCCTGATCCTAGTTCTCATAGATATCATAGATAATGCCAAGTTTCCCAGGCATAGTGGGAGAGTCAGGATGTCACTGCTGGAAAAGCAAAAGCTACAGGGTAGGAGGGTGGGCAAACAAGAGCAATAGTCATGGGACCCACAATACAAAGTGAGCTCGGTGTTTAACCAGATGATTATTCAAGCCATTCATTCAGAATATTTGTTGAGTACCTACTAAGTGCCAAGTACTTACTCATCCGAGCATGGGGAGACGCCAGGGACCCTAAGGAGGGAGTAGGCATAGCACATCCACAAAGAAGCAAGGAGTCATGGAGGCGGAACAAGCAAAAGGGAGAGTAGCAGAAGATTAGGTCGGGAAAGTAACAGGACCCAATCATGTAAAGCTGTGTAGGCCATTGGAGGACTTAAGCTTTGACGCTGAATGAGTTGGGAAAGCATGAGAGGGTTTTGAGCAGAAGGGTGACATGACCTGACTTATATGTTTGAAGGCTCACCTGGGCTGCTGGGTTGAGACTAGCCTGTGGGAAGGATGCAAGAGCAAAAGCAAGGAGATCAGTTGGGAAGCTACTGCAGGAATGCAGGGGAGAGATAAAGTGGCCTTGACAGGAGGAGGAGTGGAAGACGGAGGGACACGTGGGCAGATTCTGGATATGTGTTGAAATTGGAGACAAGAGGAGTCACTGATGGATCAGATGTGGGATATAAATGATGGAAGGAATCAAGAGTGACTCCGGAGCTTCTCCATGGAATTGCCTTTTGCTGAGACGGAGAAAACTATAGGAGGAATAAATTTAGTGGGAGCTGGAATCAAGAGTTTTTGTTCATGCTGAGTTTGAGATGCCTTTTAGAAATCCAAAAAGAGATACTGAGGAGGCAGTTTTATATCACAGACTGAAGTTCAAGTCAGGGTCTGGGATGAGATGGATACGAAGGAAATGTTGGCATACAGATGGCATGTAAGGCCATGACACCTGAAGGAAAGAGGAGCATATCTACTTAACAAAAGAGAAGGAAATGTCAGTGCAAGACAATGAAAGCTAGCTTTAGACTCTGGGTCAGGGGCAGTAGCCTCAGTTCCTAATGTAATAATGATCTAACTGAGTGGCTACCATGTGCCAGATCCTATGTGAGACACCTTACCTCTGTCACCTCATTCAATCTTCATATCCAGCTTCTATCATCCTCATGTTATGGATAAGAAAACTGACACTCAGTAAGAATTAAGAGGTTTGCTCAAAGACACTCAGCTATCAGTGACTGAATCATGATTTTAACTCAGGTCAGCCGGATTCCCAAACCTGTTGGCTCTTTCCACTAAGCATACTCTCTCTCTAGAGAGCAAAATGAATCTGCTTAATGGCAACAATAACAGGTAAACAATAAATATATAGTTTGTAGTAAAAGCAGTTTATTGTAATAGGTAAGGACATGGGTTCTCATGTTTAAGTGCCTGGGTTTGAATCCCAGGTCTTCAATGAAATAGCTGTGTGCTCTTAGCCCCTTCTAATCTCATTTTTCTTATCAGTAAAATGAGAAAATAATGATATACACTTAGGATTTATTGTGAGAATAAATTAGTTGTTAACTGAAAAACCCTATGATGTCCGAACATAGTAAATGTTCAGTACACATTATCTATTATTATATAGTCAATATATAAAGATAAATCGATTCGAATTATCACATAGTCAACATATGTAAATAAATGCTTGCTCTCAGCTCAGCAAATATTGTTTGAGAGCCCACCATGGAGTAGGGAGGTTATAAGAGGAATAAAATGATTCATGCTTTTGAGGTATGTCAGTTACAATGCAGTATGTATGATACAATAGAAGTTAGCACAAATGTTATGGAACAAAGAAGGGGAAGGGCTTAAAAAATTACTAAAGAAATCCATAAGAAAAAGTTTTAAAAATATTGAAAAGAACCCTAGTGATGAAAATTTGAGAGACCCTTATTCTATAATTTTGTTCCTACCTGTTACTTGTTATTATAGTGACTTTACTTGCAAAATGGTTTTACGGAAAGTTGAACACAACAAATTTTAGAAAGATCACCACACCCCCTTTGTGTTGCCGGGTTTCATACACCTTCATATGGGCTTTAATATACTTTCATACGTATTACAAAGTAACCTCTTGCAGAGCCATTGTTGATCATTTCAAGGAAAATTATTCTGTATTTTGTAATGGTTTGCACTTCATTTATGACATTTTCCGTGTTATTTTCAACAGTGATAAGAAAGGAATAAAAACAAAACATAGATTTACTTAGTTGCCCCATTCCTTCTCCTAAACCAGGTAAGGTATGAGAGTCTGCAAGAGAGTCCAGGATAAAAGCAGTACTTACTAAGCACCTTCCACGCACCAGGCACAGTGCTAGGGTTTTCACATGCTTTCTTTATCCTCATCCTCATACTCTGACAGGTATTATTAACCCTATTTTTGCTGATACAGAAGCTGAGGCTGAGAAAGCCCCAGGGTCATCCAGCTAGTAAATGGAAGGTCTGTCTGATTCCAAGCTCATCTTCTTGCTACTCTTCTGTGCTACTTCGGGTTATTGGTTGATGTACAGAGGAAACCAAATGAACTGGTTTGTTTTGTTTCTTTGTTTTTTGAGACAGGATCTTGCTACGTTGCCCAGGCTGGTCTCTAACTCCTGGGCCCAATAAATCTTTCTGCCTTGGCCTCCTGAGTACCTGGGACTACAGGCATGCACCACCATGCCCAGCTTTAAATGAATTGTTTTAAGAAAGAAATGGGCTGGGCTTGGTGGCTCACGCCTGTAATCTCAGCACTTTGGGAGGCCGTGGCAGGCAGATCACTTGAGGTCAGGAGTTCAAGACCAGCCTGGCCAACATGGTGAAACCCCGTCTCTACCAAAAATACAAAAATTAGCCAGGTGTGGTGGCATGCACCTGTAATCCCAGCTAGTTGGGAGGCTGAGGCATGAGAATCGCTTGAACTTGGGAGGCGGAGGTTGCAGTGAGCCGAGATCGCACCACTGCACTCCAGCCTGGGCGATAGAGCGAGACTCAGTCTCAAGAAGAAAAAAGAAAGAAAGAAAAGAAAAGCATTATTTGTTCCACCCTAGGTAAACACTATTGTTCTTTGGGTGACTTCTGACCCTTAATTTCCAACCAATGCCTATCAGAAGTAGGGAAGTAATTTGTCCAGAAGCTGGAAGACATATTGATACTCTGATTCAAGGACTCAAGCTCTATTACGATTAGTTTAAGCAAGGATTACAAATTATACCTAAAGTACTCGTTTTCATTTCGATGCCCTTCCTGCAGCATCCAGATCAAACCCATGCTAGGAGGGATGAAAGAAACCTTCGAAAGGTCTTTCAGACTGAGTAGAAAGAGGGAGATCACTTACATCTACAGGATACCTACTATGTGCCTGCATGGTGCCTGGTGCTTTACATATTCATCTCCATTTAAAATTCACAACCATGCTGTGGGGTAGGTATGATTAACATATTTCACTGAGGTTCAAAGGGGCTACAGGACTTGTCTAAATCACACAGCCAACCACTGTCTGCATAGAGCTCTGACCAAACTCAAAGCTCATGTTCTTTTACCAGACACTCTGCTATCTCTCATTTGAAGATTTTTCTGAAATAAATACAAGCATGATGATTGGTTCCACCTCTGGATTACATCATGCCGATTTCCATTATATGATATGACATCAAAATCTTCCCGTGCTGATGAAGAACTCTATCATAGTATTACTCAGTGTGTTATTATCTTAGTATTAATCAGTATAGCAATGTTGAAAACCCTTGGAATATTTCTTTTCTGAATATATGTGCAGAGGACACAGTGAAAATCCTGAGGACTGGTTAATACTAGTCACATGAGAGATGAATTTAGATGAAAGTTAAATATAGAGATGACAAGGCAGTTTTCACCACTTAGATTTTTTTTTAAAGAACATTTTCATTTTATTTTAAAACAAAGCAGTTCCTCTTGAATTCTTCAAGCCAAGCCACGAATATATCCATTAAAGGAACAGGGAAGCCTTGACATATGATCAATAAGCTGCTGGAGGGCCAGTAGCTCCCAGGTGGGATTCCTGAGAAGACAGTAGGTCAGCATCAGCTGTGCTCAGGGGTATGCGTGTCTTCTCCCAGTCGCCCTCAGCCCACCTCTAACAAACTGATCATCATGGAATCCTATTTTTATAACTCCTTTGGGGCATTTGATTTTTTTTTCTCATTTCATTGTCACAAAACCATGAAAGATCAAGTAGGAATTTCCAGCCCTGTTTTACCATATGAGAAAATCAAGGCCCAGAGAAGTGAGAAGGCTTACCTAAGATCACAAATGAATTCATGGAAACCAGGTCTCCTATCTCTAGGACCACTGCTCTTTGTTCTACACCAGTGATTCTCAACCAGGGGCAATTTCATCTTCCAGGGAACATTTGGCAATTTCTGGAGAGATTTTGGTTATCACAAGTGGGTGGGGTTGGGGGATGCTACTGGCAACTGTTGTGTAGAGGTCAGGGATGTTGCTAAATACACTGCAGTACCCAGAACAGCCCACACAATGAATCATCTAGCCCAAAATGTCGAATGTTGGGGTTGAGGAACTCTTTTCTACACTGTACAATTGTAAACTATAGAATAACAATAATATTCAATAGTAATTATCATTTATTGTATGCTTACAATGAGCTGAAAACTCTGCTGACACTTTTAGGCATTATCTCATGTTTAAATAGTTCTATCCCCCTAGGAGTAGGTTTTATTATACCCAAGAAAGAAAACTGAGACTTGGAGAGGTTAAGTAACATGTGTCCGAGGTCACATGGTTAATAAGAAGTGGACCCAGGACTCACATCTGTACTCAGCCTTTTAAACTGTGGTTTATGCATGTATGTTGTGTATGTGTTTTTGTGTGTGTAAACAGATAAAACTTGAGAATAACTTCATTTTACAGTGAGTTGTAAGCTAGTGGGGCAGATTTGAAATGAGCCCTTTTTCTCCTCCATCCTGAATGAGACAGAGTCTCATAGGAAAATTCCTGCATTCTTTAGCTAACTCAAAGTTAAGGAGATTTCAGAATCTCCATGGGGTTTCTCATTTTCCTACTGATAACTTTTGTTTTAGTTTCAACTAAGTAGAGCTAAAAGAAGCATAGGCCTAATTAAATAGAAAATGTGAACGTTTGTTGTACTTTCTCTAATAAAGGCGCTTGAGAACAGTCTGCTGCAGATTGTTTTATCTGTGAACCTTCACTCCAGAGCAGAATATAAAATTAAGTACAATCAAATATGGCTGTTGTAAATTCTGGGAATTGGCTTGGCTAGGATTATATGCATATGCCCAGACAGTGCTTAGAGAAAGTGAAAAAAAAGACAAAAGTTGGTTTGGGCAAGACCTGGCTTCTCATCCTCCATGTCTTTTCTTTCATGTCACAGGCATCTAACAATTAGAATTACTAATTATTTATTCATTCACTCACAGAAACCAATATATGTTGAGCTTCTACTGTGTCTCAGACCCTGTGAACAAGCTAAATCAGACCATGCCCTTGTGTAGCCTACAATCTAATGAAGGAATCAGATGGAAAAAAAAATATGAATCACATTAAGTATTGTCATATAGTTCCCAGTTTTATGTCTGCTCTTATGTGCGTGGCATTTTAATGATGACTACTGCTTGTTGAATACTGTGCTAAGATATCTGTGCCGGCATCTAGCCTAGGACTTAGTTGGTGCTCAATAAAATGTGTTGAATTAATTGGTTTAATCCACACGGTAAACACAAGATAAAGGTGTCATCTCCATTTTCCTAAAGGAAAAACAGGCAATGTTGTTTTTACTGAAGCCGAGATTCAAACCAATTCCATAGAATTTCATATCCATTCCTCCATCTACCATGCCATAACTGCTTAAACAATAGAGTCCTGATTATTTCAGAGGAACACACATTCCTTTATTATTTTCCCTTTCCCTTTGATCATTATGATCTCTCTGGGTCTTTGGGATGCTGCCCATTGATATTCTTATTTGCAGCTCCAGGGATATAGGAATGAAGCCCCCAGCCACAAAGATATCTACTCTGAGAGACCCTACTGTGCTCCTCTTAGATGCAGCCCTGATATAGATTAGCTCCCCAGCAGCTCCACCCACATCTCACAGGGTGTGCCCTTCTCCCATTAAGTCCCATCTCCTCTCTTTCTGGAAGCCCCATGTCTCCTCCAGTCCTCAAAGTTGGCCATCTTCTCTGCCTGCAAAGCTTCATTCACTATGCTTTCACCTTTTGTTGTGGTCACCTTCCAAGTCAAATATCTTGGGTTGGGTGTAAACTAAATTGAGAAAGAAGCATTTTGCCTAAGTTCTTTCTAACTGGCATCTAGGCACACTGCCTAGGTTCACCATTTCACTGTAGCCCTTTATCATTGCTTTTCTATGCAGCTCTGGGGGTGTAGCTGTGGAAACTGTCAATACCTCTGAGAACTCCTTTTGCAACAATCTGTCCATTTTACTTTGGTTGTATTTTATTAATACCACAAGACTTATGTTCTCTCTCTCTCTTTCTCTCTGTCTCTCATTTAGATCCCCTATTTGTTTCTTTCTTGATTTGTATGGGAAGGCAGAATCTCAATCGTATTGGTATTTTTATATTTAAACCATGGGCCTTTGTTTTACCCTTGATCAAATCCTGAGGTCACATTTCTTCTCCTAGCCATGCCAGCATGTCTGTTTCTCCTCTAAGTAAAGGTTTCTCCCTCTACCAAATAAAAGTTCCAAGCAGCAGTATTGTTTTTACTCCTAAACCAGCTTCACCAAAGAGTATCCATGATAAGAAAAGTGGTGAACCATTTGGCTCCATTTGGAGTTTTCATACCTGGCCTATTGCTTTTGTATTTCCTTTTAAGTCACTGGCTTGCAACAATTTGCCAAAGGGCGCATTGCCCAGTTTTGTGCCTGAATAGCCTTGACTTGTCCTATAATCTTACAAACACCCACCCTGGGCTCCAGTTTGTCACAAACCATATTCTGCAACGTGGTGGTTTACAGTTCGGGGCAAGGCAGATGTTTTCCAGATTGTGAACACTGCCATTTTTAACTTGCTCTGTCAGCAGCCTTCTCCCATATTTCATAGAAGACCTGTTGTAAGGCAATTTGTCTTTCAGCCATTTCTTCAAAATAAAATTGAACGTTACAGTGAATTGGATGGTGGAGGGGGTAAAGGAGGAAGAAGTATAGCACTGTTTTATATAGTTTGAAGCTTTCTGGAAGAGTTATTTTTATACTGCAGAGATTTTCAAGATGTGCTTTCATTTCCAGTCTCTATACATTTTCAACAACAAAGTAAAGAACAATAGTGACCCAAAACTTATAGCTAAGTCATGTTCCATGAACATTTTTAACCATAAAATAATTTCTCTCAAAGGTTTTTTTGTTGTTGTTCCTAGTATATATTGAGTCATTTACCCAGTGTGTAAGCTGCTCTAGCAATAAGCTTCTGAAACCTCTGAACTTTTTGGGCTCACCACCATGCCAGTAAGAAGTGCTTGTTGGTGTCTTAACCTTTGCTGACAGAAATCTGATATAATACCACAATGATTGTTGCCACTGGCTTTGTAACAAACTGTTTTTTGGTTAAGCTTCTGGCAGGAAACACATGGCACAAGCCGATAGACTAAGGGAAATGTTATAATGTAATTATTTAGGGAGGCATTGGCAGAATTAGGAGAAACCATTAAGGAAAGGTGCGAGACCTGGGGCTAACATGAATGGGAGGTATTACCATCCTAGATCAGTTACCTTACCTTGCAGAATATAGCTGAGACTGAAGAGAGGGCTGTCCAGCACATGCTGTGGCCTTTGGTAGAGGGATATAGTCAACCCTCAGCAACCCAGCAAGGAGGAAGCCAGAGGAACAAGGGTTTCAACCCATACTCTTCTCCTGCCTTTCATCTCTGGCAAATGACTCCCATAGGTTCAACCTAACTGGAAGCCACAGGTCAAAGGTATCCATTGACACTATCAGTAGAGGTTGGCCTCAGCAAGGAGCTGGTCAGAAAGGACTGAGACTGGATCTGGTGGGCTGAGGATACTCAGGGGAAATGTCATCACTGACTTTAAATCGCTTCATAAGAGTCAGCTTTAAATAAATTGTTTCAAGAAAGAAATGGGCTGGGCTCGGTGGCTTATGCCTGTAATCCTAGCACTTTGGGAGGCCGAGGCGGGCAGATCATTTAAGGTCAGGAGTTCAAAACCAGCCTGGCCAACATGGTGAAACCCCATCTCTACTAAAAATACAAAAAAAAAAAAAAAATTAGCCGGGTGTGGTGGAGGGTGCCTGTAATCCCAGCTACTCAGGAGGCTGAGGCAGGAGAATTGCTTGAACCCCAGAGGGGAGGTTACAGCGAGCTGAGATTGCACCACTGCACTCCAGCCTCGGTGACAGAGCGACACTCCGTCTCAAAAAAAAAAAAAAGTTCAGTAAGGGCCTAAATAAGTTATTTCAACTGAATTTATAAAATCAGAGAACCTTGGGAGCAACCATAGAAATCATCCAGCCTCTACTTGAACATTGCCAGACATCTCCAGAGACAGAGAAATCCTTCCACTTCAAAGTGATTATGGAATGATTCCAACTGCTCAAAAGTTCTGCCTTTGTAAGCTAGAAACCAAAACTCGTATGCAAAATCTGATTTTTTTTAAATGTTGGCCACTGATTCCAATTTTTTAAAAAACCTAATAAAGAACAAGTCTATGGACTGGATCCAAATTTTAACTTCTGGATAATTTCTTACACAAATTTGAAGACATATGTCACATCCTTCATTTGATTTTCTCTTTGGCCTAAAGATCACATGGGTCCTCCTACATTTCCTTCCCCATTCTTCTCCTCTAGGTGTTTCCTAGTCCTTTAGAGCCCTCCTTAAAAATGTGGCTCTTAGAAGACACCTTTCAGTGCTTTTTAACCAGAGCAGGTAGAAGAGGACCACGATGTTCTTGATCATTACCCAGTATTGCCAATGAATACTACTATGTTGCTATAAGTGCCATATGTAAAATTTTTTGAGCAATTGCATCATGCTGTTGCTGGGTTCATCTGAGCCTTTAAATCTTCAGTAAAACTTATTAGTAATCTTTTGTTTGTTTTTAGGGTTTGGTTACATCAACAATTATTTAGTAGATTTGTCTAATCATGGATTTTATAAACAAGATCTTTAACCTTAAAGCAACTTATAATATTTATTTTTAAAATTTCAGCTTCTGGTTTGGATTCATTATATTAGCCTGTCGAGTACGATCCTCTAAAATTTTATTCCATAATTAAACAGTTAGGTATCTTTCCTAGATTCTGGCCATTTCAAGTTTGATAAACATATCATCAATGATAATGTTGAGCAGGCAGGATTCCTCAAGCATAGCCCTTTACAATTTGATGTTGATTGACTGATTAACACTATTAAATAAAGGCAGATGATGAATTACAAATACATCTGATGATATTATTATTCAACCTTTCATCTTGTCCATAAGAATGTCATAAGTCACTTGAGTCATTTGATCAAATGTTTTGCTAAAGTTTAAATGTGCTTAGTCTGTCACTAATAATCTCATCAAAATGAAAGAGATTTAATTTTATACAACCTATAGAATTTTGTCAGTTAAAGATTGGCCCGATTAAAAAGTGGGCAAAGGACTTGAATAGACATTCCTCCAAAGAAGATATACAAATGGCCAAAAGCATATGAAAAGATGTTCAATATCACTAATAATTAGAGAAATGCAAATCAAAACTCCAGTGAGATACCATTTCACACCCATTAGAATGCACTATTAAAAAAATAGCAAGTGTGAAGAAATTGGAACCATTGTGATCTGTTGATAGGAATGTAAAATGGTGCAGCTGCTATGGAAAACAGAATGGAAGTTCCTAAAAAAAATTAAAAATAGAATTACCATCTGATGCAGCAATCCCATTTCTGAGTATTTAATCCAAAAGAATTGAAGTCGGGGTCTCAAAATATTTGTACACCCATGTTCACTGCAGCATTATTCATGATAGCCGTTTAAGGCAGAAGCAACCCAAATGTCCATCAGTGGATGAATGGATAAAGAAAACATGGTATATGCAAACAATGGAATATTATTCAGTCATAAAAAGAAGGAAATCCTGTCACATGGTACAGCATCATGAACCTAGAGGACATTAGACTAAGTAAAATACACCAGTCACAGAAAGATAGATACTGAATGATCCACTTATATGCAGTACCTAAAATAGTCAAAATCAGAAACAGAAAGTACCATGGTGGTTGTCAGGGCTGGGGGAAGGGGGGAAATGGGGAGTTATTCAATGGGCATAGAGTTTTAGTTTTGCAGCATGAAAAAGTTCTGGAGATTGGTTGCACAACAAGAATAAATATATGTAACATTATTGAAATGTAAAATTAAAAATGGTTAAGATGGTAAATTTTACGGTATTTTTTACAATTAAACATTTTTTAATTATTAAAAAAGATTAGCCCAATTCTTTTATAGAGGAGGAAACTGAGGCCCTGAGAGTTTACAGAAACTTTTAGTGAACTTGTGTGGATTCCAGTTACTAAGATTTTTCCCAAATGCTCACAAATGAGTTGCTCTCCCTAACTTATTGTAGTTAAAACCTTTTCTGCAGGGAAAATTTTAATCAATGTATATGGCCTATTCAGCATTTTTTTTTAAAGAATTCATTTGAGAATACATAAGGCAATAGATCATCTACTTAGTATTTCCATCATCAAGTCAAGAGAGTGAATGCCTGGGCCCAGCCTGCCAACTGAAGGCCTAATTACCTCTCTCTCTCGCCTTCCAGGCATATGCCTAAATCACTGGTGCAGGCCCCTATGTGCTACCAACCTGCTTATTTTATAGTTTTCAAGTAATAAATTGGTAGTGATTCCTGTTTGTTTTCTATGGTTTTTAAATTTTTTTCAGTCAAGGTTATAATTTAAACTTGTTTAATTTCCCTTGAATTCTAAGGTTCTGTAAGATTTCTTCCCACCTTTGCCATATTTAAAACCAGAGCCTTTTCTTGTTTTAACTCAAAGTAATATCCCAGATGATGTTTCACTTTATTAAAAGTACCTCTTTAATAAGAAATCATGATTACTTTGCTTTAAGCTTCAGGGAAAGAAAGGAGTATTTTCTCCATTATATTTAATTACTAATCAAAGTATTGAATATCATTGTAAAAATAAAATAGGAATGTCAGATGTGAACTGTGATACCAAATTGTTTGATTTTTAAAAGGAAATTAATCATGTGATCTGGACTAAGTGGTTGGTTTCAAAAATCTCAAGTATTTAACTTGATGTAACTAATATGTGCATTTCACTTTTAAACAGTTATTCCAAAGTATTAAAAATCTTCAACATTCTAATTTCCAGCCGATTTTCTCTGTAATGCATTGGAGGTGTCCATTACCCTTTAAAATGACTAGTAAGAATAATGTCCATTGTTCCAAAGTGATTTTCTTAAAATAGTATGATTCCCACCAGATATTAGTCTTCATTGAAAGAGAACTTCGGACTCTTAAGGAGAATGATGAAAAACAATTATATATATAATGTTTTAGGGTAATTTTGATTAGTAATATAATTTACTAGAAGCACTGAAGGTAGACAGGCTTGCATTCCAACCCAGACTTTGCTACTTTGTAGCTTTGACAAGTTATTTTTCCTTTCTCGGTCTTAATTTCTCTGTGTGTAAAGTCAAGATAACACCAATGTGCCTTCCGGGTTAAAATGAGGAATACAAATGCTCGGACTTCAAAAAGAACCTAGGCAGATATTAGTTTTCTAATTTTTCATTTGGAAGGCTCATTGTTCTATGGAATATTTTTATAGAAGATTTTCAGAGCCAGCAGAGACTGAATCCCCTTCTGGCCAAATGCAGAGAGCTGTGTAGGGAAGGAAGCACTTTGTATGGAAGACTTACAATGGGCCTGAATGTGTTTCTGTCACTTCCAACATGACCATGTATTGTTCTCCTTGATTATTTCACTTGGCAAAAAGACACTGGGCCCCTTGTGCTTGTTAGCATATCCTCAGTGTAATCAGAAGGAGCCAAGCTTGACTGTTTAAAGGATTCAGCTTCTTGAAGTTTGTTCTCCTGCAGACCTACAGGGGGATTTGTCCCAGACCCTCGTTTACAATAGAAGACCTTCCATGAATAATCTGATAGGGCATGAATACAGAATAGACTCCTTTGTTTGCCAGGCAGGTGAGGCCCTACTTTCTCTTGTTGCTAAAAATCTGGCCTGGAAAAATGACTAGCATTGCGTTAGTACTAAATTAGCCTCATCGCTTTTGTAATCATTACCCTCAAAATGATTTCACTGAAAAACCAAGAATAACAACAGAGACTTTACCCCCCTAGGGTACTGAGAAATATGAAAATGGTTTATAATGTTAATAATAACCATAACATCCAACAACTGTATGGCAATTTTCAATTATCCAAGGTTCTTTCATGAACATTATCTCATTTGATTCTCAGGTGAACCAAATAAGATTGGTAGAGCAGGGACTATTATTCCTGCTCTACCAATCGTATTTATTCCATTGAATAAATGAGGAAATGGAGATCAGAGAGATTGTTTCTTGCTTAAGATTATCTAGCCCAAAACTTTTACCTGTGAATCCCCCTCTAGTCTAAGGGTAAAGGGTAAACATTGAGTGGTAACTGGTACTAGAATAGATTTGTTGCTTACAGCAATTCTGTGAAGTAGGTATTACTCCCATTTTACAGATGAGTTTGCTTGGAGTGGCAAAGGGCCTACTGAAGGTCACGTAGATAATGAAAAGGCATTATTCAGAGGTTTCTGACTTGGTGCCCTGTGGCAGACCGTCTTCTACTCAGGTGATTCCTTTCTGTCTATCTATAGGCATGTAGACACAATCATTACTGGTGCAACCAGCACTGACTACGACGGCCTCCAGTGATGCCTGGGTTATATATTTACCTGTAACAGTGTATAAAGCAGGGATTTTCTGTAATCCCAGCACTTTGGGAGGCCGAGGCAGGCGGATCACGAGGTCAAGAGATCGAGACCATCCTGGCCAACATGGTGAAACCCTGTCTCTACTAAAAATACAAAAATTAGCTGGGCGTGGTGGCACGTGCCTGTAGTCCCAGCTACTCAGGGGGCTGAGGCAGGTGAATCGCTTGAACCCGGGAGGCGGACGTTGCAGTGAGCCGAGATCGCACCATTGCACTCCAGCCTGGTGACAGAGCGAGACTCCGTCTCAAAAAAAAAAAAAAAAAAAAAGCAGGGATTTCAAAAGCATCACATTTGGCAAAACTTCAGTGTTATTCCCTTCCTTTCAGATCACCCTCATCCTTCCTACCTCCATGAAACAAGAGGAACCCTACTATGAGAAAATAGGGGCAAAATTCTCCAATTATTGGCAGTGAAGTGTAGTAGCTAGAATGGTGGGCAAAAAGCAAGACCGACGATGGAATCCCAGCTTTTGACTTACTAGCAGCATGTCCTTGGGCAACTTACTTAACCACTCTGTCTTCCAGCATCTTCACCTATAAAAATTAGGATAAGGATGTCATCTACCTTATAGAGTTGGTTGTGACATAAAATGAGTTTATGAAAAGCACCTGGTCCATAGTAATAATAGCTAACATGATTTTGCACCAGTAGAAAATATTTGATAAATATTAAAATTGCGTTTTGTTTTGTTTTTTTGAGACAAGGTCTCACTCTGTCACCCAGGCTGGAGTGCAGTGGCGCAATCACAGCTCACTGCAGCCTCAACCTTCTGGGCTCAGGTAATCCTTCCGCCTCAGCCTCTCAAGTAGCCAGGACTACAGACATGCACCACCATGCCTGGCTAATTTTTTTAATTTTTTGTAGAGATGGGGTTTCGCCATGTTGCCTAGGCTGGTCTCAAATTCCTAGGCTCAAGCAACCTGCCTGCCTCAGCCTCCCAAAGTGCTGGGATTACAGACATGACCCACTGCACCCAGCCTAAAATTCGTATTATTTTTATTCTACTCTGTAACCAGATTTAACCCCTCTCCAGGCTCTTCTGAGGGCTAACTCACAGGGCACAGTCCCAAAACCAGGTTTTGGTATTCCTTTTGAATAACTGATATGCCATATCTCACCTGCCAAACAGTTCCCAAACAAGGTGTGTACAAGTAAAAACTACATATGGTTTATTCTCATTTACATGTACTAGGGTAACTCATCATTTAAAGGACCTTTTGGGTCTTTTCATCACTATCTTTATACTTCCAGTTTAGCATTTACAGGACATGTCATTATCTTTCTTCTATTTTCCTTACCAGACGATGAGCTCCTTAAGGGCAGAGGACATGTCATACCTAATTTTGTATTCCCAGTACCTACAATAGTGCCTGACATGCAGTAGCTTTTGTTTATTGACTTACTGAATGAGTGGAAGGGTAATTGAATGAATGCATGGTTAATTCTTTTGTAAGGTAAATAATCATCTCTGAATTTTGTGTCAATTTGAGTTTTCACACTTTGAGTTTTCTTAAAGATAGCTGATCTTCGTTATCAGGGCATGTCATTATGTAACCCCTCTAATTACTATCCCATAATTCTGTGTTTGTTTTACCAGTCAAATAATTCATTAATGACAATATATGCCTAAGTATTTGGTTTCAATGGTTAGGCTCAAACTGATAAAAAGACAAGTATGTCTCGTGTTCTACACATATTATATTCTTTTCCAAGCAATGGGATATAAGATTTCAAAAATATACTTCAAAGTGTTAGCACTCATAATTATTGGGCTCATATGAAACCATTTAAGAATTCTGGGGTTTCAATAAAGTGTCAGATTATACAGTGCTGCCATGCTGGAAGGAATTATAGACACCATCCAAAACAGACACTTCACTTTTGCAGAGGTAAAAAATGAGGCCCAGAGACGTGAATATTTGTTCAAGGTCACACAGCTGATCAAAGATCAAACTGACCCTGACTTCAGGCCCCCATATTCTCAGGCCAGTGGCTTTTTGGACACTGGGACCAGGATTCCTTAGTAATGTTGATTCTGGAAGATGCAGGCTTGGCCCCATAAGTCCAAACCAGCCAAGACAAGGTCATGATTTCTAGAACACCATCTTGTGGGGGCTGATCTGGGCTGGCAGCCAATGGAAGAAGAGCCCTGTGGTCCACATTAAGGCTCTTGGATGTATACAGTCCATTCACGTGGCGTTTAACTTTTAAGGTGTTAGAGAAATGTAGGTCTGCCACTAAAGAGAGGCAACATCAGAGGAGGACCCACACACGTACAAAGTCTTCATAATGTCCCTCTGCAGTTTTTAAACATTTGAACTTTAAACTTTTAAACTTCAATAAATTATGTTGAAGGTTTGATGGAAACAAATGGTAATAAGCAGTGGATTCCTTTCTTCTCACAGTGGATTTGTGTGTATAAAAGAATAGAAGAGGTGGTTCATTTTAAACTATGCAATGTAATATTATGCATGTTACTTTAAAGAGTATAACTTTTGCTCTTTTTCATTTCTGCACCCAGATTCAAAGGATTCCAAGGAGAAGAATAAAATGGAAATCCTGTACATACTAGTGCCAAGTGTGGCCATTCCCCTGGCCATTGCTTTACTCTTCTTCTTCATTTGCGTCTGTCGGAATAACCAGAAGTCATCGTCGGCACCAGTCCAGAGGCAACCAAAACACGTCAGAGGTCAAAATGTAGAGATGTCAATGCTGAATGCATATAAACCCAAGGTAATGTTAGCAGTACAGAGCTACATTTGTTCCGTGGGCTTCAAGTTAAAGCACCATGTTATAACCCTCCCAAGCTTGGAAATCGAATGATATGGAATCAGAGTTTTATAAGTGCTAAGGTTCATTTTAACCAAATGCAAAGACGAACTACCTACCTCTATCTAAACCAAGACACTTTCATCAGTATGTCTACTTCAGTGTTGAGCCAGCCATATCACTGCCTTGCCATAGAGTCATTGGGCTAGAAGTGATCCCTAAGAAATCATCCTGACCAGCCCGTCAGGACTCAGAACGTGAGCAATTTTTCAAAATTTCAAAGAGGAAATTTCATACTTTTCCATCCAAATTGCAAGAGAGAACAAGATCCATCATTGTTCACAAACTTCACTGTCAAGAACCTTTTCGTTGCATAATATGCAAATAGTTAAAACCACTGTACTATATACTTAAAAATGATTAAGATAGTAAATTTTGTTGTGTTTTTTTACCACGATTTAAAAAAAATCCTTTGTATGCCTAACTTACATCCCTTTTTCTTTGGCTTAAGTATATTTTAAGGAAGTGTTGTCCTTCCAATAGTCTTCGAATGCTGTTTTATGATAACCAACCTTAGCCTTCCCCACTTTGAGCTAAATCAACCCCTTCCCTTTTGCTTTTCATCCACATCTTTCAACGTTTGAGTTGCTCGAGGTCCTGGCAAGGAACCCAGGGTCACTGGCCCTTACCTTAAATGGAGCCCCTGCACTGCATCTTGGAACTAAAATACAACAGAGTCTTTCTTTCAGGAAAGCCAGCACCACAATCCCAGGCCTCTCAGCAAAAAGATTTCATTTAAATAATTTAAGACTCTTGCATCTAACAGCCTGTTTTTTTTTCTAATTATTCCAATTCCATAAGAACATTCATTCATTCAACAAATATTTATCTTCCCTGTGGACTAGTAACTGTATTATTCTTTTGATCCTCATAAAGAGGAGAAGCATCACTTTTAATAAAATTTTAGGAAAAAAAAGTCTTCACACTCAAATTAACTAATCCTCTTATCTAATAAATGGAGTAGCGTAATTGGGCTGACACAGAGCCCTCATTTTTTTTTCTGCTTTACTGTTTAAATTTTTTTTATCTAAAAAATCTTGAAAAGATTTTTGCTATTATAAAGTCATATTTATTAATAGGATTTGGAATTCCTTAAATGCTAAAAATTCAGTGTATATATTCTGTATTCAGCAAAACCACTGATCTCTTGCTGAGTGTGAATTTTTATCATTAAAAACAAGCAAACAACAAAAAAAAAACCCTACAAATCCTGAAGACCATAGAGTTCACACAGTAGCCTGGAGGATGGGCAGGGTAGGGATTCAACTCTTTTGACATCCCAGCTTCTAGCTAGCTGATTTACATATATTATAGCATTTTATATAATATCACATTTAATCCTTACTACTTAGTGCTACTATAAAAGTAGTGAAAGCAAATGGATGGGGGTTAATATTGCTACACATTCACCTAGTTGACCTGGCAGATACTTTTACCTAGCTCATGACTTCAAGCTTCTAGTGTAAGAGTCATTGTTCCATGAGACTCTTTCCCTTTCATTTCTGTTGGTAAATGTTGAGAAGTCTTAGAAACACCAGAACTCTGGGCGGGGGAGAGACCTAGATCATTTTGGTTACAGCAGACGGCAGTTTGGTGCAGTAGCCACCATCCTGGAAAGATGTACTCCTCATTGCCAGGGCAGGAACCATGGAAGAATCATTTCCATTTTTAGAAATTATCAATTTTGTGGGTTAGCCTTAATCTGCAATTGAATTACATTTTTAGTGGAGGTTTGTTTTATATCACATGATCTCCAACAGAAATTCCAGAGAGCTTTGTGGCATAAATAGAAAAAAGGCTAATATATATATCGATGAATACAAACTGTCAAGAACAATACCAGGAGCTTTTACATCCATTATCACACTTAATCCTCACAGCTATTATATAAGGCAGGTATTATTATTACTATTGTACAACCAGGGTAATTGAGACACAAACAGACTAAGTAACTTCCCCAAGGTCCAAGAGCTAGTTATTAGAAGCAATAAAATGTGAATACAGGATCTTTCACCTTTTCTAAATAGAGCTGGCCCTTGCTCTTGCAGAATCCGTGATAACTTTTTCACAGAACAGATCAAGTTGGGAAGGAGGAGGGAGGGTTAGGCAAGCAACTGAGTGTGATCCCATTTGGTCAGTTTGTGCTTCAGAGTAACCACAGGCATTCTCCTGGCTTCTGACAAATATTTAAGGGGCCTGCATGGCAGTCTCTGAATGATGTAGCCCTAGCCCTGCCAGGGACATGTACAATTTGGCTAGAGCAATAATAGTTCCCCATCCTTCATGGTCAGAGACAAATGTGAAATATACTGGCATGAGTTTTCCCAGAGACTGGGTGAAGTAAACATTGTTTTCATAGTTTCTGGATCATTTCTGAGGTGTGCCTTGCTAAATCTCCCAGTGTCAAGATTTGTCCACTATGAGGCTTAGAGCTTAGCCTTAAACTCCTGAACCAGAGAAGTAGAAATGGCTTAAATATTTGAATGGGTTGGGGAGGGGAAAGGAAACAACAAAAACAAATGCTAACTTTTTTTTTTCTTACACTTCTAAGGGACTTGGCTCCGATCAAATTTGAGTTATTCAATTGTTTGTTTTGGTTCTTACTGAGTGCCTTTCCTGGAAAAAGCACAAAGGACTCTGTAGACCTTAAAGAAAATTCCTAAATGTAAACAGAAAATCTCTAAAACTGCTTTGGAAGGTCACTGACACATAAATATTACATGTACCTATAAAATCTAAAAGGAAAGGACACACATAAGAAAGAAACAAAGAAAAGTCCTGAAAACAAACACTCCACCAGAGCAAAATCAAAAGAATATTTGGAGGCGAGGATGAAAAAGGAATGAAGGATAGAAGCCAGTCTGCCCTAGCCTTATTCTTTTTTCCCCTTGGCCAATTCAAAAGTCAGAGACTCTAGGGTTCTTATTTATCCAAATGAATGTGCCCTTCAGGGTTTAAACTCTCTGCTTCCATCTCTCTTCACTTGCTGAGCCGCTAAAATTCTCCTGAGTGTTTGGATTGAGAAGAAGAGGCTCCTGTGGGAGATTAGAAACTGATACCCTTGAGAGAGGACAATAGGGAGCTGCCGACAGACTGGCTGACGAGGCCCGGCTTGGGTCCCCAGAGAGGTAGGACAGTGCAGTTGGAAGTAAAAGCTTTTGATGAGCCATGAGTTTCCTTCTGATCTGTGGGCAAAGGAAGCCAGTGGACCAGAGAGGCACCTTAACGCCGAACAATCAGGAAGATGGAGATGTCCTGGCTCCCATGCCAACTGCTCTGTGACTCTGAGAAGCCATCTAGCTTTTTGCAGTTCAATTTTCTCAGCTGTTCAGGAGAAGAAGTAGACTGCATTCAAGTATAAGACTGTTTATTTTCCTGTTATTTTGTTTAGCCAAAGATTTGAAGCCATTCAATCCTCTAACGAGTACTGTAGTGTTGCCTAAACTAAGCAGGATTTTCTATATTGCATTACAAATTTTACAATCTGAGTGAGGTTGTTTTTTCTTCTTTTAGTACAGCAGAAATTGAACCTTCTCAGAGGAGCCTGGAAACTCTAAATTCCCTTCTCTGTTTCTTTTCCTTTGCTTCTCCTTCCCTTGCCCCTACATCCCCTGCCAGGTATGACTCTGGAAAACAGCATTCTGTAAGCTTGCTTGGGTAAGGGAGAGAAGCTGTGGTATGTGCTACTGTGGGAGCAGGGAGGGGGCAGAGTCTCCCCTTCAAGAACAGGATGGGTCCCATTCAGCCCAGGCCTCCTGGCTCCTCACCTGCCTGGAGGTTAGGCAGACAGAGAGGTTAAAAGATGGAGGAGTCTGAGGGGCATGGTTGCTCACACCTGTAATCTCAGCATTTGAGGAAACCAAGCTGGACAGATCGCTTGAGCCCAGGAGTTCAAGACCAGCCTGGGCAACATGGGGAAACCCCATCTCTACAAACACACACACACACACACACACACACACACACACACACACACACAATTCGCCAGGCATGGTGGTGCATCTCTATACTCAGAGCTACTCGGGAGGCTGAGGTGGGAGGATTACTTGAGCCTGGGAATTTGAGGCTGCAGTGAGCTAAGATCATGCCACTGCACTCCAGCCTAGGCAACAGAGTGAGACTCATCTCAAAAAAAGAAAAAAAGATGGAGGAGTCTGAGAATGGGGGCGAGGAAGAGTCAAGGCAGGCCAGGGGTGTGAGATGCAGCCAAAGCCTGGACAGCCCCCATGAGTCGAACTCCTGCAGCTCCTGGCTGATGTAAGGAACATCGCAGGGGAAAGAAAGCAAGACTGGCCCAGCTTTCCAAAGCTGATGGCTGTGTTTTACTTCTCAATTTACCCTCATCTCTTGCCAGCTTCTCTCCTTTTTCACTTCCAGACAATTCATCTCTCCGTTTTCCTTTCCAGCCAAAGTAGTTGCTGAATATACTGAAATTTGATTACATTCTCTGGCCCTGTCCCTTTTGCCAGCAACATGCTTCCATCTAAAAGCCCTGCTGGAGTCTGGCTACCCTTTTTAATTTGCTGTTCTTACCAAATGTCACCACACTTCATGCTAAAATATCCTCGATAATTTTTCCACTCACTCCTTAAAGCTATTGTCTCCCAACACTTCTGAGCTCACCATTCTATTAACATGGGCCTCTTGGGAAGCACCAGTGATGTTATTTAATCCAGTGACCTTTGCCAAGTCTTCCTCCCCTTTAATTTCTCTGGAGCCTTTGATATTCTTAACCACCATCCTGAAATATATTTTTTTTTCCCCTTGACTTTCCTCCTATCTGCTTCCCACACTTCCTTCACTAGTTCTTTTAATTCCCTTAATGGGAGCATCCTCTGACATTCTTTTCCTCTCTCATTCTCTTGAGCTGATTTCATCCTCTGGCATTGCTCTAGCTCCCCCTTGAGTGTAATGATTTCCCAACCTGGAAGGCCCAGTTTCAAGTTATAAAATTCTTGCCACCAAAATCCTGCCACCCAAAAGTCCATACTATCGGGGCCTAGCTTACCTTTCCAGCCACACTTTTCTCTTAGTTTATTTCTGGAAAGTAGTCTGATACACTTCAAAGAGCAAGAGTGTAGAGACAAAGAGATATGATTACAAATCTTGGCTCTGCTGTCAACTGGCCACAAGATCTTAAGCAAATAACTAACTTCTCTGAACCTTTTATTTTCTCATCCATAAGGCAAGGATAAGAATAGTACTTAAAAGGGATATTTTTTACACTTTGAGATAGCATGTCTGGCACCTCACAGGTACTTAATAACCAGAAATTACTATTATTGTTATAACTGATGAGTACAGATCTTTTTTTTAACTTTTATTTTAAGTTAAGGTGTACAAGGGCAGGTTTGTTATGTAGGTAAACTTGTGTCATGGGAGTTTGTTGTACAGATTATTTGATCACCCAGGTATTAAGCCCAGTACTCATTAGTTATTTTTCCTGATCCTCTCCCTCCTCCCAAGCTCCACCCTCTGAAAGGCCCCAGGGTGTGTTGTTCCCCTCTGTGTGTCTATGAGAACAACATTTAGCTCTCACTTAAAAGTGAGAACATGCGGTACTTAGTTTTCTGTTCCTGTGTTACTTTGCTAAGGATAATGGTCTCCAGCTCCATCCATGTCCCTGCAAAGGATGTGATCTTATTCTTTTTTATGTCCACATAGTATTCCATGGAGTATATTGTATGTACCACATTTTCTTTATCCAGTCTATCACTGATGGGCCTTTAGGTTGATTCCATGTCTTTGCTGTTGTGAATAGTGCTGCAGTGAACGTATATGTGCATGTGTCCTTATAATAAAATCAGTTATATTCCTTTGGGTATATACCCAGGATTTAAATTGCTAGGTCAAATGCTATTTCTGTCTTTAGATATTTTAGGTTTCCACAATGGCTGAACTAATTTACACTCCCATCAACAGTGTATAAGCGTTCCTTTTTCTCTGCAACCTCGCCAGAATCTGTTGTTTTTTGACCTTTTAATAATGGCCATTCTGACTGGTGTGAGATGGTGTCTCATTGTGGTTTTGATTTGCATTTCTCTAATAATCAGTGATGTTGAGCTTTTTTTCATATGTTTGTTGGCCACACGTATGTCTTCTTTTGAAAAGTGTCTGTTCATGTCCTTTTTATGGGGTTGTTTTTCTTTAAATTCCTTAGAAATGCTGGATATAAGACTTTCACCGGATGCATAGTTTGCAAAATTTTTCTCCCATTCTGTAGGTTGTGTTACTCTGTTGATAGTTTCTTTTGCTGTGCAGAAACTCTTTAGTTTAATAAGATCCCATTTGTCAATTTTTGCTCTGGTTTTGATTGCTTTTGGTGTCTTCGTCATGAAATCTTTGCCTGTGCCTATATCCTGAATGGTATTGCCTATGTTGTCTTCCAGGATTTTTATAATTTCGGGTTTTACTTTTTTTTTTTTTTTTTTTTTGAGATGGAATCTCGCTTTGTCACCCAGGCTGAAGTGCAGTGGTGTGATCTCAGCTCACTGCAACCTCCACCTCCTGGGTTTAAGCAATTATCATGCCTCAGCCTCCTGAGTAGCTGGGACTACAGGCATGTACCACCACACGTGGCTAATTTTTGTCTTTCTTCATAGAGATGAGGTTTTGCCATATTTCCCAGGCTGGTCTCAAACTCCTGGCCTCAAGTGATTCACCTGCCTTGGCCTCCCAAAGTGCTGGGATTACAGGCATGAGCCACTAGGGTTTTACATTTAAGTCTTTCATCCATCTTGAATTAATTTTTGTACATAGTATAAGGAAAGGGTCCAGTTTCAATCTTCTGCATATAGCTAGCCAGTTATCCCAGAACCATTTATTTTACTAGGGAATTCTTTCCCCACTGCTTGCTTTTGTCAGGTTTGTTAAAGATCAGGTAGTTGTAGGTGTGCAATCTAATTTCCGAGTTCTCTATTCTGTTCCATTGTTCTATGTGTCTGTTTCTGCACCAGTACCATGCTCTTTTGGTTACTGTAGCCCTGTAGTATAGTTTGAAGTCAGCTAGCATGATGCCTCCAGCTTTGTTCTTTTTTCTTGGCTATTTGGGCTCTTTTTTAGTTCCATGTGAATTTTTAAATAGTTTTCTCTAGTTCTGTGAAGAATATCAATGGTAGTTGAGTAGGAATAGCATTTAATCTGTAAATTGCTTTGGGCAGTATGGCCATTTTAATGATATTGATTCTTCCAATCTATGAGCATGGAATGTTTTTTCATTTGTTTGTGTCATCTCTGATTTCTTTGAGCAGTGTTTTGACTACAGCTCTTTTAATGAAGCAAATGCTGTGCAAACATAGATTAATGAAGCAAATGCTGTGCAAACATAGGATACTGTGGGCTGGGGAGGAAGCTATAGGATCCAGCAATGCACAGCATTAACTGGGGTGAGGACACAGGCAAGAGAATCCCAGCAAAGATTATAGAGGTAGCTCTTTGGACAGCTCTCGTATTCCTTGTGTCCATCCTGTTAGCATACATTCTCCTGCCCCACACCCTGCTCACATCCTGGATAAAATCCATCAGGGTGGAGAAGGTCTGACAGTGAGGGCTGGGAGGCTGCCCGGTACATAACCTCAGCTTAAACCAATGTCTATAGAAACTCTACTTCTGGGAAAAACAAGTCCTATAAATGACTATATTATAAATTGGCATCATAAACGGACTAAAGTACTTCAATATCTCAATAGAATCTTTGTAATAACCCTATGAAGTAGGTACTAATTTAAGTCTGATTTTTAGGATGAGAAAACTGAGGCTTCAGATTCAGAATTGGCCCAAAGTCACAAATTATTAAGTGACAGAGCCAAACTTGAACCCAGGTCTGCTCAGGTGCAGAGCCCAGTGCTTTTCTATTTGCCTCTACTGCCTTTATTTTCAGGCTGACTGAAATATATGAGCCCAAGTTATGAGCACGTGATGGCTCAAGCTGACATTAAAATTACTGGCATCTGTTCTGTCTATTTCCAGGCAGAATAGAACCTCTCCCATTGGCATTATAAAGTAACTCAACCACAGAATCAACCCTGCTCACCACCAAACATTCAAGCTAACTATCAGAAAGTTACGTTATAGAGAAAAGAAATGCTTCTGAAGTTAAATCACTTCCAGAGAAATGCAGCTGAACTCCAAGCAAGTGTGGCAAAATATTGGTTGAAACTCCCTCTAGAACTTGATTGCATAAGCCAGAAGGCACTTAATCCAGCTGTAGTCTTTGAAAATGTCCATAACCTCCCAAAACAAAATGGCTGTGGCCTCTAAGCTTTTAAAATGTAATCATTTCCATTTATGAGTAGAGTCAATTGTTTCATAATTCTAACACTGTTTACCTAAGAACCAGTAAAATGCACAAGAAAGGAAAATAGGTTTTGGAGTCAAGCAGATCCATGTCAACAGCCAAGTCTAGGTACTAAGAAATCTTACATCTATATACTCTCCAGGGCTCTCATGCTCAATTCAGGTGAAGGTTGCCATGGACAGGTTTTGTTCATCTATCCCAGTCAACTAGCTAGCAGAGACAACAGAGCATCAACGGAGTGAGGTCTAACTCAAAAACCAGAGAGCTCTTATACCTTGAGCATTTCACTTTTGCATCAATGGTCCTCATGCTTTTAAAATGTAGAGTCCTTTGAGGATCAGATGGAAAGTCTGCCTCCTCTTCCCAGAAAGCTCTGCAACTTTGGTGTCAGACATTCTTGGATTTGAATCTTGGCATCACCACTTAATAGTTGTGCTTCTTTAGGCAGGCTACTTAACCACTGAATGCCTTATGTCCTTATCCATAAAATGGGGGCAGTCGTAATATGAATCTCACAGAATTGTGATAAGGATTAAATGGGTTGATGCATTAAGCACTTTATGTCCGAGAGCAGACAAGGAGTATAGTGTGGTCATTAGCAAGGCAGGCTCTGGTGTCTGAATTGACCACCTACCAGCTGTGAGACCACTTAACTGACCTGTTCTTTGGTTTTTCCATTTGTAAAATAGGTGTGAGTCATAGTTACCAATCTCATGGGGTTAGTGTGAGGATGAAAGGAGCTAATATGTGTAAAGTACTTACAGCCTAACATATAAGCATTCAAAAAATCATAGCCATTATTAGGATCTCAGTGTCTGGCACATGGCAGATATTTAATAAATGGTAGGTATTGTTAAATTCAGATTACAGATATCTAGGATAGGAGCCATGTCTTCTCTCTTCATGGTTCTTTCATGGCCCCTCATATAGTAGTCTGTATGTATATTCTTCAGTATATTGTATATACAGTATCAGTTGACTGACTGATGCAACTAGCTATTAAAATATATCCTAAATGATTGGCTCTAATTGAAACTAAAGGAAACTGGTGATATGGCCCAAGCTATGACTACAAGTAGTCATGTAGTATATAAACCTAATAAATGCTGGTTAATGGTTCTTATATTTTTCTCTACCTGATATTTCCAAAGCATCTTTTCAAGCAAGAGTATTGTTTTCTCTCAGTTGGATAAGTTTAAATTGCCCAACTAGGTTCATCAGACACATTGTGGTCATTCATCATGCAGAGAGAAGGGACCCAGATCACTAAGGAATTGACTGATCCAGAAAACTACATCCATTTATTCCAGGGGCTCTCAAAGTGAGGCCTCTAGGCCAGCAGGAGTCTCCTCAACTGAGAACTGTCAGAAATGGACAATCTCAGACCCACATAGGAACTCTTGAGGTGGAGCCCAGCAATCCCAGCAATCTGTGCTTTAACAAGTGGCACTGATGCCTGCTCTGATGTAGACTATGCTGGTCAGTACTTGAGATTCAGGAAGCAAGTCAGCCCATAGGGAATACCAATCTCAGAGAAAACTGTGCTTCCAAAGAGAAAAAGGACCTGGGATAGCCCTCCTATTACCAAAAATACTCCTCTAATTTTAGTAGGGCCAGGGTCTGCTCATCATTCCTCTGATGGGGTGTATTAGTCTGTTTGAACACTGCTGATAAAGACATACCTGAGAATGGAAAGAAAAAGAGGTTTAATGGACTTACAGTTCCACATGGCTGGGGAGGCCTCACAATCATGGCAGAAGGCAAGGAGGACCAAGTCACATCTTATGTGGATGGCAGCAGACAAAGAGAGAGCTTGTGCGGGGAAACTCCCCCTTATAGAACCATCAGCTCTCATGAGACTTATTCACTATCACGAGAACAGCATGGGAAAGACCTGCCCCCATGATTCAATAACCTCCCACTGGGTCCCTCCCACACCATATGGGAATTCAAGATGAGATTTGGGTGGGGACACTGCCAAACCATATCATTTGACCCCTGGTCCCTTTCAAATCTCATTTCCTTACATTTTAAAACCAATCATCCCCTCCCAAAAGTCCCCCAAAGTCTCAACTCATTTCGGCATTAACTCAGAAGTCCACAGTCCAAAGTCTCATCCAAGACAACGCAAGTCCCTTCTGCCTATGAGCCTGTAAAATCAAAAGCAAGTTAGTTACTTCCCAGATACAGTGGGGGTACAGGCATTGGGTAAATACAGCCATTCCAAATGGGAGAAATTGGCCAAAAAACAAAGGGGCTACAGGCCCCATGCAAGTCCAAAATCCAGCAGGGCAGTCAAATCTTAAGGCTCCAAAATGATCTCCTTTGACTCCATGTCTCACATCCAGGTGACTCTGATGCAAGCAGTGCATCAGACACCTCTGCACCTTTGCAGGGTAGAGTACCCCTCCTGGCTGCTTTCATGGGCTGGCATTGAGTGTCTGGGACTTTTCCAGACTCACAGTGCAAGCTGTTGGTGGGTCTACCATTCTGGGGTCTGGAGGACAGTGGCTCTCTTCTCACAGGTCCACTAGGCAGTGCCCCATTAGGGACTTGTTATGGAGGCTCCAACCCCACATTTCCCTTCTACACTGCCCTAGCAGAGGTTCTCCATGAGGGCCTCACCCCTGCAGCAAACTTCTGCCTGGGCATCCAGGCATTTCCATACATCCTCTGAAATCTAGGTGGAGATTCCCAAACCTCAATTCTTGACTTCTGTGCACCTGCAGGCTCAACACCACATGGAAGCTGCCAAGCCTTGGGACCTCCAACCTCTGAAGCCACAGCACGAGCTGTACCTTGACCCCTTTTAGTCATAGCTGGAGTGGCTGGGACACAGGGCACTAAGTACCTAGACTGCACACAGCAGAGGGACCCTGGTCCCAGCCCACAAAACCATTTTCTCCTCCTAAACCTCTGGGTGATGGGAGGGGCTGCCGTGAAGACCTCTGACATGCCTTGGAGACATTTTCCCCATTATCTTGGTGATTAACATTTGGCTTCTCATTACTTATGCAAATTTCTGCAGCCAGCTTGAATTTCTCCTCAAAAAATGGGATTTTATTTTCTATTGCATTGTCAGGCTGCAAATATTCCAAGCTTTTGTTCTGTTTTCCTTTTAAAACTGAATGCCTTTAACAGCACCCAAATCACCTCTTGAATGCTTTGCTGCTTAGAAATTTCTTCCGCCAAATACCCTAAATCATCTCTCTCAAGTTCAAAGTTCCACAAATCTCTAGGGCAGGGGAAAAATGCCGCCAGTCTCTTTGCTAAAACATAACAAGAGTCACCTCTGCTTCAGTTCCCAACAAGTTCCTCATCTCCATCTGAGACCACCTAAGTCTGGATTTCATTGTCCTTATCATTATCAGCATTTTGGTCAAAGCCATTCAACAAGTCTCCAGGGAGTTCCAAACTTTCCCACATTTTCCTGTCTTCTTCTAAGCCCTCCAAACTGTTCCAACCTCTGCCTGTTACCCAGTTCCAAAGTCACTTCCACATTTTCGGGTATCTTTTCAGCAGCACCCCACTCTACTGGTACCAATTTACAATATTAGTCCATTTTCACACTGCTGATAAAGACACACCTGAGACTGGGAAGAAAAAGAGGCTTAATGGACTTACAGTTCCACATGGCTGGGAGCGCCTCACAATCATGACGGAAGGCAAGGAGGAGCAAGTCACATCTTACGTGGATGGCAGCAGGCACAGAGAGAGCTTATGCAGGGAAACTCCCCCTTATAGAACCATCAGATCTCATGAGACTTAGTCACTATCACAAGAACAGCATGGGAAAGATCTGCCCCCTGACTCAATTACCTCCCACCAGGTCCCTCCCACAACATGTGGGAATTCAAGATGAGATGTGAGTGGGGACACAGCCAAACCATATCATGAGGCAAGCACAAATGCCATGTGAAACCTGCTATTCTTCTGTAGACACTTGTGTCCAGCCAGAATCAGCTTCAAAAGAATAGCATAGATTTGAAAAAGGGCAGCAGTCAGTCTTGGGACATTAGAACATGGGGAATTAACTGGCCTTGAGTGAAAGGGACCACAGGGGGAGGTTTGGAGCTGACTTATGAATATGGATCCTGTTTCAGCACCTACTGTTGTTAAAGCCCCGTTTCTGTCCCAGAGAACCACCCTGGGCTCGATTCCCTGCACCCTAATGTAGCTCTGTTTTTCATCTGTGTGTCTACTTCAAGTTAGACTCAAAAGTAGAGCAATTATATGACATTATGTTCAAGGCAAAAAGTGACAGAGCAGGCTTCATGTTGCATACAAATGTTGGCAGCTATTGCAAAATCCTCACCGCATATCCTATGGTAATCACTTCCTTAAAGTAAGCAGGAAATAGGTTAGTAGTAGGCTGCTTCACCAGGAGTCATTTCAAATGTATTGTCACCTAAGGTATAACTTCCCAAAGATGGAAAGAGATAAAGCCACTGAGTCTGCCCTCTTTATCCATCTACAGCCACCAAGGTAATTACAGTTTTTAAAAACGCTACTCATAGTTCATTGCTTTCATATCTAAAGTTAAGAGATCTAAAAGTTCCCCCACATCCCCACTTAGCAGTCATGACTAAGGTGAAAAAAGCCACCAGTATCAGCCTGGTCTCTCTTATCAGCAGTTTAGAAAGTACTACAATTTTCCCATCTGACTCACATCTAAATGACTCGCATCTAAAATGTTTTTCCTTAATTTTCCTTCCGTAAAGAGTTCATTTAAACTCTAATACTGTTGCTTTTCAAAAATTTCTAAAGAAAGAAGCATCTTGGAACAATGTATTAACTTCTGCATCAACTTTTATTTCATATAATAATTTTATATAATTTTTTAAAGGCAGATGTGTGTTTACTTTGAGAAGTAAAAATGTTAACATTGAAACTGAAAGCCTGTTTCAGTTTTAAGGTACTTAATTGCCTTACAGCATATAATAAACCGAGGCCATCTTGTCCTTCAACTAATGGAGGGAGTGATAAAGAGATAGGAGCCCGGGACCCTATTCATTCCAGTTTTCCTTTGTACTTGGTTTACTTTGGCACCATGCCTCATGTGTATTTTACACTTCTTTACATTTTGTACATCCCTGTATGACAAATACTTGTCAAACAAAAACTAAACAGATTTATAACCCCTTAACTTGAAATGAGCCAAAATTGAACTGCCAAAACTTTATGACTTCATTTTCTTTCATAGTTTTCCACCACATTGGTTCAAACAGACAAACTCCACTTGAGGTCAAGCAGAGGTCATTTCACTTTCATTACTAAAATATAATTTACAATATGCCAGACCTAAACAAGTTTAGCCTAAAGGGTTTGTATAATGTAAACCATCTGTTCCTCAACAATACAGCTAATTTCCTGCCATCACCGTACAGTCTACTGACTGCTTCTTTAAGGGTTTTTATGATTTTTTAACTAGTTCAGGATTTATGTAAAATTTGAAAATGAGTCTATAGTTAGGATTCATTTGTACCAAGTAACTTGAGCACCTTAAAAATGCAAATCACTGTGGAAATTGTTCCCCTGAAACCAAGCTAGGAGCATTTTTTTTCTGGGCACTTCTTTGCTGGCAGCTGCACAGGTGTTCGAAGGGAAGATTTTGTGGACTCTGCCATTTTAGATGCTTTCCATGCCTCTTTGCAAAGCAAACCCCCCAAATTTAGTTTTCAGTAGCTCTAGTAAATGACTCCTTGGAGAAGACTTGGGATTATATGCTATATGGCCCACTGGATATTGGTGAGATAGGACAAGATACACTTTGGGGTAAAATCTACTTTCTTTCATGTGTCTGAACAGGGAGGAAGAACAATTATAATTCCATAGAGTGACCACATACTGAAGGCTAACCTAGCTCTGTGAGGTGGCAGGCCTCTCAGGCTGAGCCTCCAGAGACATTCGGCTTCAATCTGGGATTGCTGGCCAGCAGGCTTCTCTGGTTTCAAACAGAATGCTGGGGCCGAAAAACAGAGAGCCTTGGAGTTGCAAGTGTGGCTCTTTCGGCTCTCCTGAAAATTCTTGATACTTTCTTTAGCCCCTTTCTCCATCTGTAAAATAGCAAAATTAGGCGTTCTGTTTCCAAAGGCAAGTATATGAGAACAAATTTGCTTACCTCAGTGGAGGGGAATGCAGCTGGCCTTCTTAGCCACGAAGCCCCAAGGCCATGTGTAGGGCTGATGCCAAGGTCCTGTCCACCTCTTCCTCTTTTCCCACCTCCAGAAGTTTGGCTGGCTTGCTTCCTTTACCCATCTGCTACCATCCACTCTTCCACACGAGTTCTTGTTGCCTTCACCTTCATTCACATCTCAGAGGAGCCAGCTACAGGCCACTCAACTTCTCACCCACCCTCAAGCTCCAAAACAAATTCCCTGTCATTTTTAAAGGATTTTTTTTTTTTAACTAGCAACTACAGGAGAACAGAGAAAGATTAACAGGAAGAAAGTTAAACACTCTGCAACTACTTAAGGCTTAAATGGATCTAAATCATTTGCATTACTTTACTTCCTGGATGACTTTCCTAATAAGGATAATAAGAATGATTTAAAGGGCACTTATTAGGTGGGAATTACGTTCATACATCGTTGTATTTAATTCCTACTGCAACAGCTCAAGCTAGATAGTACATTAGTTCATAGATATGGAAACAGAGGTTCAGAAAAGTTAAGAAATTCACCCAAGGTCAGTGATTAATATTATAAGACCTATGCCACAGGATCATGGTGTTAAATAAGTTAATATTTGCTAAGTGCTTAGAACATTATCTGGCACAAAGTAAGTGCTATGTAAGTATTAACTATTATTCATAAAAAGCAGCAGATTCAAGATGCAAACCCAGATTTATAGGAGTCCAAAGCTCACTTAGTTTGAATTATGCCATACTGCCTATGGATACTTTTCAAGCAGTGAAGGAGGAGAGGGTATTGGGTTTCTAACTCCTCATTATACCAGCCTAATATTCCATGAGTTTACTTCCTAATTCCCATTTTCCACAAAGAAGTTTTAGTACTCAGTCCCTTAAAGTTCTCTGTCTCCAAAAGCGTAGAGATCTTATTTTTGTCAAAAAGTAAGTGATGTCTACTTTGCCATTCAAGGGACCTTCACCTAAACTGGATTTATTTACATCATTAGGAAAAGTTCTCATGGAAATCTCCAATCTTAATGTCATGCAGGAAAAATTCACCTTGAGTTACTCTTGCCAGCAAAAGTAAAATCATCTGAGTGCTACAAGACAAAAAAAGTAGGGTTGGCTCAACTGGTTACCTTTCTCATCACCCACACCTTGCTCTCTCAAAGGAATTCTACAAGCTCCCACAAGAATACAGACCCTAAAAGCAAAAGGAAAAATGGTGGATGGACTTACAATTGCAAAAGATATTTCCTAGTTCAGTAAGATGGGAAGATTCGCCTATTGTTTTTTTTTTTTTAAAAAAATAGTTATTTAATTTAAAAAAATAGTAATTTAATAAATTAAATAGTTATTTAATTTAATATATTCACCTGGTTGAAAAATTTTAAAGCATAGAAAAGCAGAACCTCTGCCCCCCTTTTTCTAGTTTCTACTTCCATACCCCCAATAATCACTGCTATCTATTTCCCAAGTATCCTTTCGTAGTTTCTTTATTCTTATACAAAGAAATATGTTTCATGTGTTCTTTTTCTCCTTCTCTCTTACACAAAAGCAGCATCCAGCATTAACTGTTCTGTTGCTTTTTATTTTTAGCTGAGCAAAGGATTTTGCAGACCTTCCCATACCAGTACATACGAAACGTCCTCATTCTTTTTTTTCAAATGTGGAATATTCTATTTACTAGCTCCACTGTAATTGATTTAATATATTCTCTATAGGGACATGGAGGTCATTGATAATATTTTGCTATTACAAACAATACTATATTGAATAGAACTAGATCAATAAGATTTAATTTACTGAAAGTTTAAAGCAACAAATTACCATTACTTTCAGCACAAGTAAACTTTCTAAAACTCATTTCCAAATATAAACCTCACAAAATCTGCTTTGATGAACAAATAAGACCAATTTATAATGAGACAGTTTATTTGCATAGAATAATTAATGTTCCAAAATCCCCAATCCCAATTTGTCCTTTTAAGTGAGTATTTTGCTGCAAGTTTATTTACACTTACAATTAGGTTAGTGGGCATTTTGCCCTGGAAAATATCAGCCTAGAACAAATCTAATCATCATGAATTCTAAATTAGTAGAGTTTGGATAAGAGAACTTTTTTACCAAATTATCTAAACTGTTGTTTTAAACTCTGTACAGAGAGCTCTGGATTTCATATGTATTTCAACATTGTCAGTTTCAGTTAGAATTTTCAGGGTAGTATTCTTTTTTAAAAAATAAGGATTTGAAGGATGGGGATTATTTGAAAAATCAGTTGTATGTAAAATGCATTGTTTTTATTACTTTCTTTTCTAACAAATTAAATGAAACATCAGACTAAATTTGAGGTACATTTTAAAATAGTAAAAACATATAACATTATAGACATTTACTTGCCAAGATCAAATGTCATGATTCAATACTTATTTTCATTGTGAGCTAATGCCTTCACCTGTCTGTCTTAAGGTCAATTAATAAACAACCCACTTGCGAAGACCTAGGGATATACGTTGGTATGAAGGGCAGTGCTTCCAATAAGATTTCCCTTGAAATCTCGTTGTGAGGACAAAATACATGCATAAAAAGAACAGAAACATCAAGTTGATAATAATAACAAAAAGTTAAATAGTACTTACCATGGGCCAGACATAGGTCTGAGTGCTTTACAAACTTTAACTCATAGGTCTGAGTGCTTTACAAACATTAACTCATTAAAAGTTTGCAATAACATGGTAAGTACAATTATTATCATCCCATTTTATAGATGAAGGAATTGAGGCAAAAGTTAAATGTTGTATCTGGGGTCACACAGCTGGTAAGTGGAGAAGGCAGGATTCCAACTCAGACTGGCTATGGAGGCCACTTGTGTAACCAGCCACCACACTGCTTTGTGTATGTGGTGGCATTCACAGTAAAGGCAAAAGAGTCTAGCAAAGAAATGACCATAGTGGTCAGGGAAGGTTTTGCGGGAAGTGGGGCCTGAAACAGGCTTTTTAGAAAACAAAGGATTTAATCAATGGAGAAGACCGCATTTCAGACCTTCCCATCTCTATTGTGAGTACTTCAGAAGGACAATCTTTTGTTTTGGTTTCTCTTTTAGCACAATAAATATTCGAAGAATGGCAGAACATTGGAGGAACAAAAGTATTAGGCAAGAATGTAAATGGTTTCAGGAGTGGACATTGAGAAAACCTATTTAACTAAAGTGATGCCATCACACAGAGAAGTAGCAAGGGATCATGTCAGGAAAGTGAGTTAGGACCAGATTACAAATGCTCTGAGTACCAGGCTGTAGCCTCTGTGGTAGTGCTTCTGACACCCTAATCTTCACAGAAACCACTGGGGTCTTGTTAAATGCACATGCAGATTCAGTAGGTCTGAGGTGGGCCCAAGAGTCTGCATTTGCAGTAAGTTTGGGTGATGCTGATGTTGCTGGTCCCCAGACCACAGTTTGAGTACCAAGACTCTAGACAACAGCAAAAAACCATTTTGTGGCTGGGTTGAGGGAAAGGGATAGGGTAGTGATGGAAAGTTGTCTATGGCACCTCCCCTGAGTTGCAGCCAACGATTTGAAAGATATATAGACCTACAATATTTTATTGAATTTGTTTATAGAACCTTTTTCTATATGCCCCGTCCCTCCTTTCGGATGCAAAGCTGTCTTGCCTGAAGATATGTTTTAAACCACGTTTTTCCTCTCTTTCATACAGAGCAAGGCTAAAGAGCTACCTCTTTCTGCTGTACGCTTTATGGAAGAATTGGGTGAGTGTGCCTTTGGAAAAATCTATAAAGGCCATCTCTATCTCCCAGGCATGGACCATGCTCAGCTGGTTGCTATCAAGACCTTGAAAGACTATAACAACCCCCAGCAATGGACGGAATTTCAACAAGAAGCCTCCCTAATGGCAGAACTGCACCACCCCAATATTGTCTGCCTTCTAGGTGCCGTCACTCAGGAACAACCTGTGTGCATGCTTTTTGAGTATATTAATCAGGGGGATCTCCATGAGTTCCTCATCATGAGATCCCCACACTCTGATGTTGGCTGCAGCAGTGATGAAGATGGGACTGTGAAATCCAGCCTGGACCACGGAGATTTTCTGCACATTGCAATTCAGATTGCAGCTGGCATGGAATACCTGTCTAGTCACTTCTTTGTCCACAAGGACCTTGCAGCTCGCAATATTTTAATCGGAGAGCAACTTCATGTAAAGATTTCAGACTTGGGGCTTTCCAGAGAAATTTACTCCGCTGATTACTACAGGGTCCAGAGTAAGTCCTTGCTGCCCATTCGCTGGATGCCCCCTGAAGCCATCATGTATGGCAAATTCTCTTCTGATTCAGATATCTGGTCCTTTGGGGTTGTCTTGTGGGAGATTTTCAGTTTTGGACTCCAGCCATATTATGGATTCAGTAACCAGGAAGTGATTGAGATGGTGAGAAAACGGCAGCTCTTACCATGCTCTGAAGACTGCCCACCCAGAATGTACAGCCTCATGACAGAGTGCTGGAATGAGATTCCTTCTAGGAGACCAAGATTTAAAGATATTCACGTCCGGCTTCGGTCCTGGGAGGGACTCTCAAGTCACACAAGCTCTACTACTCCTTCAGGGGGAAATGCCACCACACAGACAACCTCCCTCAGTGCCAGCCCAGTGAGTAATCTCAGTAACCCCAGATATCCTAATTACATGTTCCCGAGCCAGGGTATTACACCACAGGGCCAGATTGCTGGTTTCATTGGCCCGCCAATACCTCAGAACCAGCGATTCATTCCCATCAATGGATACCCAATACCTCCTGGATATGCAGCGTTTCCAGCTGCCCACTACCAGCCAACAGGTCCTCCCAGAGTGATTCAGCACTGCCCACCTCCCAAGAGTCGGTCCCCAAGCAGTGCCAGTGGGTCGACTAGCACTGGCCATGTGACTAGCTTGCCCTCATCAGGATCCAATCAGGAAGCAAATATTCCTTTACTACCACACATGTCAATTCCAAATCATCCTGGTGGAATGGGTATCACCGTTTTTGGCAACAAATCTCAAAAACCCTACAAAATTGACTCAAAGCAAGCATCTTTACTAGGAGACGCCAATATTCATGGACACACCGAATCTATGATTTCTGCAGAACTGTAAAATGCACAACTTTTGTAAATGTGGTATACAGGACAAACTAGACGGCCGTAGAAAAGATTTATATTCAAATGTTTTTATTAAAGTAAGGTTCTCATTTAGCAGACATCGCAACAAGTACCTTCTGTGAAGTTTCACTGTGTCTTACCAAGCAGGACAGACACTCGGCCAGAAAAAAAAAAAAAAAAAAAAAACAAGCAAACAAAAACATTGTGGGATGTGCACTCCATTGGAGTGCATGACATGGCATTGGGATTGGAACATGTGGTTTCGAGCACTGAAAGCTGCAAACCAGTGAAGAGGAAAAGAACCTTGTGATTAAATATAAAACCAAAAGTCAAATGGTGCTTTGTGTTTTAGCCTTCAGTCACCATGACTGGTCTCTCCCCCAGATGTATATATACCATAGCATTTGTCTACCTGCTGTCTTTTCTTCAGGACAGATGTTCAGGAATTATATTGATTGAATTTAGACTCTGTGCATGTTCTTATGGAAATGATGTTCAGAATCCATGAAGAAACTTCAGGCCAAATTTGAAACCCTGGAGGGAAATGAGCCATAAGGGAAGTATAACAAGCCCTGAAGCCTTTTATGTCGTTGTGCTTCTTTGGGAAGGTGTAGAGTGTGCCTTTTTGTGAATCCTCCTCTGATCATGAGGGTCTTTCCCACAGTTTCTCACAGTGTGTTTACACTGCCCTTGGAATAACACAGCGCATCAGACCATAAGAAGGCTAGATGTGGATGCTAGAATTGATTGTTGGTTGATAGTTCTCTTTGCTGGATTAGGAATGAGGCGCCAAAGGAAGCACAGCCAGGAAAATGGCCCCACAGCCTAGATCAGCATCTGTGGGAAAGGAAAAAGGGTTCCCATGGGGACAGCCCCCATAGGAGTTTTCTGGAACCAGTAACACTGAAAAATAAGTGTGTGGCTACAGATGAGCACGCCCACCCCTTGCAACTCCCTGTTTACAAGTTGTCCGAGGCATTGGAGTGCTTATGGTCAATGGGCTCTAGGGAAGTAGGAAACTCCATCATGATACAAATGTCTAGTAATTTTAAAGTTTCTTTCCCTTTTTTTCTGTGCTGGAAATGTTCACAGATTTGATTCCCGCCCCAAGAATTACAACAATGTATTCATACAGTCAGTTGGAATCCAAAGGCAATTAATTCTATTTTGCAAAATATGATGGTCTTCCTAAAAAACAAGTACTGAGTTCTCATTTCAAAAGTTACCAAGAACTGAATTCTTTAAACTAGCAAACCGAAGTAACATGACCATTTTTGCCTTAGTGGGAGGTTTCAAATGTGCAGCTCATGGCATTTACCTGCCGACCATCTTTTGCCAAGTTTAGAATTCTTATGCGTTTCAAGTTCTATATAGAAAGTAATTTTACTTTTGATTTTTCTCTTGTTAAAAAAAAACTCCTTTATTCTAAGAACAATGTCTCAAAGTCTCATTTTTACTTTAAAGGTATAAGAGACTTCTAAAGAGACTTACGGGATATAAAAGTAATTCCTGGAAATGATATTTGATGAGGAGAATGTAAGAGAATGAAAAACACATTGATGTTTTCATTTTTAAAAAATACAACTAGCATGAGAAATCAAGAAAATATGTTTACCAAAATGCATTGCAATTTTCCCAAACCTGAGTCTTCAAATAACAAACATGAACTTATAGGTACTGTGAACTAGAAGAATTGGTTATATCCAGATTTCTGGGAGATAAATTAAAACATATTTTTGTGGCATAAATAAGCTGATTCAGAAGTTACATTTCTTAACTTTAGGTAGAGGAGAATATTTGTATCCTTTTGTTGCTATGCAACTGTTTAATGATGAAGCTTCAAACCACAATTTTGTATATCATATGACAATCAATTGTTTTCCAAGAATATTTATTATTTTAAGTACACAATTTCAGTGAATCTTGAGTTTTTCTAGGAGTCCCTTAAAGGGAAATTAGCATTCCATGAGCCAGTAAAATACCTACTCTGGTAAAACATTATTATGGTTAAAAAGTAAATTCAAGTTAGTTTTTTATAAAGAACTATAACATTTATTTTAAACATTTTATAATAACTGAAAACATTAAAGTGAGCAAATGAAATTTCAAAACCACTTGTAATAATGTATTTTATAATCGCACTGTGATACTATATAACACAGTCTCTTTTGTATTAAAATAGTATTTTTTTCACAAGCTGAAAAATATCTTTTCCTTTGTTGACAATGTTTTGTAAGATGACTTTATTTTCAGATCTTTTTCTCCTTTTTTGCACAAAACTATGCTTATGGTTTGTGTCACAGAAGTGAAAATATATCTTTGCATTTTTATATCTGGTCTGTTTTTCTTGTTTCCTTTGTTTTTAACTTGATATAGATTTTCTTCAAATATATAATGGCAATTTTCAGATATCTCACCTTACCATATCTTTCCTTATTTTCACTGCATGCATTTAATCACTGTATTACTTAATGTTTGATTTGTTATTATGGGCATTTCAAATAGGCAAGCATTGAATTGTAATGACAAAAAGGCTATTTTATATTAAGGATATATGCATTTGTATTTCACACACCAGAGATGATATTAAACACTGATTATTTTATGCTGCTGTTTATTAAAAATGTTTACTATAAAATATTATTTCCTGAATATTGCTGTCATAGAGGTATTTGGGGATTTTAACATTTACATTTTATAGAAAGAGGAATCACAATTCCTATTTGCTGTTATTTCATTAAATTTTTTTTTTTCAGTAGGCTTTTAAAACAGACTTGGGCATTATTTTGCTAGCAACCATAGGTGGAGAGGGGAATCCTAATGATTTCATAACTGAATACTATCCACCTATATATGGCAAGCTTTGAATTTTTAAAATCAAAATAATATATTGAATAGTTACAACCAATGGAATATAAAAAATATTTGATTTTAAGAATATAGTTGCATCATTTTCTGCCTTAATATTTCCATATAATCTTAGATATCAAAAGTCACCTCTTTGGACTCTAAAGAAGAAGAGGCTGTGTACATCTTATCATGCCCAACTTAGCTTCCAAACATACTGATAAAATAAATGGGGCCATTTAATTGTCACAACTTATCTTTATGACCTTATTTGCCCAAAAGAAAGAGTTCCTCATCTGGCAATTAATACACATGGTCAAGGAAAATGAGTACCATAATGAAAGTTCAAAGAAGTTGTCCATATCTGCTATTTAACACAGAAAGGAATACAATAAAACCTTTAGGGCCTTATCCATCTGTTTTAGGTACAGCTCTTGTCACCACCTCAACAATCAAACTCAATAAAGCAATCCCTTCACATGGCAGTGAGATCCGTGTCAGGCTGGGTTTCTCCCTCTCACTTGAATTCCTCAGCCTGCCTTTTACCCCCATTTCCTTCTTTTATCTCCCAGCTCTTGACCCTCCTGCCATCCCCAATCCCTTCAACTCTGAGATTCCCTTAATTCCCTAATCACCAACATCTGCAAACTCCTAGCATCACCTTCCCATAATGCCTACTACAATACTGAATAAAGAGGAGCTCTTTTATCCACACATCTTCTAAGATGATTACCTATCCCAGTACTTCTCAAAGTGTGGTTCCCAGAGCAAAGAAACAGCGGCACCCTGGAACTGGTTAGAAATGCAAATTATCAAGCCCTACTTTGAAGTACTAAATCAAGGGATCCACGGGAGATGCTAGGGGTGAAGTTCATCCTCTTAATTTAGACAGCATTTTTTTTTTTTCAGCTAATAGCTCAAATGCTAAAGAGGAAATCCTGGGGATGAGACCCAGAAATTTGTGTTTTAGCAAGCCTCACATGATTCTGATATACTCTAAAGATCAAGAACTGACTTAATTTAAAGGCACGGGGGTGGGTGATCATTACATTCTTTTGTTTGTTTGTTTGTTTGTTTGAGATGGAGTCTCACTCTGTCACCCAGGCTGGAGTCCACTGGCGCCATCTCAGCTCACTGCAAGCTCAGCCTCCCGGGTTCACGCCATTCTCCTGCCTCAGCCTCCCGAGTAGCTGGGACTATAGGCACTCACCACCGCGCCCGGCTAATTTTTTATATTTTTAGTAGAGATGGGGTTTCACCGTGTTAGCCATGATGGTCTCGATCTCCTGACCTTGTGATCTGCCCGCCTCAGCCTCCCAAAGTGCTGGGATTACAGGCATGAGACACCGCGCCAGGCCGATCATTACATTCTTAGTAATGTGCACGTAAGCATTTAATAACATTTTAGCCCCTTTATTCCCCTTTAAAGAAAATCAAGTTTTACTGTAAAATTCAGCACTAAAAGCTGTTTGTGTTAGCCATTTGACAATTAGCTATATTTTTTGAAGTTGTTCCCTTGGATAGAAAACTGACAACATGTAGTCTTTGTCAAGAAGATATTCCTCATCCAGTTCACCTGAGACCTAAATTCTTGGATAGTGGCCAAATGCTTTTTCCTTCATATGGACAAACTCAAAGAAGTTGGTCTCTTAGTACGCGTTTTTTTGACCCATGAACTGATGATTGACAAAACAAAACAAAACAAAAATCCCTTCTATGTTGCAACTTAACAAAGATAAGGTCAAGGATAGGCTGGTCTTTGGGAGGAGGGATAGGCTCAGCCCTAGTAAGCATCAAGCAGGAAGCTGCTGCAGGGGCTCCCCTCCCTCCCTTGCACTTCCTGTGATGCCCTGACCCAGCTGGCTGGATGCAGACACCTGTGGCTTGTTCTGCTGTTTTCCTTGGCCAGCTGGAATCCATCATCAGTCCCTGGCTGGCCATGAGTGCTCTTCTGCCCGGACTTTGCTCTCCTCTGCCTTTAAAGGGCTGAAAGCTCTGAGGAAGGACAGAAAGAGGGATCCAAGGGAGGTTCTGGGGTGCAGTTCATACTCTTCTTAATTTATACGCATTTTTTTCAGCCAATAGCTCTAATGCTAAAGAGGAAGTGCCAGATTAGCGGAGAAAGAACAAGGGAGCACACACAAGAAAGGGTTTTTGCAGCCAAAATATGACTGCATTGAAGTTTGTTACCGTAAATGCCAATGGTAATAGGACGCTGTTAGCTCAAGAAAAGGAGAGTCTTACAAACCATCAAAGCACTCAAGGTCAATGTAATCCTCTGGGAAATTAGGCTGGGAAGGCTTAAAAATATAGACATATAGAGGGAGAAGGTCTGCTGACATATTTATGACTAGTTGAATCTTAAGCACGTATGAATTGCTTACTCACAAATGAGTACCATAACATTTGCTGACCGGGATTGGCAAGATACCTTACCAAATGACTATGTTAGTAAATACAGTCATGCATTACTTAACGAAGGGGATACATTCTGAGAAATGTCCTTAGGTGATTTCGTCACGGTGCAAACATTATGGTGTACAATTACACACACAGTACAGACTGCTACAAACCTAGGCTACATAGAGTATGGCATACTGCTCCCAAGCTACAAACCTGTACAGCATGTTACAGTACTGAATACTGTAGGCAACTGTAATACAATGGCAAGTATTTGTGAATCTAAGCACTTATCATGAATGGAGCTTGTAAAACTGGAAGTTGCTCTGGGTGAGTCAGTGAGTGAGTGGTGGGTATTGTACACTACTGTAGACTTTATAAACACTGTACACTTAAACTACACTAAATTTATTTAAAAATTCTTCAATCATAAATTAACCTTTTGATTTATGAACTTTTTATTTTAACTTTTTGACTCTTGTAATAACACTTAGCTTCAAACATGTACAGCTGCACAAAAATATTTTTTATATCTTTATAAGCTTTTTTCTATTTTTAGTTTTTTTAATTTACTTTTTAAACTTCTTTGTTAAAAACTGAGATACAAGGCCAGGCGCAGTGGCTCACACCTGTAATCCCAGCACTTTGGGAGGCCGAGGCCGGCGGATCATGAGGTCAGGAGATTGAGACCATCCTGGCTAACACGGTGAAACCCCGTCTCTACTAAAAATACAAAAAAATTAGCCAGGTGTGGTGGCGGACGCCTGTAGTCCCAGCTACTCGGGAGGCTGAGGCAGGAGAATGGCATGAACCCGGGAGGCGGAGCTTGCAGTGAGCCGAGATAGCGCCACTGCACTCTGGCCTGAGCAAAAGAGCGAGACTCCGTCTCAAAAAAAAAAAAAAAAAAAATACTGAGATACAAACAGACACTAGCCTAGGCCTACACAGGATTAGGATCATCAGTATCGCTGTCTTCCACCCCCACATCTTGTCCCACTGGAAGATCTTCAAGGACGATAGTACACATGGAGCTGTCATCTCCTTTAACAGTGCCTTCTTCCGGAATTCCTCCTGAGGGATCTGCCTGAGGCTGTTTACAGTTAACTTTTTGTTTTTAATAAGTAGAAGGAGTACAATCTAAAATAACAATCAAAAGTATAGTACAGCAAGTACATAAGCCACTAACACTTGTTTATTATTATCAAGTATTATGTACTATACATAATTGTATGTGCTATACTTTTATGCGACTGGCAGCACAGTACTTTTGTTTATACCAGCATCACCACAAATGTGAGTAATGCATTGCACTCACAATGTTACGATGGCCATGACATCACTAGGTGATAGGAATTTTTCAGCTCCATTAGTATCTTTTGGGACTACCGTTTTAAATGTGGCCTGTTGTTGACTGGAATGTCATTATGCTGTGTGTTACTGAACTGAATTCTTATCTAATAATGCTTAAGAGAAAGGCCCCTCTTTAAAATTAGATGGGACGTTACTTACACTTTGAAAAAGGACAGTATCTTGACATCCTGAAATAAAGATAATTCAGAGAATATTCAATTTGAAGGAAAGCAGTTTTAAATGTCAATCTTCATGGACTTGTGCTCCCAATTGTAAATCCAAACACACACAAAACAACAGAACTACCTACACAAAGCCATAGATTAATGCTTAAGCTCTGCCCAACCGTACGGGCATACGGACCTTGCATCAGAAATAGGTCCAGGACAGACCTTATCCTATGGCAGGTGCTCCTTACCTACTGCAATCCTTGGGCATTAGAAAAAAATTAGTCTAGTTATCATTTGGGCCTATTTTAACACAATTCCCTGAAAGGCTTCTTTTGGGTCTACATGCATTAAAATCACTTAAAAGGGACTGAAACTCCCTAATGGCATAACCTAGGTAGTTTACCAAGAGTCAGTCTAATCAGACTAAAACTAATATTCAGACAAAATGACAGTTTAGGACTTATTTTTCATTCCAGAGTTCACTGGAATTGACTTTAACTGATCGATTTCAAACAGATCAATTCCAAATTGGCCAATGTTGATTGTATTGGTCAGCTTGGCTGCAGCAATAACTCCAAAATCTCAGTGGCTTGCCTTTCAAGAGCAAATGATTATTTCTCACTCATGTCTATCAGCAGAGTTGGTCTGCTGCAGTGGCCCTGTCTCCAGGTCTCTGAAGGACAAAGTGTTCTCATGACAGAGGAAAACAGCAAGAGCAGAACTGAAACACAAGCACTCAAAAACTTCTGTGCAGACAAGTCAGATGTCACATCCTCTCAGTCAACACAAATTCTGAGGCCAAACCTGACTGCAGGACATGGACATATCTCCGCCTGCGGAGAGGTACAGACAGTTGCATAGTCATAAGCAGGAATATAGAATCTTCTTGCAGGAAAGGAAGTGAATAGTTGGGAACAATAATATGATCCCCCAGGCAGCTGAATCCCTGAGTGAATAGAGGCTGTGTAGCAAACCCAGGTGGAAGGGAAATGGCTGTGCTTTAGTCAGGGGTAGGTTGAGGTGGCCTTCTGGTACAGCATGAATCAGCAGGTTTGGAGCACTGGTGCACAGCCCCGCATGTTATGTAACCATGCTACGTGAGGCGCATTAGGTGATTACCCATGTGAGCTCGTGCTTGGCTCAGAGCCGCTATTGTCTGTAAAATATCTAACTACACTGCTAACGCTGTACATACAGCTCACTCATGCCCAGAAAGAGAGTAAAGCCATGTCGAAACTCTAAAATTCCTCGAGTGTTTTTCCAGCTACCTGCCACTCACCCACCAACTCCCCTCGGACTTCAATTAGAACCTGATAATTGGCGTCACAAACAGGATCCTGAGGTGAGTGAGCCTTTTGTCCCCTCTGATTCTGGGTCGGCCATGTGGCCGCAACATGGGTTGTGGTACCCGGTGGCAGCTGTGCTGCTCAGACAGGCTCCAGTGGAAGGAAACCTGGGTGGCAGTAGATGGGTCTGCCACGAGCATGGAGAAGGTGCTGAAGCAGTGGAAGCACAGAACACCAAGAAGGAGCAAGCTTTTGCCCGCAGAGTTGGATGGGCATTTTTGACTGTGCTACAAGAAGTACACACCCAGTCCCTGAGGGATGCAGCACAGGTCAGGGCACTCCAGGCACAGGTGGGTCACCTAACACCCGGCTACACAGCTCAGAAAAAGAGTTAGAAGCTGCCGTGAATGGGGACTTCTAGGTGCAGGCGGGGCATTTGAAGGCTGGCTACAGAGCTTGGAAAAGTAATTCAAGGCTGCTGTGAATCCAGGCCTGGTCTGTTGTCTCGGCTGGAGACCCCCCACTTAGTCTGATACCAAGGAGGAAGAACCTCCGTTGTGGGCTTGCCCAGTGGTTCATCAGAAGGTAGATCATGAAGAGCCATTGCGGCCCCAAGGGCAGGCTCAGGGACCCCCCCACCGTAACACAACATACTTCATATACTGCTTGTACCCCAACTGAGCTGCAGGAATTAGGCAAGCAGTGCCACAGCATCCAGGGCAAACTCTGCCCACATGGATGCTTTGTTTGTGGAATGAGGGAGCAGGTAGTATCTCCTATTCCACGTCTGAGATGGAAAAGCTGGTCTGTATCATGACTCACCCCTCCCTCCATCAGCAGCTGCAAGTAAATAGGTGACCACACCACAAGGGCAAGGTGACCACACCCTGACTGAGTGGCTAAGGGCAGCCATATGGACTGTGTGGAATGATGCCGGTGAAATACCCAAAACCATGAGTAAATGGCAGTCGTATACCGATTTGGTGCAAGTCATCTGGGAGATGGGTATGCAGCAGGCTATGTTTGGCCTGAATACCCAGGGGCCAGATGATGAAAGTTTCACCTCCCACATGAGGGATCTCTTATAGAGTTCTGCCCCACTGAGTGCCTTTGGCTTCCTAGCTGCTGTCTTCACTCGGTACATAGAGCGCAGCGTACATGAAGTGACCACTGCTATGGCAGGTCTCAGGCAAGCTGAAGACCATCCGCAGGACTGAGGGGTCTGTGCCATAAAGAAGGGGAAGATGCTCCACCTGAAGGGTGCCCCACCATGGGAGAAAAGGGCCCCAATGAGTGACACACACAGATGTGGATAGATTTGATTTTGGCCAGGGTTGACTGAGGGAAAATCCATAAGCAGCCCAATGAAGGACTCTTAACTTTGTGGAGACAGTTGTCTCCGGAGCAGCAATTCCAGAAAATGTCCAAGGGGGAGAAGGACATTGCTGTGTGACCCAGTCCTGCCCAGGCGCTTCAGCTTAAAGACTACTTGCTGCAACCAGGCAGAAATGTAGAGGCTTTTCTCTTCGATTAGGGAACTGGCCAAGGTGCCCAGCCTGGGGGGACACTAAACAACCAGAGGCCACATGTGGAATTAGCGATCCAACGGACAGCGGGTGCCAGCACTGGTGGATACTGGCGCCAATGGCAGCCTTGTTTATAGGAACCCAAATAAGTCTCTGGGCAAACCTTTTTACATTGATGGTTATGGAGGCTGGTCAGTGAAAGTGAAACCTGTATCTCTGCACCTTGGCATTGGCCGTTTGGCTCTCCGTTTACATACTGTGTGTATCTCTCCCACATCTGAATACATTCTGGGGGTGGACATTTTACATGGCCTGGTGTTACAAAGTATGGCCGCGGAATTCAGACTCTGAGTGCATGTGGTGAAGCCAGTGCTGCGTGGACATACACATCACCAGCCTCAGGTCCTACCACAACCCCAATGGGTTACTTCCACCCGTCAATACCATTTGCTGGGTGGGCATACAGAGATAACTGAGACAATTAAGATGCGGGAGGAGGTGCAGATAGTGCATGGCACCCACAGCCCCTACAATTCTCCAGTGTGGCCAGTTAGAAAGCCTGATGGAACTTGGCAGATGGCGGTGGACTATCAGGAACTGCATAAATTAACACCCCCTTTGCATGCAGCTGTACCATCAATCATGGATTTCATGGACCATTTGACGATGGAACTGGGACAGTACCACTATGTAGTGGACTTGGCCAATGCATTTTTCTCCATAGAAATCGCTCCAGAGAACCAGAACAGTTCACCTTCTTGTGGAAAGGGCAACAGTGGACTTTTACAGTGTTGCCACAGGGCTATGTGCATAGCCTCACCATATGTCATGGTCTAGTTGCCACGGATTTAGCCACCTGACAATGTCAGAAGGGGTCTGCCTATTGCATTATATTACTGATATTAGGTTAACCTCTGATTCTCTTGCAGATTTAGAAGCGGTGATGCCCCTCTTGTGGCAACATTTGGCAGCATGTGGTTGGGCTGTCAATGAATCCAAGGTCCAAGGGCCTGGATTATCTGCCAGATTCTTGGGAGTTATCTGGTTGGGTAAGACAAAGGCCATCCCAGAGGCTATTATTGATAAGATTCAGGCATATCCCTGGCCCACCACGGTGAAGCAGCTGTAAACTTTTGTGGGACATTGTTATGGGATATTGTTGGACATCTGTGCCCCATTTAGCTTGGATGATAAAACGGTTGCATGGTTAATAAAAAAGGGACCTACTTGGGATTGGGATGATGCAGCTGAGACCACCTTCCTGGCAGCCAAATGGGCTATTCAGCAGGCACAAGCCCTACAGGTAGTTGACCAGGGGTGCCTGTTTGAGTTGGTATGCATGTGACCACAGATGGCTTCAGCTGGGGCCTGTGGCAGCACGTGGAGTGCTTGAGAACGCCAGTAGGCTTTTAGTCCTAACTATGGAAGGGAGTTGAGCTCTGGTATTCCTTGATAAAGAAACAGCTAGCAGCTGTGTATGCCGCCTTTCAGGCTTGTGAGAGTGTGACAGGATGGGCTGCAGTCATCATGCAGATGACTTACCTAATAGCAGGATGGGTACATTCATGGGTAATGACCTCCTGGACTGGGATGGCTCAGACATCCACTTTGCCAAAGTGGGGTGCCTACTTGGAGCAGTGGAGAACGCTGAGTACAAGTCCCTTAGCAGCAGAGTTGCAAGAGGTCTTAAAACCTGAACCTGTAGTCCTAATGTAAGATAAGGCCATGGGGCCTGAGGTGCCCCTAAACCCTGAGCTTTCACTGTTTAAGGGTGTCCCCCTATTCCCGATGGGACATGGTACACAGATGGGTCTAGCCGAGGTGCTACTGCTGCCTGGACTTCTGTTGCAGTCCAACCTAGTACTGACACCGTATGGTTTGAAACCAGGTATGGACAAAGTAGCCAATGGGCTGAACTTAGAGTAGTATGGATGGTGATCACCAAGGAGGTGACACCTATAGTTATCTGTATCGGTAGCTGGGCAGTCTATCAAGGCTTAACCTTATGGTTAACTACCTGGAAAATACAAAAGGGGTTAGTCAGCCACTGACCCATTTGGGGCCAAGTCATGTGGCAAGACCTTTGGGAAATGGGTCATCAGAAAGAGGTAACTCTTTATCATGTCTCAGGCCATATGCCTTTCACTACCCCCGGCAATGATGAGGCAGATACCTTGGTTAAGATCCGATGGTTAGTCAGCACCAACATGAGATGTGGCCTTGTGGCTACACTGGAAACTGGGACAAGCCGGGGGGTGAACTGATGCAACGGGTCAATAAGCATTGGGGTCTATTCCTGCCCAAGCAAGGCATTTGAGAGGCTTGTCAGAAATGCCTGGCATATGCTCAGGCACACCCTAAATGGAGGCAGGGGCCCAATATTACACAACAAACGACAATAGGGTGAGTGCCCTTAACCAAGTGGCAAGTAGATTACATTAGGCTGCTGCTGAAGTTGCAAGGGTATATGCATGTGTTAACAGCTGTGGACACAGTCATGAGCCTGTTGTTCACCTATGCTTGCAGAGTGGCCAACCAACAGAACACCATCCAGGCCCTGCAACACTTATATGCCCTGTATGATCACCCTCTGGCTGTCGAGAGTGATAAGAGAACACATATCACTGGATAACAGGCACAAAAATGGGCATAACAAGTGGACATAAAGTGGGGATTCCATGTACTATATAACCCGCAAGCTGCACATATAATTGAGTGGTATAAGAGGCTCTTAAAGAATGGGTTATGCTTGCATGTCACACCCCTGTCTTTGTGGGGCTGGAGTTCCAGGCTGGACCTGGTACTTCAATCCTTGAATTAACAGCCACAGAAAGTTGGCCCAGTTCTGATGGTGGCTTTGTTACACTGGGCCACCATCCCCATCCGGTTGCAGATACATACCAAGGGTGACCTCCTCCAACCAGGTATGGGGATGAACAGTAACCTGTTGTTACTAGCCCCAACACCCTTGAAGGCAGGGGAACAGAAAACCTGGCTGTGGCCATGGACCCTCCAAGCCCCCCACTGCCAGTGGTTGGCCATCGTAGCTCCCTGGGGGTAGGGCATACACTATGACTTGCATGTCACTCCTTGGGTATTCAATACATGGCCCCTGCAGTTGACTGTTTGTAGGGGAATGGCCAGGGAAGGCACCCTCCTCCAGGGAATATATGTATTGCTTGTGTGACCTATTATGAGTTCCCCTGTGACTTTGGCACAGATACAGGACTCAAAAGAACCATGGGGAGCTGAGAAGGTGTGGTACCATCATCCAGGGCAAAATCCCTTGTTGGCTGCATTGTTATCCAGGGATGAAAGGTTAGCCTGTATTTTGCTTGAGAGACGTGATTTACCTCTGTTAGTACCTATGCCTGCTCTGTCATTTCAACCACAGGTTAACATGCTCCAACTGCATCATGAACTGGGCCCACACGTAGGCTGAGGTGACCAATATTTCCAACTGTTGGCTCTGCACCACTCTTCCAGCAGCAGTTGTGGACAGCTTGCCTTGGCACATGCATTCAGTGTCTGCAGAGAACTGGACATGGCTGGAGACTTGGGGTCCCATGGCTGACACCTGGAACGCAATGCAGCAAGCTTTGGACAAAAGACACTGCAAGACCCATGGCACACACACCCCTGGCTGGCCTGTAGTGTTTATGATGGGTGGGGCTGGCTAGTGGGGGAACATGTAGTACCCCTAGCCCAGGCACCGCGGTGCATACAGCAACACTGGGGTAACACCACTGCGGGATGGGTACCTGTCATGGCCTGTGTAAACATAATACATGTCACTCCACTGAAGTTATGGTGGGTATTCCTGGGCTCTGGCCTATGCTGGGCCCTAACAGTCATAAGTAGCATAACTGGGATCCTAGTAGTGAGCTATTGCTCTCTGTATTGTTGTTTGAGCTATGGATTCAGGGCTCCGCCCTATGGGCATGTGTCCCTGCCCAGAGGATGCCCTGAGCCTAGCTGGTGGAGTGTAAGGGAAGTGGCTGTGCTTTACTCAGAAGTAGGCCAAGGCGGCCTTCTAGCGCAGCATGACTCAGTGGGTTTGGAGCGCAGGCGTACAACCCTGCACATTATGTAACCACACCGCATGAGGCATATTAGGTGATCACCCATGTGAGCTTGTGCTTGGCTTGGAGGGACTATTGTCTGTAAAACATACAATTACCCTGCTAACGCTGTATATATGGCTCGCTTGTGCCCAGAGAGAGAGTAAAGCCATGTCAAAACTGTCTACAATTCCTCTAGTGTTTTTCCAGCTACCTACCACTCACCCACTGACTCCCCTCAGACCTCAGTTAGAACCTGACACCAGGGCACCCATGTCCTTCTCTTTCCTCAAATTCATGGCAGACATCACTAATTGGTGCTCTTCCCAACTGAACTCAGACTTAGCCTTAAAATTTTCAACATAGTTGCCTGAACAACCTACCACTCAGAAATGGCACTAGAAATAAAACTTATTAGCCATCCCTGTGCTGGGGCAATAGTTGTCAAACCAGGTTATTATCACAATTGTCTGGGGGAGAACCTAAAAATTATAACTTCTCAGGACCATTCCAGAATGTACCAGAAAAGCTACCTTGAAAATCTCCTATAAATCCCTGACACGTAGCGTACAGCACTGTAATCTGTAGTTCCTCCTCCTTCCTGGGACTTGGACAAAGAGAATGCAAGCATACAGCATGTATTTTTCAGCTGCACTGGAAGGTGAGCTAGCTGATTGAGCAAGTAAGGCAATCTCTATTTTCTTATGCATCAAATGGTGTAAATATAGCATTTACACCATTCTGAACACCAAGAGTTCTGATGTCAGATTGTCTGGCTTAAATATCCCCTTCGTACCTTGGTAACCATGTGAACTCAGACAAGTTACTGAACTGCTGTTTCTTCACCTGAAAAAGTATCTGTTTTACAGAATTGTTATGAGATTTAGACAAGATAATTCATGTAATCTGAATAGAAGAGCACCTGACATAAAGTCCTCTAAAAACACAATATCTATCTAATTTTATCATTTTTGTCTATAATATTTATCTCTCCGAATTTGTATGAGCATTTAATGAGAATATATGTGAGTATATGAGAGGTATCTGGGCACATAGTAGGTGCTCAAAGAGTGGTAAGATTGTTATTATTCAATGTGTTTTAAACAACTTTTACTAAGGGATACATATTTTCTAGTATGGTAGACAGAGAACAAAATATTCCATTTAATTATTAATGTATATGCCATCACATAGAACACCCAGAAGATTGGTGCTAAGGAGGTGGGGGTGGGGTTAGCCAGCTCCTCATTCAGTTCTATCGTCTCCCTTCAGACCACCCCTAATAAACATAAACTAAGTAAAACAGCTTCAAGACACATCCCTAAGCCATCCCTAAACCATATGTCATCCCTTAAACCCCCTCTTCCAAGATGATTGCCATCTCAAAGTCTCTCCATCGTCCAATTCCATGTTTACCCTTGGGGGCAACTGAGAGCACTGTAAAAAGGTATATTAAACTGATATATATGAAAGGAGCCTAGAATAATTACATCTTTTAAACACCTGTATACACACACTGAATAGTCACAAATAGATGTTATTGAATGCAGCATCGCTCAACAATTGAGATTCTCATGTGGGGAAATGAATGGAGAGCTGATTTTTCTAAAACACTTCAGTGCATGTAAAGCACACAAGCAGGCACTGCTTTCCTTCTAGACACCTCTAGACACCTTCTAGACACCTCTAGAATCATCTCCTAACACAATTCTGAGCAAGATTTTTTATAACATTGATCACGGGCTTTGGGCACCAGCCTGCCACGGAAACCAAATTGGGTGCCTTTAAATACCAAGCTCCCAAAACAAGTTAACAGCTCTTGCCGAGTTGTTTACACAATTCCCACTCTGAAAAGGTCCTTGATGCCCAAGTTAGTCCCTGCTGGTTTGCCAGGGACTGTCCCAGTTTTAGCACTGAAAAGTTCTTTGTCTCAGGCAAACCAAGAGTGTTGGTCACCCTAGCTAAAGCAGAGACAGCAAACTAAAAACCAGTAAGTATTGATTCTGAATTCCTCCCCGTAAACACAAATACAGATACAAATAATGATTAAGTGGCCCCTGCATGTCAGGTGCCTTACAGAGAGAGGCCTAATTATTTTGTAATTAACACACTTCTGAAAATGTGGGGGAGTGCACAACTCCAACTTTAAAAAGAGGAACCAAGCATTTCTTGAGCCAAGGCTTTTATAAGCTAAAATAAAATGTTTAAATGAGAAATTTCAGGAATTCAAGTCAGTGAACTATGCTGCCCACCTCCTTCTTCCTGTTTGATCTTTGAAGATTAGCATTCAGTATTTTTCATGACATTTATATTGAGGAAGGAATATAAGATTATTAAAAGCAGAGAAACTCAATATTGGGAACTCACATCAAAAGGTCTTCAAGACAAAGAAGAGATCATAGGATTTGAAACTAGAGTTACTAGAAGCATGTGTGCTGCACTTCATTTTCTAGTTAACAGCATAACCTACGTCAAAATATGATTTAAAACACTTCTCACAGCTCAGTTGACATTTGGCAATCCCCAGCCTTCTTTTGCTCTCGAGGATGGGGGTTCAAATCCACACGACGTTAGCACTTTGTACTGCTACATATTCCTGGTGGAGGAGGAAAACAGTCTTTCGGTTTAAGTAAAATGAAAACATCTGTTTGAGTCCTGAGGGAAAGAATTATTTTTACATAGAGGGGAGAGGATGCCTGGTTGTTAAAGCTGGAGTCAGCCTCAGTAACATTACAAAAGGGAAATAGTTACACTGTCAGTTGCCTTGCCTTGCTCACTTGCCTGGCTCACTCTGTCAGTCTGATCTGGGCATGGCTTGACTAGATTCTCTGTGCAGGGTCTTACAAGGTATTGGCTGGGTTCTGCTGTGATCTGGAATTCAGGTCCTTTTCCTAGCTCATGTGGTTGTGGCAAAATTCAGTTCCTTGGAACTCTAGGACTAAGGCCCCAATTCTCTTGCTGGCTGTCAGCCAGTGGTCACTCTCAGCGCTTGCAGGCTACCGACATTCCTTGCCATGTGGCCCCTTCCATTTCCAAGCTAGAAACAGACAGTCTCCCTTACACGGAATCCCTCTCATGCTTTGAGTCACTGACTTCAGGAAGGGCCTAGTCCCATTTAAGGGCTCACCTGATTAGGTCAGGCTTACCCAGAATAATCTCCCTTTCTTCAAGTCGAATGCGCCATATAACTTAATCACAGCAGTAAAATCCATCATCTTCACAGTCCTGAGGATTGTACAGCAAGTAGGGATCCTGGAGGTCATCTTAGAATCCTGCCTACCATAAAAATACAATGCAAGATTTTTCTTTTCAAACTTGTAGTTCTATTTTTAGGTGGAAGGACTGGGAGAGAAAGTCCAAGAAAACATATAGTAGGACTTAATTAAATCTACTTTCCCTTAAAGGTACAAATTTACTAAAAGTTAACATCTTAAAATTATTTTTATAAATAATAATAGTTGGTATTTTCTGAGCTACATACAGCGTATGATAAGTGTATTCATAAGTTGCAGAGGTCAAACTCAGTTCTCAAGGGATTTACAATCTAAAAGAGAAGATAGGATACACATTTAGTTAACAGATATGTATTTGGGCACTGTTTTAATTTTTTTAAGTTTTCAGACTTTGTTTCACAGGGATCAACATGGAAATGTACTGGAGTTAGTAATGCGGTGCCCAGCCTCCCCACAGCCTTCTTTATCTGATCCTGCTCCTAAGGGGACTGGGCTGGGGCTGGAGAGGGGATGGGGCTTTGCAGTTTAAGGCATTTCTGGCTTCAGAGCCATCCCTGCCGCCCCTCCACTTGCCCCTTGACCTTGGTCAGACACTGGCTGGCCCCTGGTTATTCTGAGACAAGGACAACCATCACTGACACTGAAGGGAGGGTTTGCAGTGAGGCAGCCCTCTGCCGCTCTCTGCCAAGATGAGAAGGATGAGACCCACCACTCCAGGGGTCAAATAAAATCAACACATGAAGAACACGGCTGGTGGCCAGGCCCAGATACCCAGGCAGGCAGCAGAGGTTATTAACCCCACGGTACAGTGGGCTCCTCTTGGGGACTCCTCACAGGGCCTGGGGTGTGGCAGAGGGACAGAGCCATATCCAGGGTGGCTGGGTGGCTGGGCAGGGCCAGCTGAGGGGCAGGGTACCCAGACTGGCCCTGGTCTGGCCTCTGCTTGCCAGCAGCCTGGGGCTGGCACAGGCAGCACGGGGAGGGACGTAGAGCTGCCCAGCACTAACATTGTTTCTAAGTCACAGTATTGGCACAGGAGGCTCAGGCAGGGCCAGGCCCTGGGGTCCAGCCAGCCTGGGAGAAGGCCAGCCACGGATGGGCACTATTTTATACAGCAGTGGTCTGGCTTTCTTGGGTTTACGTTTTAACAGCAGGTAGAAATGCAGCCACAATAGTTAACAAAAACAAAAATAACAGCCGGACAAAAATATTCTCACAACTATTGAGAGTAGCAATAATTTACTGAAGGCCGGAGAGCTCACTTAGTAGAACATGAGATACTTGTGAGGCAGAGTAGCTTAGTGGCTAAAAGTATGGACTCAGGTTTGCATCCTGGCTCTGTTGCATTCCAGCTGTGCAACCTTGGGCAAATCATCCAGTGTCTCTGTGCCTTGGTTTTCCTCATCTGTAAATTAGAATCTTAAGAGTACCTACTGTACAGAGTTATTAGTGAGGATGAAATTAATTCCCATAGAGCACTTAGAACAGCATGCTCAGCACACGGAAAGTGCAGGTGTTGGCTATTACTTACTCTATGCCAGGTGTGACTGAGTCATTGGCAGGGATTATATCTTTTAATCCTCATAATGATCCTGCAAAGTAAGTATTACTATTGGCCGCAAATTACAGGTGAGAACATTGTAGGCACAGGGAAGCTAAGTAACTTCTTCAAGACTATCTTTACGGGTTAATAAGACACAGAACAGAACCCAGGTCTGCCTTGAAGGCACATTCTATTTATCAACAGACTTACTAATAAATTAACGCAGTGGAAGAACTGAAGATGGGGATTTATTTTCCCAGTTGAGTTGGTTTGTCTAACTCACAACCAAACACAACAAAGCTGATGAACAAGGCAGAGAAAGACAACGCTCAGGAGTGAGAAGTGACAAGAAGATTATGACAGCAATAATATCATGTATGTGAAAAGTTTACTAAAACTGACATTTGTTGTAATAAATGGAAGGTGATCCCATGCAGAGAAAATATTTTCAGATGGGCCTCTCCTTATAAATTTCCAATTTTGAGTGACTCAGATGGCTGAACAGCTGATGCTATTAGTTTTCAGCTCCTGCTGCTATAATATTAATTGTAGGAGGCAAACCTATCCAGTTGCTACACAGATGCTAGATGCTAGGTACACACACACACACACACACACACACACACACGCACACATGCACACACGCACACATGCATGCACAGGATAAGATATGCTATGACTGCGCCAAGGCACTCCAGCCTAAGCAACAGAGGAAAACTCTCTAAAAAACAAAAAGATAGAAAAAATACAAGATGCTGGCCAGCCAGTGAGTATATCTGTGATCTTGTTTAGTTAGCATCTCCAAACACAACAGTACCAAACCCTCACATTGGCAGGAAGCTTTTTATTTCTCAAAAAATTCATTCCCAAAATATTTCTGGAAACCTTAACCTGTTTGTCTCCTCAGCCCCTCCGGGTGTGGGACCTTTATAAGTGTCTTTCCCTTCCTTTTTGGCGTCCTGGGGATTTTGCTTATAAAAGGTGCCTTGGCTGAAGCTCTGCAGCCCCTTCTGCTCTGGTGGCTCTTGCTCTCAGGGGTGCTTCTGATTCATTGTCTACTCTGTCACTGTCCTTCAGACTTTAGCCTCCTATGTGTCATGGAGCTGGCTGAGCTTCTCTACATCACCCAGCTTTTCACATCTCTGCAACCCTCTTCCTTTGCTTATGCCTAGTTCTTTCATGGAAGGTCACTCTCCTGGCCCCAAAACTTTCTATTCTGCTAAGTTCAATTCAATCAGAATATACTGATACCACCTCTGAGCCAGGTGCTTGGTGCTGGGAATGCAGCGATGAATAAACAGGTCTCCATGGCCTTAAGAAATTATATTCTAGTGAGTGAGAAAACCCCATAAACAAATAGTTTCAAAATAATGTGGTGATAATATACAAAGGTGAACCCAGGTCAAATGAGAACACAACCCATTCTGGCAGTTCAGGATGGCTCCAAGGAGGCATTTATCTCTTTCAGGATGTGCTAACAGTTTTTAATTAGATTTAAAAAGAGGAAGAAAGGTCAGGGAGAAAAGATGATGAGCCTAGGCAAGATGGGTACATACAGGAAAAAGATAATGCAGTTTAATGGAGCGGGTACCTCAAGTATGAAGCAGAGTGAGTGTCAATAAAAGTAGGCATAAATAGGAAAATATTATGGAATGCTCTGCTTTCCATGTTAAGAAACTTAGATTTAATTCTGTAGTGTGTGGTTTATCAAGTAAAAAAAAAAAGTTCATTTGCATACACATACAAATGTAGAGACGGACACATATAAAGTTGCCTGTGATTTCAGCCATCCCACCTACATCCCTGGAAGTAAATCCACATGTTGAAGATGGGATACGTTGGGATGAAGGGGAATCCCTCAAAGTATTTTAAGTAGAGAATTTCATGATCACATGTTAGTTTAAATACATTACTATCACGTTTCATGACAAGCAAGTCTGGAGTCAGGGAGTACAATACAAAGATGTTCTGTATCTAGGCAAGAGATGACAAGGTTATGAAATTGAGCATTATTGGTAAGGCTTGAGAAGAAGCTAAGACAACAGCATGTCTTGTGAGTCATGAGGAAGAGGAGGAGTCATGAGGACGAGGAGGAGTCAGAGATGACTTCAAATTTCCAACTGGGACAGAAGCTTGGTTGAGAGAAACAGTAATGAGTTGATTTTTGGACATTTGAGTTTGAAATGTGTTTGGGACAAGACAGCTGGGTGACAACCAGGCATTTGGATATAAATTAGTAGGTATACTAGTCAGAAGTCCCAAGAAGAGGTCAAAGCTAGTAATATAGGTTTGTTGTGGGGGGAGTCATATGAATATCTTCCAACTTGATTTTCATTGTGCTAAAGTATCATATAAATGCCATCTTCTAAAAATTCACAACAAAAAATGTTTTTCTTTACCTTAATTTTCTTTTACCTTACTTACTTTTATCTTTCTTTTACTTTAACAAAATTTTCCCTAGAATGAAATTCTAAACAAAAGATGGAGGATTCTTATTGTATGACATGATGACTACAGTTAATAAAAATATGTTGTATCTTTGAAAATAGATAAGAATAGATTTTAGGTTTCCTCAACATATGAGGTAATGCTTATGTTAATTAGCTCAATTTAGCCGTTCCATAACATATACATATTTCAAAATATCATGTTTTCCATGATAAATAAATAAATATATTTTTTAAATACAAAAGATTCTGAATTCATTATCACAATAATCCATTAGGGTGGGAGAAAGGATTGTGGGACCACAGTGATATGGACAAACCTAGTTACGATCTCCAAATTGGGCCTATTCCCTTCTCACTGAAGTAGCCCTTTACTCACTTTCACCTGATATTTCCAATCCTATGCAAGCCCATGTTGAAATCTGATGGGCTGGAAAGAAGGGCCAAAATATTCAATCCCAGATCCTGTTGATGTTTTCACAGGAAAAAAATCCTTTCTATTTAGTTTTAGGAAACATAGAATAATAGCATTTTATTGTGTCAGCATTTTAGTACAGTGAATATGTTGTTGGTGATTTCTAAGCTACCATACCTGGAGGTGAAATTTACTGTGGGATCCTTCCAAGTGGTCCCCCCCAACAATTCATTCTTCGTAGAGCAGCCAGAGTAATCAAGTAAATATAAATCAGAGCATGCTCTCCCTCTCCCTCTCCCTCTCCCTCTCCCTCTCCCTCTCCCTCTCCCTCTCCCTCTCTCCACGGTCTCCTTCCACGGTCTCCCTCTGATGCCAAGCCAAAGCTGGACTGTACTGCTGCCATCTCGGCTCACTGCAACCTCCCTGCCTGATTCTCCTGCCTCAGCCTGCCGAGTGCCTGCGATTGCAGGCGCGCGCCGCCACGCCTGACTGGTTTTCGTATTTTTTTGGTGGAGACGGGGTTTCGCTGTGTTGGCCGGGCTGGTCTCCAGCTCCTAACCGCGAGTGATCCGCCAGCCTCGGCCTCCCGAGGTGCCGGGATTGCAGACGGAGTCTCGTTCACTCAGTGCTCAATGGTGCCCAGGCTGGAGTGCAGTGGCGTGATCTCGGCTCGCTACAACCACCTCCCAGCCGCCTGCCTTGGCCTCCCAAAGAGCCGAGATTGCAGCCTCTGCCCGGCCGCCACCCCGTCTGGGAAGTGAGGAGCGTCTCTGCTTGGCCGCCCATCGTCTGGGATGTGAGGAGCCCCTCTGCCTGGCTGCCCAGTCTGGAAAGTGAGGAGCGTCTCTGCCCGGCCGCCATCCCATCTAGGAAGCGAGGAGCGCCTTTTCCCCGCCGCCATCCCATCTAGGAAGTGAGGAGCGCCTCTTCCCGGCCGCCATCCCATCTAGGAAGTGAGGAGCGTCTCTGCCCGGCCGCCCATCATCTGAGATGTGGGGAGCACCTCTGCCCCGCCGCCCTGTCTGGGAGGTGAGGAGCGTCTCTGCCCGGCCGCCCCGTCTGAGAAGTGAGGAAACCCTCTGCCTGGCAACCGCCCCGTCTGAGAAGTGAGGAGCCCCTCCGTCCGGCAGCCACCCCGTCTGGGAAGTGAGGAGCGTCTCCGCCCGGCAGCCACCCCGTCCGGGAGGGAGGTGGGGGGGGTCAGCCCCCCGCCCGGCCAGCCGCCCCCTCTGGGAAGTGAGGAGCCCCTCTGCCCGGCCAGTCGCCCCGTCCAGGAGGGAGGTGGGGGGGTCAGCCCCCCGCCCAGACAGCCGCCCCGTCCGGGAGGGAGGTGGGGGGGTCAGCCCCCCGCCTGGCCAGCTGCCCCGTCCGGGAGGTGAGGGGCGCCTCTGCCCGGCCGCCCCTACTGGGAAGTGAGGAGCCCCTCTGCCCGGCCAGCCGCCCCGTCCGGGAGGGAGGTGGGGGGGTCAGCCCCCCGCCCGGCCAGCCGCCCCGTCCGGGAGGGGGGAGAGGGGGTCAGCCCCCTGCCCGGCCAGCCGCCCCGTCCGGGAGGTGAGGGGCGCTTCTGCCCGGCCGCCCCTACTGGGAAGTGAGGAGCCCCTCTGCCCGGCCACGACCCCGTCTGGGAGGTGTGCCCAGCGGCTCATTGAGAACGGGCCATGATGACAATGGCGGTTTTGTGGAATAGAAAGGCGGGAAGGGTGGGGAAAAAATTGAGAAATCGGATGGTTGCCGGGTCTGTGTGGATAGAAGTAGACATGGGAGACTTTTCATTTTGTTCTGTACTAAGAAAAATTCTTTTGCCTTGGGATCCTGTTGATCTGTGACCTTACCCCCAACCCTGTGCTCTCTGAAACATGTGCTGTGTCCACTCAGGGTTAAATGGATTAAGGGCGGTGCAAGATGTGCTTTGTTAAACAGATGCTTGAAGGCAGCATGCTCGTTAAGAGTCATCACCACTCCCTAATCTTAAGTACCCAGGGACACAAACACTGCGGAAGGCCACAGGGTCCTCTGCCTAGGAAAACCAGAGACCTTTGTTCACTTGTTTATCTGCTGACCTTCCCTCCACTATTGTCCTATGACCCTGCCAAATCCCCCTCTGCGAGAAACACCCAAGAATGATCAATAAAATAAATAAATAAATAAATAAATAAATAAATAAATCAGAGCATGACACTCTCCTGTTTAAACCCATTAAATGGATTCCCATAGCTATTCAAATAAAGCCCAAACTTCCTACTGTATAGTGCCCATCTTTATCACACCCCTCCCAGGCTCCTCCACAACCTCCCTGACCTTCCCTTGTTCCCTTTTCAAGACAAGCTCTTTCCTGACTCAAAAATATCTTGTTTTCCTCTTCCTAGAACTCTCTGCCCTCAATATTTCATGTAGCAGGCTCCTTCTCATCTTTCATGTATGAGTTCAAAACCCCATTCCTTACAGAGGCATTTCCTGACTACCATTTCTAATCCTTAATGACCTACCCCAATCTCTATCATGGTACTGTTTTATTATTGTCCACATAACGTTTATCACCATCTGAAATCATGATTTTTGTTTTGCATACTTGTTTATTGTATATTGGAGCCATAAAGACATTTACTTCATTTGAATCTTTCAAGTAAAAAAAAAGTATTTAATAAATATTTGTAAAATGAATGGACTAAATGAACATCCGGATTCTATAAAATTAGTAAGTAAAAAGTAAAAAAAGAAAGTATTCTGAACAAAGATGCCAGGCTTTGTAGTTGGCGCTGGCAATGGAACCGTGTCTTTCAGTAGTTCCCACTCTGGTGAAGACAATAGACAATTGTGATGCCGTATGGCAAATGTTAACTAGGAGGCAAATAGAAGGTCCTGTGGGATCACAAAAGAAAGGATCCCTTAAAGAGTCGTTAAAATCTGAAGGATGAGTGAGTGAAGGGGAAATGAGGGCTGAAGGGGTGGAAGGAATGTGGTAAACTCCTAGGTAGAAGGAACAGCAGGTGCGAAACTGTGCGGGAAGAGATGGGAATCAGAGAAATTTTAAGCAGTTCCCTGTTCCTGGAGCACTTTCCCAGGGTGATTGTAGGGTTTGATGACATAATAGCATGCACACTACTGTGAATGGTAACTCGCCATGTAAGTTAAGATATTGTTATGCAGACCTGTACCTACCAGTCACTTACTATATCTTTTGATAGTCAAAGAAAAAGGAAGGATAATTTCGAAGAAAGACTTCGTGGGACGGCTTCTGTGACTTACATGCTGGGTCCTGGGACCTCACCCCATCCTCTACACTAGTTTTGTACAGTCCATGTTCGTGGCCTGAGAAGGCGTGGTGTTGCCTTGACCACGAATCTCATTGGCCTTTCAAAGGGGAAACTGTTGTAGGATTGGCTGTGGAGATAGCAAGAGGCCTGCCCCCTGTCGCTGATTGGGTGAGAGCGGCCAACCCCCTGCCTCCGTCTCTCGGCGGCCCCACGGGGGCCTGTTGGTTGGCAACCGATTTGCTTCCTCCGGTGCGTGGCTGCGGGGTTGCACCTGTGAAGCGAAGACAACCTGCTAGGACCCTGATAGGCGTACACCTCTCACTCCCACTCACGCGCCGACGACATGGGCTTGTCTCCGTTACTCATCCAAGTTTGTCTTGAGACTGGGCTGTGAGCCGGCACTGCAGTGAAACGCCGCAGATGAGGAAGTGCCCAAGTCTTCCTTCGGGAAGTTCTCGTTTAGAGGAGTCAGGAGAAAAAGTCATTGTTATATCCCAACTTTAGAAGCCGCTTATCTTGGTACCGTTCTGAGGTTCTAGAAAGCAAGTAACTTATATCAGTTTACTAAGTGTGGGAAAGTGACCCATAACTTCAAACATCTGCCTCAGAGTAAACCTGAGGCATTTGGGGACAAGTGTCAGACCCTCCGCTGCCTATCATGCACGGCAGAGCTTACCTCTTGCTGCACAGAGACTTCTGTGATCTCAAGGAGAACAATTATAAGGTAAGTACTGGGCACGTGGAGAGATGTGTTTCATTGTGCAATAATTTTTAAGAGGCAGTTTAACCCATTTTATTCTATAAGTAGTAATTTAGTTAAACCTGATTTGCCACTACAGTATTGTTATTTAATAAATCCATTTCACTGAAGTAATGTGTTTCATATTAATAACAATTATTATTACTTCAAAATAATAATGCTTAACAATATTGAACATATTATGCAGAGTAATTTATGTGGATCTAGGCACTGAATATCAGGGTCTGTCATGTAGTTAGTGACTAGTAGGTGCAGGCTTATGCTCATTAATTATAATACTATACAATAAGTAGTATTTCATTTTACTTACCAAAAACCTAAGCCTCAGAAATATTCTGTAAAGATTTTGCCCCATGATTCCATTACAGGGTTTTTGGACTTCAAAGCCCTAGTTCTTAATTCCTGTGTTCCACTGCTTACTGTCTAGTGTACTTTTACCAGCATGACACATAAATGCCTTCCCTTTATAGTTTTAACACAAAAGAAGCAATGTCCTTGGGCTTAAACGCCACCAATGAGGTTATCAATGTCCATGGCTGCCACAGGCTGATTTACGGAAAATGAAAAATGGAAGAGGGGGCGAAGAGGGAGTGCTTAAGAGAAAGAACAGAAAGAAAGCTGTCCATGAAAGGTATAGAGTGCTTCCCACAGTTGCTTCAGGTGTAGTTCAGTGGCATTGTTCATTTTTTACCTCTGCTATAAAAGTACTGCATTCACTGGAGATGTTAGGAACAATTATGGAGTCCAACAGCGAACATTCCTGGGGCATGGACCTAACATTTGATATTGTTTCTGCTCATCCTGAGCTCTGTAGTTCTCTGTTGAAAGAGAATCCAATGAAGGAATATGTAAATATAGATAATAGAGAGACAGGGCTCACCCAGACAAGCACTAACATACTTAATAACTATGTGGATGCTCAGAAGTGTTTTTATGTGTTTGTAAGTGTGTTACTTAACGTAATTCATAAGGTTTTCTATGAAATACATTCTTGTCCCTCCATTGGAACAACTCCTCAAGTATAGGAAAACTTTGCTTTTATATACAAGTGTAATTTTGGATTTTTTCTTAATGAAAATGTTCCCACTTCATGCCTTTCATATAGCATTCATATAGCTCTAAAATGTTTTGAAGAAACATGCACTTTCCAACTATTTCTTTCTTTTAAAATTTGAATATTAAATTGGTTATTGATTTACACAAACAGTATATAAGCCACACATTCTAATCTTGACTCTCTAGTCCCACTTGTGATTTCCACACTTATGATTTATTTTTAATTACTATTGCATATGTTTTCTGGGATCTATATTAACTTCCGTGAAATAAGACATGTAACACTTCCCCAGAGCAGCAAATAAATAAACTTATCAAGGAAAGAAAATTTAGAGTTTTTAGAATTCAGTGTGACCTGGTATATGATTTTCAAAACTTCAATAAATACTTAATAAGTTTTTTCTGATTTAATTTTGTTTTTAACTTCAAGGGTATCACTGCTAAGCCTGTAAGTGAAGATATGATGGAATGGGAAGTTGAAATTGAAGGTCTACAGAATTCAGTTTGGCAGGGTTTGTATTTTCAAAACCAATCTATTTTTTAAAAAAGTCTTTATACCATTATTAGCCCATCCTCTTTTTATGTAGGATAAGGTCGCATTATATAAATTTCCTGAAATTCTTCTTCATATGCATAAGTTTGCATTATACCAGTTGTCTAAAATTCTAAAAATATTCCCATTTTTTTTATTTATGACTTTTTTGCCATGTGTCAACATAGATGGAAATTTGGGGTATTTTTCTTTATGCCAAATCTTAATTTTATTACATTTTTAAGAAGCAGACACAATAGAGCATATCAATTGAGAGAATATCGTCTGCCTTCCGTGAGATCAGGGAATAACTATCAAAATTCCTATTGGCTTCAAAACCCCACAGTTACTTCTCATTTTTTCCTTTATGATTTTCCCCCAAATTTTCATAAATCAAAAAATCTCAAGAACACTAAGCCACTATAAACTTTAATGCTCATGTTTTCTTTCAATTATGGATTAATAAGATAGATTCCTTGAGTGAGGTAGGGGAGACAAACACATCAGCTGATAATTACAATAAAATATACATTATTATGGATTTTGAACAGAATGCTAAAGAGGAAGAGGATTAGTTAATTATGCCTGAGGGAGTCAGGAATGTCTTCCCAAGGAGATCACATTTGAGTTGAGTCCTGAAGAATCTGCCAGGTTCAGAAGAAGGATAAGGAAATTCGGGCAGAGTAAACAGCACAGCAAAGACTTGTAGACAAGAAAGGGTGTAGCAGATTTTGGGAACATGAGTTCAGTCAATACGAGATACAACAGAGGGGGTGGATGTTAGGGCGACAAAGGTAGTAGATGGAAAGGACTAGTGGGAAAGAGACTGAAAACGTATGATTATAATAGATTGTGAAGTGTCTGTTATACTATCCAGAGGAGTCGGTGCACTCTATGAATCAATTTACTTAAAAATAAAACTGTGGAAAGACTAAACCATAGGGAGAAACTCCAGTGTTAATCAGGTTACAGTTAATCAATAAACATGACACTTTAGTAAAAATGTTTATTTCTATATTATAGGTTTAGTCTTCCAACTGACAATACATTTTACATCGGAGTACAACTATGCTCCTCCAGTTGTGAAATTTATAACAATTCCGTTTCATCCAAATGGTAAGAACTAAATGACATTTTTATCATTAGAGGCTTTGTCCCTATTATCCTTGTTTCTTATAATAATCATGTTTCTTTTTAAGAACTTTATTATGATTCTAAAAGTAAGAACTCTCATTGGGGAAAATATGAAAAGGCTGGAAAAAATTAGCAATCACCTTAAATCCTAATGCAAAGAGAAAATACTGTCAACATTTTGCCAAATTTATTTTCCTTTTTTCTAAGTATGAATTTTTTCTATACAGTTGAGGTATTATGCATGAAGTTTTGCCTCTAGGTTTTTGATTTTATTTATTTTATGGTGTTTTTTTTGAGACAGAGTCTCTCTCTGTCGCCCAGGCTGGAATGCAGTGGTGTGATCTCGGCTCACTGCAACCTTCACCTCCCAGGTTCAATCGATTCTCCTGCCTCAGCCTCCCCAGTAGCTGGGACTACAGGCATGCGCCACCACACCTGGCTAGTTTTTGTATTTTTAGCAGAGATGGGGTTTCACCATGTTGGCCAAGCTGGTCTTGAACTCCTGACCATCCGCCCACTTTGGCCTCCCAAAATGCTGGGATTACAGCTGTGAACCACTGCGCCTGGCCTAGGTTTTTAATTTTAAAACTATATGTCTTTTTTCTGCATTATTAAACAGTCTTCAAAAGATCATCTTAAATGGTTCAACAATACACTTAACCATTTCTGTATTGTTCAATATTTTAGTTGGATCTAATTTTTCATTATTATAAAAAAACGATGCACTGGACAGATTAACTTTTTTTAAATAAAAGGTAAGTTAGATTGCTACTTAAAGTTATACACAAAACCAATTCCTGAAGGATCAAAAATCTAAAAATTTTAAATGCTGGAAAAGAAGGAAATCTAATAGAATTTTTATGGGCTTGGTGAGGAAGACGTTTCTCAGCATGATAAAACCCAGTAACTGTATGGAAAATATGACACATTAAACTGCAAAACCTGTTAAAACTTCTCTACGGCCCAGGACATTATACTCAGAGGTCAAAGACACTGACTTTTGCAAACTGAGGGAAAATATTTGCAATGCATGTAACAGAATATGTATACCATATGAAGAACACTTGTCAATCAATATAAAAAGAACATAAAGCAATTAAAAAATGGAGAAAGGCTATAAACAAACACTGGACAGAATAAACAACAAAAATAAACATAAAAAGATTATCAATCTCACTACTAAGAAAATAAAAGCAAATTAAAACAAAAAGTATTGTTATTTATCACATATTCATAAAATGTCAAAATATAACATACATATTTAGTAGGCATGGGCAGACATTGTTCCTCTGATATAATCATGACCTTTTGAGGAAGTAGTGTGACAGTTTCTAATCAGGTATAAAATGCATATATCCCTAAATTCCCGTAATACCATGTTTATAAACTATTCTGTAGAAATATTAGCACAAGTGTGCAAGAGTGTGTTATATTTAAAGACGTTTATTCCCACCAGGCTCAGTGGCTTATGCCTGTTATCCCAGTACTTTGGGTGGTCAGTGGGGAGTATTGCTTGGGTCCAGGAGTTTGACACCAGCCTGGGCAACATAGTGAGACCTGTCTCTACAGAAAATAAAAAAATTAGCTTGGCATGGTAGCATGTGCCTGTAGTCCCAGCTACTTCAGGTCTGAGGTAGGAGGATTGCTTGAGCCCAGGAGGTCGAGGCTGCAGTGAGCCATGATTGTGCCATTGCACTCCAGCCTGGGCAACAGAACAAGACGCTGTCTCAAAAAAAAAAAAAAAAAAAAAAAAAAAAAAAAAAAAAAAAAAAGATGTTTATTCCCAACAGCAATGTTAGAAATAGGAAAAATGGAAATAACTTCAATCTCCATTAACACAGGAATTTTAAGTGAAATATCCTACAGTTACGTGTATTGCTTCTAAACAGAACGAGGAAGGTCTACGAACCTTTTAGGTCTAGATCATTGCTATATCCTTAGAATCTTCACTGCGTGGCATATAGTAGGTATTCAGATATTTTTTGAATAAATATTTGTGTCCAGAAATATGTTGAAAATACATTGTTAAGTGAAAAAATACATTGAACAATAAAATGTAAAATATATTCCCATTTAATAAACACACACATATGGGTGTGTATACATATATGTGTTTGTGTGTATATTTGTATAGACCAACTGGTAATATTGGTCTTGAATAGTAGAATTAGTAGGCAGGGGAACATTCATATTTTACATTAGATTTTTTATGTTTTTTTCCCAAGTACATTATTTTATTGTAATTAAAACCTATTTTTGGTATCTATAACACAAAATTAATTACATACGTGTGCCTTTATTTGTTTAAAATAGTTAGAATTATTGGATTAAATTCAATGGGGGGAGGTACTCTTATCCCCTAGTCCTCATCCCTCCCACTTCCATAAAGTAGAGGGAACTTTAGTCTCTAGGAGGGGGAAGGTATAGGAAAACTTGTGACTGCTCTTTTTTTTTCCCCCATCACTCCTCCTAGAAGTCACTTATCTGATTAGGGAGATGAAGGAAAGAATTGAGCATATGTGGCCCAGAACTTGCTCAACACTCTCTCCTTCTGACCATACTGGGTATAGTCTCTTTTGCTCCAGGCAGGAAACTTAGGCAGGCCTTCGGTTTGGGAGTTAAGTTTAAATCAGGGGGACTTTTGTGGAGCCTGATTAAAGCCATTCATCAAGTGCGTTCTCCATTTCAGTCTTATGTGCAATGAAGCTGATGTTTTTACTTCCACCTTTCAATACTTTGATCTATTTTATAATTACATATGAACTTGAGGGGAGAGAAGGGTTATTTACTAGCTTTCAACCCCCGCCCCCGCCCGCCCCGCAAAAGATGGCTATGTACAGTTTTAAGTCTTTATATAAAAAGCCAAATTGCCTTTCGGTGGTATTTGTACTCCTACCAAAAAGTACATATAAAGTTCTTATTTTAGCACCTTCCAATTCTGGCCATTGAAACTTTGAAGAAAATTTTTTTGCCAATTTGGTAAGAGTCTTGCTATTATTTTAATAAGCACTTCTTTGAATACTTGAGAAGTAAACATTTCCCACCTTTGTTGATTCTTATTTTGTGACTCGTATGATACAATTGACAGTGCTATCACATTGTCCTAGATGTTGCAAATATTTCCTCTAATTTGTCATTAATTTTCAACTTTGTTTATGCTGTTTTTTCACATCTGGGATTTAGAGATTTTTATGATTTAAAATAAATTTATATTTAAGATCTATTAATCTTGTCCTTTGAGGCTTTTGCAGTTGTCTTTCATCTTAGATGATCCTTTCCCAAAAGAAAATCAAATAGTCATTTTAAGTTTCTTCTAGTCATTCTACAGTTTTATTTTTCTTATTTAACTCTATTATTTTTTCAAACACTAAATTACTTAACTGTGTTAGGGCATATGCCAAGCTCCTGTACATCTTTCCAACTTAACATAACAGGACAACGCTGGAGGGAGGTTGTGCCCATCCTCAATGTGAAGATTCCATTTCTGGGACTAAGGCATTTACTGTTTGTCACCATTTCCAGTCTGGGGGAAGGGGGAAGAAAAGAAGGAAAGCCAGCTTCCTTTAAAAAAAGACTCAGAAATTGCACACTTATCCTTATGTCCCACAACAAAAACTTAGTCACAAGGCCACATCTTGCTAAAGGAGAGGATAGGAAAAACTGTAGGGGCACCTATGTATTCAGCTAAAACAACATGGTAATGGGTGGGAACCAGGGATGGGTATAGTGCTTCTCAGTACAGAGAGAAGAACTAGGAAAAAGGAAGAGTAAATGCAGATAATTTTTCTGGCTTATCATTTTGATGTTTGTAAGTTTTAAATAATAATTTATTATAAATGCAAATATTAATGTATTATTTTAATACAGTAGACCCACACACTGGTCAGCCCTGTATAGACTTTTTGGACAACCCTGAGAAGTGGAATACAAACTATACATTGAGCAGCATCTTACTTGCCCTACAGGTAAGAATGGATTTCATATAATCCTCTCTTTAATACTTTTAATTACCCTAATTATTCAAACTACAAGGATTAAAATATACAATGCATATTTAAGTGTTTAAAGAATTTGAGAAGTTTATTTAAATCCATACTTCTATATGAAGGCTACAAAGTGGAACTTACTTAAATTATAAAAACTATTATTTAAAGTGAAATTGATAGTTAAGGCCCCTCAAGACCAAAGAATGCATATCTTATAAAAGAATAAAATAATTATTTAGATGGTTTCAATTCTGAAAATATAACCTTAGGTTTTCTTTTGGTTCCTAACTTCACTTCCTGATGTTGAGCAAGCCTTTTAGATCTTTCTTCATTTATGGACCTTGCCTTCCTGAGAGAGGTGGATCGAATGACTACAACTTAAAATGTTCACTTTTGTTTTTTGTTTCTGACAGTGCTAGTTAGCTACTTTCTGTCCCAATAGTGTTCACATCAAACCCAGTGAACAATTTATACCAAGGATTTTCTCCTCTCCTCAGATGCCTGTTTCTCAGATGCCACCTTTACCCACTGGACCCATGGTCCTTAGAAGCATACCTCAGTGTTGTGCTATTTCTTTTCTTTTCTTTTTTTCTTTTTGAGACAGGATCTTGCTCTGTCACCCAGGCTAGAGTGCAACGGCACAATCCTGGCTCACTGCAGCCTCAACCTCCTGGGCTCAAGTGATCCTCCCACCTCAGCCCCTCAAGTAGCTGGGACCACCGGCATGCCCTACCATGGATGGCTAATTTTTTAAATTTTCTGTAGAGACGGGGTCTCACTATGTTGCTCAGGTTGGCCTCAAACTCCTGGGCTCAAGCAATCCTCCCACCTCAGCCTCCCAAAATGCTGGAATTACAGGCAAGAGCCACCACATCCACCCAGTGTTGTGTTATTTCTGGTCCTTAAAAATGCCTCCTTTCTCATCTAATGCTAAAATGAATTATTTCAGTGAACTTGCTTTGACCTCTTAGAGCTAGCTTAGCAATAATCTATCCATGACCTACTTATCACCAATAATATCTGAAGATAAATAATTACATTTTGATTATCTAGAATACTTGGAATATAAAATACTCTGGCATAATTGAGTTTTTAAATATAGAATTATAATATAAATTGCATTTCTTCTATTTCTTGTATTTGAAAATAAATAAAATAATACTTTCCTGGCTAGTCATCTTAGCATACTAAGTAAAATATAATCTTTAGGAAAGATTCAATGTTCAGTTCATTCATTCATTCTACAAATATGTATTGAGGATCTACTTGTGTGAGGTTGTGTTCTAGGAAGGAGACATTTGAGCAAAAAATTTAAGGGAGTGAGTGAGTGTGATATGCAGAAATCTGGGGTTAATCCTTTGGATTCCTTTAAACTGAGACATATTCTGATCTCATCCACCTAAACTAGAGTCTGCCCTAAGAATAGCAAAATGATCCCAAAATGTAATGAGTAAGGGCAAACCAGAATGAACTGGTGAAAATTTTGAATTGCAGAATAATTTGATAAAAGGAAAATGTGGGGCTCTGAGTTAGCTTGCTTGGCTTCACATCCTGGTTCTGCCACTTGATACCTTTGTATCTATCATTGGACAAATTTTTCCACTTCTCAATGTCTCAATTTCTTCATCAGTAAAATGGGGCTGTTGTTACCTCATGTAACCTGTGAGGAGGAAATTAATTAATGTGTGTAAAGAATTCGGAACTGTGCCTGGTCCAAGAAAATAACTCAATAGTTAATACAGGTCGAGTATTTCTTATCTGAAATGCTTAGGAATTGGAAATTTTTCCAATTTTTGAATATTTGCATTACATATACTTACCATTTGAGCATCCCAAATTTGAAAATTTGAAATCTGAAATACTCCAGTGAGCATTTCCTTTGCACATCATGTCGGTCCTCAAAAAGTTTTGAATTCTGGGGTATTTAGGATTTCAGATTTTCAGATTTAGGATGCTGAACCTCTAGTTAGTTAACATTATGATTGTTCTTACTATTAAAGAGTAATGCAAAGTGACACCAAAGTGTTGCCAAATATATCATGGAAAGCCAGTAGATAACACAATTTTGTCTTTTTATTTTTCGAAAACATTAATAAAACAAATATGCCCACATTACAAAAGATTTTTAAGATAATGGGAAGGAAAAGAAAATCACTGACAATTATAAAGAAAACCCTTAACTTTACTGTTACTAGGAAAGAGCTTTCTGCTCTTTTCTCCTGTTTTTCAGTTTAAAATCTTTCAGTGGATCCCACCTTCTCCACAGGTGTAAGCTCTAGTTCTGTTGCATATCTAATCCTCACACCTAGACTCTCCCTAACACACCAGGCAATCCTGCTCATACTTATATCTTCATGCTTTTCTGCACTCACATTGCTTGGGTCAATTCAGATAAAAAAAACATTCATAGAGTTCTAAAGTTACCTTAGAAATGGTCAGTCTCCAGTTCCCCTCTGCCTGGCAACTCATTTTCTCCTCTTCTCTTCCTCAGTCTGTCCAGCAAGCAGTTGTTCATGTTGTTGTAAGAGTTGGAACAAATGAATCGTCCTCTAGGATACCTTTTCTGATTTATTTTCCTAGGGAGAATTAATAGCTTTGGTTTTGGGGGAGCTTCCTTTGCTACACACCCAACAGTACCCTGAGCAGATTTCTGTTAGAACACTAATACTATAAAGCACACACTGCTTACTTATCTGTCTTCCCCTATTGGACTGCAAGCTCCCCAAAATCAGGAAACAGGTCTAATTCATCCTTGATTTCCTGGAGCATACCAAAGACAATGCTGACATTTGGTAGATATTAAATAAAATGAATGAATGAATGAACCTGAATTTTTACATTATTGCTATTATGGTATGTATATTGCCATGTGCTTAGCAACAAGGATACATTCTGAGAAATGAGTTGTTACACATTTCATCGTTGTTTGAAAATCATGGAGCGTACTTACACAAACCAAGATGGTATAGCTTAATACATACGAAGGCTATGTTATAGCCTGTTGCTCCTAGGCTACAAACCTATACAACATGTTACTGTACTAAACACTATAGGCCATTGTAACACAATGGTAAATATTTGTGTATCTAAATATAGAAAAAGTACAGTAAAAATTTGGTATTATTATCTTATGGGACCACCATGATATATGCCGTCTGTTGTTGAGTGAAACATTGTTATGTGGCACGTGAGTATGTAAACTATACAGCCTGTTTCTTTTTCACTTAACATTGTCTCTCAAGTAACTTCCATATGGTTATAATCAATATTTTAATAGCTATTCAGTATTCCTTTGAAGGTCAGTGCTGCGCAGTAGCACTTTCTGCATTGATGGAAATGTCCAATATATCTCACCGTTCAATACAGTACCTACTAGTCATATGTGGCTACTGAGCACTTGAAATGTTACCACTGTGACTAGGGAGCTGAATTTTTAATTTTATTTAATTTTAATTATTTTAAATGTAAATAACCACCTGTGACTGTGCCTACAGTGATGGGCAATACAAGTTGAGACCATAATGACTAACTACTTCTTTCTTGATAACAAATTAGATACATTTTCAATTATCACACTGTTATTCAAGGGAAGTGTACTTGAAATGTTGGTTAAAATATTTTGAATTTTAAATACACTAACCACCATCAACTAAAATTTTTATAATCTTAATTTAAATTCAATGTAAATGTATATGCTAGGAAGGAACAAGTTACAGAAAGGAACTTGTAACTTGCTTTTTGATCTATCACAGTTTTATACCGTACATTCATGAGCCTAAGGTTAGGTTTCTTGAGAGTACAGACTATGTCTCATGTTATTTTTTAATCTATTTCCAGATCCATACATAGTAAGCATTTAATACATGCTTATTGAAAGTTGTATATATTGGTTTGTCGTTTTGCTCTAAAAAAAGTTTACTTCTGAAATTATATGTTGTCTGTGTTTTCCTATAGGTTATGCTTTCTAATCCAGTGCTAGAGAATCCAGTGAATTTGGAAGCAGCCAGAATACTGGTTAAAGATGAATCTCTGTACAGAACAATTCTAAGACTTTTCAACAGGCCATTACAAAGTAAGAAGTATCTACTTTTGTTAGGTGCAGTGGCTCACGCCTGTAATCCCAACACTTTGGGAGGCTCAGGTGGGTGGATCATCTGAGGTCCGGAGTTCGAGACCAGCCTGACCAACATGGAGAAACCCTGTCTCTACTAAAATACAGAATTAGCTGGGCGTAGTGGCACATGCCAGTAATCCCACCTACTCGGGAGCCTGAGGCAGGAGAATCACTTGAACCTGGGAGGCAGAAGTTGCGGTGAGCCGAGATCATGCCATTGCACTCTAGCCCGGGCAACGAGAGTGAAACTCTGTCTCAAAAAAAAAAAGAAGTACCTACTTTTTGTTATTTGGCAATTATCAATTATACTTTAAACATTTATAGCATAGTGATCTAGGAAATAACTGTTATATAAGGGAATATTTGAAATATTTTCTGTATCCATTTTCAGTAATGAATGGTATTAAGATCTCTCCTACTGTAACTCTTTGTGAAACCAATCAGTGTGATCCTTTTTTAAAGATCATCAAAGATCTCAAGCTCCGTATCTTTAAATATTATGGTCATATGCATGGATGGTGCCAAATGAAACTAGTCCACCCATCATAAAGGTATGACATCTAATTTTGACTCTTCAATCTGTAATGGACATTTCCCAGACTTCACCTGCAGTACTCCAGATCTTACTGATTTGTACCACTTTTCTTCTTGATTAGCAAGATGTCAATGATTTTTTTCCGGAGAGTTCCCTCCCCAGGAATTCCTTCTAAGAATCCATGTGGAAATAGAGCCTGAAGCTCTTCAGTCTTTCTGCTCCACTGAGCAGTGTTTTCCTGATACCCTTGGTATCCTGCCAGCAGCCTCGTTATGACTCCTAACTCCATTGCCTCCATTGCCCCTGTGCGCTCTCTCTCTCTTTCTCTCCAGGTAGTAGAGCACTGCTTCTGGCTTCTTGTGCACAGAAGGGTTTCCCACAGCTGAGAGCTGGGCTCCTACTGACATAGTTATTTCCTTTATATCCTGCCCCACCTTCTTCTGGTAGCACACAGCAACCTTGCATAGTAGCTGGTATCATTACCTTCCCAATCAACAGGCCTTGATTTCTTATAGTACTTTTTCTCTCAGATTTACATTGCTTCTTTTTCTGTTTCCCTTCCAGGACTCCCAGTCCATTAGCTAGGTCTGTATAATTGTGACCAAGTTCAATTGCTCCTCCTCCACAGGGTTTTTGGGTCTGATACAAATCAAATGGTGTTGATCAAGCATCTTTTCCAGTACCATAGAACTTTATTCTACGACAAAGTTCTTGGGGGAGCTATTTGATCACAAGCTTAAGGTGAAGCAGTAATAGAAAATTCCCTTCTTCTAAGTATGTGTTATATACTCATTTTACCCTTCTCTGGCTTGGTGGGCTTTCATCTGGAATACCAGTAGGCTCCACTTGGAACCTCACATTTCTAAAGGCTGAAGAAACTGTATATATTTAGCCAACAGAAGAAAAGATAAAGGGCAGTTGTAAAAGCTGTTTTCAAATATTCGAAGGGATTTCCTATGGAAAAAGATTTCTTCTGGGTTGCTTCAGAAAACTAACATAGGACAAACACTGAAGTTACACGTCAGTCATACTTTCCCGGGCCTGCTGGGTTGTAGCAGAACTGAAGTTCACATACGCAGGCTTGGCCCTGCCTCGTGTCAGTACATACCTTAAATGTATCAGGGACTTTACTCCGTGATCAGTTGTCTGGAATTAATTTTATTGTCCTAAGTCTAAGCCTGGTATGTGATATGCAGACATGTAAATGTCGCTCATTACCCAAACTTTTCCCCAACATTTGTTATGTTTGCCTACCCTGAATAGCTAGGTCTTTGCCTCAGTGTATTGACAAGAAGACCAAGCTCTAAGCTCAAACCCAGTGTGGAGGTCTGATGACCTTCCCATTTCCTGACAGCCTCCTTTCCTTGTGGCCTGGCCCCTTTTCCTTTCTTAGAGGACTCACATACCCCAGACTGCCTGGGAAAGTCCTGGTATAATTATTCCCAGTACCTCCTTTCACTTGCAGTGTACCAGTTTGAACAAACGATTATCTAGCCAGTTGGGTGCCCAGCTGATCTTTCCTAAAAGCAAATGACTCTATAGTTGTGCCATTCTTAATGGTAAAGTCCATCCAGGTCCCAGTTGGCCAAACATGAGGAAGAATTGTTTGAAATAATTCAAGTTGCTTAAAAGAATGGACAAGGCCAGGCTGGCAGTTAGTAAACTCTCTATTACTAAAGGTATTCTTTGTATCTAGTGTTTATTTGATAGAGCTAAATGACCATTTTTCAGAGATGTTATCAAAGAGCTTCTTTGATAAAAAGCTCTGGCGCCAAGAATTGGATAAGGGGGCCTTTTCAATACCTTCCAACCTATTGTTCAACTAGTTTATGAAAACTCAGAGGAGGAAGGTCTGGAGACAATGTATAACAACTGTTTGCCTCATAGATTCTGAGTATTGCTACTTACTTTCTAATTTGTTATGAGCTTTCATAGGTTTCATATGAGCAATTATCTGCCCCTTTTTTCAGTTCATCCTTGTGAATGTTGATTTCTATGTAGTTATATTATCAAGTAATATTTATCTTCTGTTTGTCATAGTTGCTTTGATTTTTTAAAATGTAAGTTTTGTGTCATTTTTAAAACCTTTGGTTGAAGAAAAATACAAGAGTATAAAAAGAGTAAAGCTGAGTGATGGTAGCTAAGCCTGAGGTAATTATTTTTTCTTAGCCAAGTATATTCCTATAGTTTTTGATAAAAAAGGAGGATCATCTAATACATTTCAGATGCTCATCTAAATAAGCTATAATTGACATTGAGTCATAATACTAGAATAAAGGAGAATATAGAAATATTAGGGAGATTGTAATACTAATTTGTGTGATATACTTTTTAAAAACCTGATAATTCTACAAATACATCATATTCTGCTTGTGATTAAGAAAATGTTGTGACAGACATTTGATTCTTCTCCAATTCAAGTTCCCAGTTTGTTCACTGGGTTTAAAAAAATCCTTTTAATAATAGAGCAATTTTAAAGCAAATTGTCTCTACAATTGAAGCAGGTGGTGTCTCATAGGATTCCAGGTTGCCGTTTCTTTTTAAAGTGAGTATACTTCTTTGGTTAGGTGTAAGTATACCCCTTCCCCTGAGAAATATACTTTGTGGGTGTCGGGGGAACACAAAATTTAGTCCAGTAGCATTGCTTACTTGTTCAAGAACATGAGCTTTTTTAGCACCATCATTCAGAACCAGTTTTGTTGTTGATGATTACAGTTTTGTTACAGATATTCTGTTACTTAAAAATGTCATAAGATACTAAAAAACTGAGTTTAACAGCAGGGTAGAGTGTGGATCTATTTGCTCGAGTTACGTACCTCTTTTTTCCTGTTTGTATTTCATTATACCAGATAGTCCAGTAACTTTTCGGCAAAGTTTCTAAGTTGCTAGTTTTAACGAGAAATGTTAAATATTTATTTTCTATCAAAGAAATATATGTTGATAGTTTTAGAGGACAAATAATAGGAATCAGTTTTTAATGAAATATGTCCTCTATCCCTGAGTGCTGCCTGCCAGAGGCAACAATAGCTTTCAACACATTTAGCTGTTTCCTCTGGCATTTACCACCACATTTCTAAGTTGATTCTATACTAATATTTCTAGGCTTTTCGGTTTTAGATATTATTTATAGACTTCATCTTATAAAATACAAAGATTTTGCTTTTATACTACTATTGCTACCCACATTTCCTCTCCCCCATCCTCCTAATATGATTTGGTTACATTAATATGACTTTATAAATACTTGCCACAGATAAACCATAAATGATTATCTTTCTTTTCTTGTACAAAAGGTCTGATTTTACATTCCTTTGTTTTTTATGTGTGTACTATCTTTTCTTCTTCTAAACTTTCTGACAAAGCTATAAAACAGCTACTAGGTATTCAGTCAGCATCGAGTCTGTTTTGTTTTGGGAGCCCTCTTTCCTGTGGCACTCTATCCTTCCTCTCCATTTCTGAATTGGCAGTTCTCTTGCAGGTGTGCTGGGATGGCCTTTTTGGTGCCTGCTGGGTTGGAGCTCCTGCTTGCTGCTCAATCCCCATTTTCCTTGTGGTTGGTTTTGCTCCTTTGTTTTGTTGGAGTACATCTTCTAGGAGCTTCCTAGTACCTGGGAGCTAAACCTTTTATAACTTTGCATGCCTAAAAATGTAATTACGTTACTGTCATATGCTCATAGTTTGGTTAAATTTTAGTTTGGAAATAGTTTTCTTTCCAAATCGTAAATACTTTACTACATTTTAGTTTCTAGTGTTGCTCTTGAGAAGTCTAATTTCATTCCGATGTCCAATTTTTCACATGTGATTTATTCTTTTTTTTTCTGGAAGCTTTTTAAACCTTCTTTTTATTCCCAGTGATTTGAAATTTTTGATAATATTTCTTTGTGTATCCTCCCCTTCCCTGCCTCCACATTACATAGGACATTTGATAAGCTATTGAAATCTCAATCTCTAATCATTCAGTTCTGGAAAACTTTCTTATGTGATATCTTTTATAATTTCTTCTCTCTTCATTTTCCCTATTGACTCTTCTAGATCTGCTCTGATTTGAATGTTGGGTCTATTGATCTGATCCTCTAATTTTTTTTTTTTTTTTTAGACGGAGTCTCACTCTGTCTCCCAGGCTGCCAGGCTGGAGTGCAGTGGTGCGGCAATCTGGGCTCACTGCAAGCTCCACCTCCTGGGTTCACGCCATTCTCCTGCCTCAGCCTCCCAAGTAGCTGGGACTACAGGCGCCCGCCACCACACCTGGCTAATTTTTTTGTATTTTTTTAGTAGAGATGAGGTTTCACCATGTTAACCAGGATGGTCTCGATCTCCTGACCTCATAATCTGCCTGCCTTGGCCTCCCAAAGTGCTGGGATTACAGGCATGAGCCACTGCGTGCAGCCAATCCTCTAATTTTTTAAAACCAAATTTCTCCTATTATCCATCTCTTTGTTCGTTGTATATTCTGGAAGATTTTGAGAAAAATGTTTCTGTTTCCTATTTTTCTCTTTTTTTGTGGTTAGGATTGTTCTCTTTTATGGTATTGACCTTGCTCAAATGTCTAGTGATCTTTGACTATCCATTCTTATGATGGACATATGATGAATGGACTATTAAAAAGACTGGAAGTTCTGAATACAGGCTGGGCTTGTTGACAGTTTTATTTCATTGTAGAATTATTCAGTGAGAACCTGGCCATTTCATTAGACTTAACTATTTCTCCTGAGAGGAATCTGCCAGGCTTGTGGAGAGAGAGAGAGAGAGAGAGAGCAAGTGCAAGCAAGAGAGAGAGAGAGCACTGCTAATACTCTGACAGCTGGACGAGGGGAGAGAATCAGGAATCTTGTCTGTTCGATATGATTTATTCCATTTTCAGTTTCTTACTCCATCCTGTTTTGTTTCTACTGTCCTCCAGTCCTGAGTCTCTCTGGCCCAGTTTTTCCAGAGGTTAAATATCTTCCTTCTTGCGTGAGCAGTGGTCATCATGTGATTGCACAAGATGAGGGTATAAGTTTTTTGTCTGTGCTCTCCCTCTTACCCCTCCTTCCAGAGGTATCTGGCACATTCAATTCCTGAACTGTTTCACAGGTTCTGAAGTGCGAATCCATTTGCTTTTCGTTGGTCTCCTCTCATCAAGCAGTTTTTTTTTTCAAATTTCTATGGCCTGCTAAGACAGTTACCACTTGACATCTGCTTTCTATCTTGAAAAATTTTCTTGTCATCTTTCTTTTGCTCTCCTTGAGATTTTATATCTTATTTTTATTCCTTTATTACCATTTTATTGAGGCTTTGGAAATAGTGCACATAAAGCCATATATTCAATCTCCAAGTAAACCAGAATCCTTTCATATTTTTTCTTTATAGTGAAAGATGACAGCCAGGAGTTACCTAAAGACCCACGTAAATGTATCAGGTAAGTTTTTCTTTATACAATTTATGTCGATTTATTTACCAAAAGGACTATTTATTTAAACTCTTTATGTTTTTCATCATAATTAAATGTTTGTTTTTAATTTAGAAACATCTTATAATATCTTTTTAAAATATTGTTTTCAGAAAGAACATGGAAAATTTTGAATTCTTTCTAGTTGAATTAAAATTAAATGTAACTACATGATCTCGCTTTTTTCTTCTGAGATGGAGTTTTGCTCTTGTCGCCCAGGCTGGAATGCAATGGCGCAATCTCAGCTCACCACAACCTCAGCCTCCACGGTTCAAGCGATTCTCCTGCCTCAGCCTCCCAAGTAGCTGCAATTATAGGCACCTTCCACCACACCCGGCTAATTTTTTGTATTTTTAGTAGAGATGGGGTTTCACCATGTTGGTCAGGCTAGTCTTGAACTCCTGACCTCAGGTGATCCACCCGCCTCGGCCTCCCAAAGTGCTGGGATTACAGACGTGAGCCACTGTGCCCGGCCGATCTTGCCTTTTTTATATTTTTGAAAAGAGAAGAATGTATTGTCAACAAAATCAGCACAGATCATTATAGATCACAAAAATTCAAGCAATTTAGGAGAAGATAAGGTCTAGATAAAAATGGTAAGAGTTAGGGCTGAAGCCATTGTACCTTTTGGGAGACAGTCTGTAAATGTGGCATCAGTTCATCTTGAACACCTGAACAAGGTATAGGCCTAGAAACACACATACGGTTCGGCGGCATTTAATTTCTTGAGCATTTCCATCAGCTTTATCTTGATAGTCAATCAGATTTAGAAAACAGCCAATTAACTAGTGTTGTAACAGTGTTTACTTTAGCTCATATTTCCTTGACTAGCTCTGTATAAAAGTTGAGTAAAATTAGATAACTTATGGCCGAGAGCAGTGGCTCACGCCTGTAATCCCAGCACTTTGGGAGGCCAAGGCGGGTGGATCAGGAGGTCAGAAGATCGAGACCATCCTGGCTAACATGGTGAAACCTGTCTCTACTAAAAAATACAAAAAAATTAGCCGAGCGTGGTGACAGCCACCTGTAGTCCCAGCTACTCGGGAGGCTGAGGCAGGAGAATGGTGTGAACCCAGGAGGCAGAGCTTGCAGTGAGCCAAGCCGAGATGGTGCCACTGCACTCCAGCCTGGGCGACAGAGAGAGACTCCATCTCAAAAAAAAAAAAAAAAAACACAAAAACTTAAGTGGCTTATCTTCATGAAAAAATGTTGAAAAATTGCAGAAAGGTAAGCATAATCTAGTTAATGGTACACTAAGTTGGTATTCAATAGAGGACATTGCCACCCCTTAAATGTGTCAATGTGGTTGACCATCCTGGCATAAAATAGGCCTATGATAAATATTCAATGCATAAAGGTGGTTTTATCACCTAAAACATGAATGTCCTTAGATATCAAAAGTTATTACTCTTTATGGTATAGTTATTTGCAGTTCATAAAGATACAGTGCCCGTGTTTACTAATAAGGCAGTAAGAACAGAGCAGAAGACCTTCTGTGGTCTCAGCTTCAGCAGGTCCTCTGAGCCAAACCAAGGATAAATGATGCTAGAATCAGGTCTGATTTGTGGTATTCACCTTGTGCCAGCCTGAACTTCCTAGAGAAGCCTTTAGGTAATACTTATTTGAGGCAATGCAGTCTAGATTTCAATGATACGCTAGACTCATGCTGTGTATCAGGCTGCACTTCGTTGTGTGTCTGTGAATTCTAATGTTAGCCCCTGGTACAGTTGCTCTGAAACAGAGCTCAGTTATGTCTAGTTCTTAGTTTTTAAATAATGCATTCACAATAAGATCTTGCAGAAATTATTCAAAGAAAGATGCTGCTGTTAATATTGTGTGTCTAGTGCCATATGCTTAGAACTTTGCATTACTTCATGAGCTGGAAGAACTGGCCTGGCTGTAGAAATGTATTCCAAAGATATATCCAGGCAGTTGGACCCCCGGTTTCTAAAAGACATAGCAAAACTTAGGCAAGGTCTATTCAACTGGGTACAGTATAGTTGGGGGAATCTAGTTGATGTTCAGGAATTGAAGGTGACTTGAACTTGTGCTAGTCATCTGGGATGTTTGCAGTGGTCTATAGGATACCACTTACAGACAGGTTTTCAGCCCTTGGGAGAACAGCTAGTACTTAGAATGTACTTAGAATGTACTGTAGTCATCCACGTACTTAGAATGAATTCACTGAGCATATGTTGTATACCAGGCATTGTGCCCCAGTGTGAGGATACACACCTGATTAATATGTCATCCCTAACCTCACGAGATTTATATTCTAGCATTGGAAGCCCTCTTCTTTTTTCCCCATTCCATAAATACAAATTATTTGTTTTATTTTGTATTAATTGTTGCACAGTATCAGAAGATGTTCCTCTTCTGAAAGGGAGACAGTGCAAGAAGTAGGCCTGTCGATCCATTAGGTCAATGTAGACAGTATTTGCCACCAGAGAATGTAGTTGGAAGACCACAGGGAAGGTATCAAGATCGTGGCTAAGGGAAGAATGCTGAGGGCAGATTGAATCATATCTAAAATGAGTCATATTTAGCAGAAACTTTCCCCTGTGGTTTTTATTTTTTCTAGGCTTCCTTCAGAGGCCTTCAGTTTTTCACTAAGTCATCCATCTCTGGGGCCTCTTTTAAGTGGAACTGCCTCTTTTAAATGCAATCAGCATTTTATTGGGCCATGACTGTTTATTGTTGTAGTACATAAATATAATATAGTAAGTGCTATGACAGACGTAAGATCAAGATGCTGGGGGAGCACAGAGGGAGAAACATCTTACTCAGGCTTGGCAGGGATTGGGAGACGAACATATAAAGACAAGTTTTCATAGGAGGTGATGCCAAAGTGGCTTCTAGAGGCAGAATGGGGATTCACTGATAGACTATGGGGCCAGGGGATCCTAGGCAGAGGGAACAGCACATTCAACAGGAATGGAGCTACAGCAGGACATCTTTCCAACAGCCTGACACAGGGGAATGCATTTTGACAACCTAAATAAAAAGTTAAAATGAATCATGAATGCCAGGGGCAACCAAAATAAGATTATCAGGAGCTGAGATAAAAACTAGAAGAGGAAAGGGAGGGGAGGATTGGTTGCTCGGTAATCATGAGAGGAGATGAAAATGAAACATAGATGGTGAACATGCTAAATATACACCTGTATGCGAGTGGCTAAATCATTTAAAGGGGCAGGCACGAGACAAAACTTGAGGGATACAGACAGAAGAGTGTAACTTTTGCATTTCATATTAAAAATCCTAAGACAAATGCATGCCTTTGACACAGCATTTCCACTTCTAGAAATTTATCTTTATAGATATATTTAAACAAATATATAGAGATTCCAAAAATGTTCATCATAGAATTATACATCATGAGAAATTGAAAACAGAATGTCCAACAAAACTGATTAAGTAAACATTGGTTTAGGCAATAATGTCCAAAAAGCAGCCTTTGGGTATGATTCTGGAGACATAGTTGCTAACATTAAAAGTAAGCGGGCCGGGTGCAGTGGCTCTTGCCTGTAATCCCAGCACTCTGGGAGGCCGAGGCGGGTGGATCACCTGAGGTCAGCAGTTTAAAACCAGCCTGGTCAACATGATGAAACCCCGTCTCTACTAAAAATACAAAAATTAGTTGGGCATGGTGGCGCGTGCCTGTAATCCCAGCTACTCAGGAGGCTGAGTCAGGAGAATCGCTTGAACCCGGGAGGTGGAGGTTGCAGTGAGCCGAGATTGCGCCATTGCACTCCAGCCTGGGCAACAGAGCGAGACTCTGTGTCAAAAAAAAAAAAAAAATTAAGTGAAAAGTTGGACACAGAAATTCAGTGTTGCAAGATTAAAAAGTTCTAGAGATCTCTTGCACAGCAATGTAACTACACTTAACACTACTGAACTGTACACTTAGAAATGGTTAAGATGATAAAGTTATGTGTTTTGCCACAATAAAAAATAAATGAAAAGAGTGCCTTATAAAATACTGTATAGGATATTATCACACACACACACACACACACACACACACACACAACTGAAAGGCATTTCTAGAATAGCAAGTGAGAGAATCCCAATTCTTCCATTTACTATGTGACTAAGAAAAGTTAATTTCTCTGTGTCTCAGTTTCTTTATATATTAAATGCTAGTAATAATGGTACTGATTTCATAGAATTACTATGAAGATTAAATGAGTTAAGTACATAGAAAGTAATTATAATAACTTTAGTCAAAGATAACTCGAGAACCATTATGAAGTAAACTTGTAAATGGTATTATCTTGAAAAATCAAGATTTGTGAAATTGAAAGGAAAAATGAGTAAAAAATTGGGAGAGTAATGTGAAGACCCTAAATTTAGTATTTGTATGCTGTGAGAGAATCAGTAAGAAGGCTGCTGTTGCTAGAACACAGCAAGGGGGAAAAGAGAAGAGAGGTAGCTGGAGGTAAGAGAAGTAGGCTGGGCCAAATCACTTAGGACTTTATAAACCGTGTAAGGAATTTAGATTAATTTTATTATACCAGGTAAGGAAATTGGGACACTGTTGAACAGCTTTTAGGAAAAGGAGAGACAGAATCAGATTTAACTTTTAAAAGGAGTACTTTTAACTGCCATGAGGGCAATAGTTTGTGAAGGATCTAAGGTGGAAGCAAAGAGAAGAGTTATTAGGTTATTTTGGTTGATCAGGGGCAAGACAATGGTGGTTCGGTCAAGGGTTTGGGCATAGGTATGGAGGAGGAGAAATGAGTGGATTCAAGGCTTGCGCCGAAGGAGAATTACTGATTCGATGTGAGTTGTGAGAAAAAGTGGGACCAAGGGTAATTACTAGATTTGGGGTTGAACTGGGTGGGTTCTGCTGTCATTTACTGAGATGGAGAAGATTGAAAGAAGACATCATTGACTCAAATTAAGATGAATAATTCCATTTGTTGGTAAAGATATGGAGTAATTGGAGCTTTCGTACATTGCTGCATATCTTGTTTTATCACTTTACATGCCCACAACCAGTTTGAAACAGTTTAAGTTTCTTATAATGTCAAACATTACCTTTCCTGTAATCCAGTAATTCTACTCCTAAGTATATACCTAAAAGAAATGAAAAATATATGTTCACAGGAAGAGTTGTACACAAATGTTCGTAGCAGCTTTATTTATAATATCGCAAACTAGAAACAACCAAAATGTCCATCAACAGTTGAATGCATAAATAAATTGTGCTTTATTAATATATAGAATACTATCAGCAAATAAAAATGAATTAATTATTGATACATGCAACAATAGGGAATAAGTATGCAGGCATTATGTTGAGTGAAAAAAACCACAGTAACAAAAGAGTACATACTATGTGATTCAATTTATATGAAGTTCTAGGACAGGCAAAACTAATCTGTCAGATTAATCCGATCGGTGATTGCCCAGAATGTCAAGGGAGATTGACTGGGAAGGGGCAGTAGGAAACTTTCTGGAATAATGAAAATACTCTACATCTTGTATGAGGTAATGCTTATGCAGATGTACACTTTTGTATCAAAACTCATCAATCTGTACACTTAAAACGTGTGCATTTTATTGAGTGTAAATTATGCTGCAATAAAATTTATTTTAAAAAGCTATTCAAGCCAGGTGAGATGGCTTGGGCCTGTAATCCCAGCTATTTGGCCAAGGTGGAAGGATTGCTTGAGCCCAGGATTTCAAGACCAGCCTGGGCAATATATTGAGACCCATCTCTTAAAAGAAGAAAAAGATATTCAATTATCTTTACAACTCTCTTATATTTCTAAAGTTGTTTCAAAATAAAACTTAAAAAAAAAAAAAAGGTATTCAAACCTTTTCAGTGAGTAGAGAAAATGTCTACATTTCCAAACCTCCAAACTCAGATTCTAAAATCTGAGATTACTACACGAAAGGAAATTATAGGTCAATACCTTTTATTAGCATAGATGCATAAACTCTAATCAAAATATTACCGAATTGAATCCACATTGGGATAACAATGACCAAATGGGTCTGATTATAAGAAAGCAAGGTTGGTTTAATATTCAAACATCAATTTGTTTAACACATTTACTAGCCAAATAAAGGGAAAAGCCGTAAAATTATCTCAGTGAATCCAGCAAAAGTATTTGTTAAAATTTAACACCCATTCATGATAAAAATTCTTAGCAAACTGAAACAGAAATTCCCTTATTTCAGTAATAGGAATCTACAAAAGTCCAACAGCCAACCTCATACTAAAATGTGAAATGTTTAATGCTTTTCTCCTGAGTTTTGGAATAAGGTAAGTATGTCTACTACCACCACTTCTATTCAACATTGTACTGGAGGTTCTAGCCAGTGCAATGAGGCAAGGAAAATAAATAAAAATTTTAAGGTTTGGAAAGGATGAAGCAAATTGTCTTTATTCATAGATAACATGATTATGTGCATAGTGAAATCCAAATGAATATAAAAAAACTTGAAAATTAATTAGTGAATTTAGCAAAGACTCATGGTATAAGATCAAAGTTAAGATTAAAAATTAACTATGTTTCTATATACTCATAATCAACAGATAGAAATTGAAATTTTAAAAATACCACTTACGGCCAGGCGCCATGGCTCATGCCTGTAATCCCACCACTTTGGGAGGCCAAGGTGGGCAGATCATCTGAGGTCGGGAGTTTGAGACCAGCCTAACCAACATGCAGAAACCCTGTCTCTACTAAAAATACAAAATTAGCCGGGCATGGGTGGCACATGCCTGTGGTCCCAGCTACTCGGGAGGCTGAGGCAGGAGAATCACTTGAACCTGGGAGGCAGAGGTTGCTGCAGTGAGCCAAGATCACACCATTGCACTCCAGCCTAGGCAACAAGAACAAAACTTCATCTCACAAAAAAAAAAATGATAATAAAATACCATTTACAACAGCATCAAAATGTAATGAAACATGTACAAGACATGTATACTGAAAACCACAAATATTTCTGAGAGAAAATTTAAAAGACTTAAAGAAGTAGAAATATCCAATGTTTGTGGCTTGGGAAAAACTCAATATTATTATATTGTCAATTCTTCCCAAATTAAACTGTAGATTAAATTCAGTCTCAATCAAAATCTTAGCAGTTGTTTTTTTTCTGGAAATTTGTAAGCAAGCTCTAAATATATATCTAAAAGCACAAAGGACATAGAATGAGAAAGCAATTTTGAAGAACAAAGTTACAGCATAGATACCCCTAGATATTAAGATGTACTAGAAAACGACTATAACTTTGCTCTAATTGGATCTTTTTAGGTCAAATTCGTGTTCCTGAATTAGGCACCATGGTCAGACAGCCCTGAACCCATCAGGCTCTAATTTAGAGCCAGAGGTGTGGTCAGTCCCATCAGAGTGTATGGTATCTACATAACGGGGGAAGAATGCAAGAGCTGTTGAGGAGGCAACCACAATGTCCACTGTGACAACCTTCATAAGCAAAATATTTTTACTGGACCCAAACTTTGATGAGTAAGAGTTTGACAGGCACAGAGGAGACAGGAGTCTCTAGAACAGCTTTCACAGAAGGAGGAGTGTAATACCATGGTGTGCTTGGATTAGTAAGAAATTCTGTGTGATGGAGCCTCTGGATGTGGGGATGGATAACAGAAGAAAAGGATGGAAATGGCCAGATGGTGAAGAGCTTCAAGTTCTATTTGAAAGTATTTAGATGTTTTCATATAGAATTACATAACCAAATATGGTTTTCTTTTTCTTTTCTTTCTCTCTCTCTCTCTTTTTTTTTTTTTTTTTTTTTAAGACAGAGTCTTGCTCTGTCGCCCAGGTTGGAGTGCAGTGGTATAATCTCAGCTCACTGCAACCTCTGCCTCTGGGTTCAAGCGATTCTCCTGCCTCAGCCTCCTGAGTGGCTGGGATTACAGGCACGTGCCACCTTGCCCAGGTAATTTTTTTTTTTTTTTTTTTTTTTGAGTACAGAATCTCGCTCTGTCTCCAGGCTGGATTGTAGTGGCGCGATCTCAGCTCACGGCAACCTCTGACTCCCTGGTTCAAGCAATTTTCCTGTCTCAGCCTCCTGAGTAGCTGGGATTACAGGCACACGCCATCATGCTCAGCTTATTTTTGTATTTTTAGTAGAGACAGGGTTTCACCATGTTGGCCAGGATGGTCGCGATCTCCTGACCTCATGATCTGCCCGCCTCAGCTTCCCAAAGTGCTCAGATTGCAGGCGTGAGCCACTGCGCCTGGCCTAATTTTTGTATTTTTAATAGAGACGGGGTTTCACCATGTTGGCCAGGCTGGTCTCGAACTCCTGACCTCAGGTGATCCTCTCGCCTCAGTACCAAATATGGTTTTCAAGCAGAGGTATGATAACCTAGAATAGGGAGAGCTAGGGGTAGAAAAACTACAAGGAAGCTGTTTAGAGTTAATAGGAGAGAAATGATGAGGTACTTATCAAGGCAATGGAGACCAGCTGACACCTAAGTGCTGAAGAGGCGCTAAACTTGGCTCTTTTCATGCATGATTTCACTGAGTGCTCAAAACAACCACTTGAGAAAGTTTTATCTCCTGATTTTATAGATGGGGAAACAGACCTGGAGAGGTTAGATAACTTGCTCCAGAGCCACACACTTAACAAGTAGAAGTGCCGGAGGGTTTTAACCCAGGCCAGCTGATTCCAGACCCTGAGTATCCATGATACTAAACAACTAGGTCATGATGGACAGGAAGGTTCCAACCAGAGATATTTAGGGGTTTAATTGTTAGGCTTTCGTTGTGGCTGGGATGTTGCTTCCTTGAAATAGCACTGCCATGATTTTCTTCTTCCCCTAATGAACCTTTCTTTCTTTCATTGGCTCCTCTTAATTACAAGTTGGTTTCTGCTCTTTCTTTTCAAAATACTTACTAACTTTTTTGGAGGTGGTTTTCTCTAGTAGCTTCCTCTATCAATGATTTTGTTGATTTGACCCAAATCTCTTATTTCTAATCTCAGTGTCTTAATCACACTCCTGAAGATCATTTTGACTTGTCTGTACTAACAGCACCTGAAATCTATATCTAAAATTAAACTCGTATTTTACTTCAGTTTCTCTTGATGCTTTCTATTAACAGCAAAACGAACCAGATTTCTGGGCTTTAGAAGAATATTTGACTGTAATATTCCTTCACTTTTCACACCCTATCAGGCAACCAACCAGTCCAGTCAATTTTTTAGCATTGCCTTCAACTCATCTCCTCCCTTTCATAACATTTGCTGCCACTCTGCTATTAGCTCTCAGTAGTTAATCCCTGAATTACTGCGTTTGTTTCCTATCTGGTCCCCTGGCATTTAATCTCCCTTCTATACTCCACCCTGCTTATTACTTTCAAGGAAAAGTCTTGCTCCAACATGGATTTCATAATTTACTTGCCTTATTCGAGAACTACTGATGGCTGTCTATTACCCAACAAATCAAGATCAAGATTACGGAATCAACTTTAAACCGTTCTCTGCCTAAATTTGAGGACCCTGCACTGCCCAGTTTCACTTATCAATTCCAACTCCTGTGAATATGAAGTCTCCATTCTAGTCAATTGTTCTATAATTTCTTCCCCCAACATCCTCTGTGTGTACATATGTGCACGCCATGCTCTCTCCCATCTGAGCAATTACTATTACTCTTCCCTTGGCCTACAGTGCCCCCTTATTTTTTTTTTCCAGACCTGTATCCCAAATGACTCTTTCCCTGACGACTGAAAAAAAATTACATCTCCCTCCTCCGACTTCTTTGCTTATTGCCACTGCCAGAGGAGAGAAGTATCTGTTCTTGTATTCTCCAAATGTCTCCGTTAAACCATATAACACTTTATCGCGTTAATATATAAAGCTGTTCAATTCACTAGTCCAGGTATATATCTTATTTTTTCCAACAGGATAACAAACTCTAATGTTCAGTTTAAAATTATGTCTTCTACTTTTTTGTATTCATGACGTCAATGATAATACTCAGTAAATTCCCATCATTGGTTGAAACTATAAACACATGTATTTTTATGCTGCATGTATCCCTGTAAGCTTACTTTATCTGAATAATAGTAAAATATAGTTACAGTTCTCTTTTTTTAAGGGGCTGTTTCCTTTATAGAATTGAAAATTCAGATACTCCCAAATGTGTAAGACATTTTGCTTTGTATATTCAAACCACACTAAAGTTATACCTTTTAGGGTAATATTTTTAATTATTATGGAGGAAAAAACAGAAAGCCCCTGAAGGCTAACAGTTTGAAATTGAACAGGACACCCTGGGAAGGGAAAAGGTCATGGGTCGTGGTCAAACAGACAAAAAACAATGGAGACGATTGTGCCTGAAGATGGTGTATTTTTTTTCACGAGACAGTGTGTTGACAGTTTCCTTCCTCTTGAGTCATTGTTGTCTGCTAAATGATCTGTGACAGCAAATTGATCACAAGCTTTTTCATGCAGGAGATATAATGCAGCCTTTCATTTTGTTACCTCTGTTGCCAAATGCTGAGACATTTCATTGGCAAATTCATGTTAGTTTAGTATATCATTTAGTCATCTACAGCACAGCATGCGGCTCTGGAAGCAATAATAGTAATGATTAATTTATCTTCCTCAAGTTTCAAATTTCTACTTAAGTGTGATTGTAAAAGTAACAACACTTTCGAAAAATGTTAGTCTTAGGTGTGCATAATTGTTATTTAAATAAATGAATGAATTAACACATTTAGATAATGCCTCATTAATTTAAAAGTTGAGTCAAATACTTAATTTAAGGTACCTATGATTTACCTTTAAAAACTAATGCTAATATACTTGTTCTGACTGAAAACTTGCTTCTTCTTCTAAAGAGCTAAGAACTTCAATTGGAAAACAGGCATAAGGCATATTGCACTGGATGTCTAAGCAGCTGTTTAAGCCAGTTAATTAGTGATTTCACATGTCTGAAAAAATATGCTTAAGTAATGTTTTGTTTATAGAGTGTTGAGAATCTCTGCAAGTTTGTGGAAAAATGCCTGGAAATGCAGTTATTTAAGGGACTGCTTTATAGTTTTCATTTAACACCTTATAACAATCTTTGCTCTCCATTAGGACATACTAATATTAGCACAGGGAGGGGAAAGTAGCACCCAGGAGTATTAGAAAAGAGCTGTTTTTCCCCTCTTTGAAAATAGCCAGATTCTCTGTAAAAACTAAACTAATCTCAATTCTAATACTTGTATTCTGTCCCCATTATAAGAAATAAGGGTTTTTTACTAGAATTTGGCATTGAAGTTCAAGAAAAATGTTTATTGTTTCTTATAGAATGAGAAATTGACAGGTATAACGCTTTGCTTAGAGTTCTTTTTTAATGTTAGTCATGAAAGGCAGATGTCTTAAACCTGTATTTTTCTTTTTATAATATACATGTGGGTCCATATTTACATTTATCATTGAAATATGATTTGAACATTTTCTTTTTCGTTATTTGTATTCATTATTGGTGGAATCAGTATATTGGATACAATTGTTAAAAATGCATGTTACAATTTGCAAGTCAGTTTAATATCTTGTGACAAGATATTATGTGAACAGTCCATATAGCAGTACAATAATTTTAAAAAGAAAATTTACAAACTGCCCATCGTCTGATTTTTATTTATATTTTCAGACCAATTAAAACAACCTCATTTAGTGATTACTACCAGACATGGTCCAGAATAGCTACATCAAAAGCCACAGAATACTACAGAACTCCATGTAAGGTGAACTATCCTTATCCTATGTCCTTTTGGTATATGTTAATCTGTTAACATTTATCTTGGTTTCAAAGACTAATTGACACACATCTGCTATGTAAGAGTGATAAACTTCTCTGTAGGCTCTATATACTATTCATTCAACAACTATTACTTTAGTTCTTTTTTTCAAAAAAAAATAATTTTAACTTTTTGTCTTGGAGACAGAGTCTAACTCTGTCATCCAGGCTGGAGTGCAGTGGCACAATAATAGCTAACTGCAGCCTCAAACTCCTGAACTCAAGCGATCTTCCTGCTTCAGCCTCCTGAGTAGCTAGGATTATAGGCAAAAGCCACTATGCATGGCTAATTTTTTATTTTTACTTTTTTTTTTTTTCGAGATGGAGTCTGGCTCTGTTGCCCAGGCTGGAGTGCAGTGACGCAATCTCAGCTCACTACAAGCTCCGCCTCCCAGGTTCACGCCATTCTCCTGCCTCAGCCTCTCGAGTAGCTGGGACTACAGGTGTCTGCCACCACGCCCAGCTAATTTTTTGTATTTTTAATAGAGACGGGGTTTCAGTGTGTTAGCCAGGATGGTCTTGATCTCCTGACCTCGTGATCCGCCTGCCTCAGCCTCCCAAAGTGCTGGGATTACAGGCGTGAGCCACCACACCCGGCCTTATTTTTACTTTTTAGAGATGGGGTCTCACTATGTTGTCCAGGCTGGTTTGGAACTCCTGGCCTAAAGCAATCCTCCCGCCTCAGCCTCTCAAAGAAGAATACAAAGTTCTTTTGTATAGAGCCCTGGACTGAAGTCTGATTAAAAGCCAGAAAGAAAGATAGTCAATTGGAGGAATAACAGAAAAGTTCCCAATCTTATGAGGTTTACTTTACTTCCTTTACCCCAGAGAAAAGCTTTCACACCAGAGAGAACCTTTTTATTTCTCCTCTAAGCCACAAGAAATATTAGGTAGAAATTCAACAAGAAAACATAAGAACATAGGGCTGTTCAATTATATCAATCTAAAAGGAAAAATCATCTGTTACCATCATACATCAGGAGCTAAAAAGACAGATTGAGAGAGCTGGACAACTTTCCGGTTCCATTTAACTGGATCTTTAGAGTACTATTTCATTATCTGGATGAAAGTAGGTTGTCCAGTCTGCATACACTTACTGAAATACGACTTTGCTTCAGCCATCCTTCTAAAATGGTGCATTCTGCAGTAGCAGAGACTTCTGAATTCCCAGATGCAGTGATTACGTTTTAGTCCTCTTCTTACTTGCACTCCCATTAGCTGTGCTCTCCTTGATTTACATGATACCATACATCCATGGCTTTTCATCTCCCTTCCTAAGCACACTGCTGCCTCTTCCCTTGGCAATATCTTCTTCATTCAGTCCTCTCTACTTACTCTCTCTGAAAGACCTCTTCCACTACCATGGTTTTCATTTGCTTACAGTCCAGCGATTCCTAAAGCTGCATCTCTAGCCAGATCCCTCTTCTGAATTTTCCATGCATATTTATAACTGTGCAGGGGACATCTCACCTATGTGTATTATAGGCATCTCATATTCAAGATATCTCAAAGTGAATTCATCATCTTGCCCCCAAATCTATCTTTCTTCCTTTATTCCCTCTCTTGGTTAGTGGTAGATCACTAATTTTACATTTTCTTACCAAAGCCAGAATCTTAGATGTTTCCTACATCTCTTTATCTCTCTCATTAAGCCTTGTTGATTTTTATCTGCTGCAACATTATGAATGCTTCCACTCTACTACACCCCCATGACCATTGCCTTAATTTGAAGTCTCTTTATATTTCATCTCATCATTATGATAGTTTCCTATAGTGAAAAATAGTATCAAGTTTTAAGGTACAAATGAGGGCAAAAAATAGTACTAAGCTTAATAAATATCCTTAAAAGGTAAATTAGATCAATAACTTTTAAGAAATCACATGTTCTTTCAGGAGGTTGGCTATTAATTATTTTGTGATTATATATCACCATCCTCACTCATAGGTCAAAACAATTTAAGGTACATCAAGATATACAATCTTTAGCAGCTCTATCAGTATAAAATATTGATTATTTTTGATACCAGAGTACCTGAATGGTTAATTCAGGTCAAAGATTTGTTGTTGAGTGCTGCCTAGTCAATTCAGCAAACACATCTGCTGTGTGTACCTACTATGTATGAGGCACTGAGCAGCTCATATAGGCTGCAGGGGCAATAACCCTTAATTACACAAACACTGTGTTGAGAGACATTAATTGGCACACTCTAGGGAACCACTCAGAGTCAAACTCCTTCCACCAAAAAACAGATTGTTACAGGAGGGTGCTTTCTAGAATAACATGTAAATATATAGGGCCACTTGGAAACTCCAAACTGCTAGAGGAAAAAAAAATAGAAGCATGTGCCAAAACTTAAGGAGATTTGGGAATAATTGTCTTGCAATAAAGAATAATTAAAAAATGGAAGGAAATAATAAGGCACCACTGACCACAGTTTCTTCTTCAAAAAGAGTTTGGCCCCAAAATGTTTAATTTTGTTGTTTCTACATCTTTCACTAACCTAGTATGTGATTCATCCCTGTTTGTAAAGGTAATAACTGGCCATTGTTATCTCTAGCCCAGATGAATTTCTGAGACTTTGAATCTAGCACTTGGTGCATGATTTCACAATCACCCTGCCTCTTCTTCTTCTAGGGAATTGTTATAAGAATGTTTCAAGAGTTTCCTTGAATAATAACCAGCACTTAATTTAAAAAAATTAAATGTAAACTTTACATGTGCTGCTGGCCATTTTATCTTTTGATAGTTCAGCTGGATGAGATCCAACACTATCTTTTTTTAATGGCCTAATTTCCTGGCAATAATAAAGATGAAGCTTTTAGATTATAGAATGCTTCTTCAACAACTCAGAAATAAAAGAGAAACTTCTAATAACTTCATTTTCTACAGTTACATTCTTAGCATTAGAAAGATTATTAAACTCTTGTGCATATTTTTAAGAGCTTTATCTTTTATGAGTAGTGGTAAGTAGTTAAATTTTGATTTGGGGTATTAACTCTTTTCCCTATCTTGTGCCACAAATCTATACATAGTCGTTGGCATCATCATAATAGTAAGTTTATTCTTGTATAATGCAGTTTATGAAGTATGCTCCTATATATTTTTAGCCATCTCAATCTATCATTCTTTTATTCAATTATTCAACCAACATTATTAAGCACCTAATATATGTCGTGCACGGTGGTATATCAACCCTACGTGCCAGGCATTATTATTATTATTACTTTGTTTGAAGATGAGAAAACTAAGACAGAAAAGCTAAGTAATTTACCTAAGGTTACACATGTGAGGGAGAATATCATATGTTGGTAAAGAATGTACATCCTGGAGTCAGATTTACCAGAGTTTCATCCTGGGTCTGCCATTTACTGGCTGTGTGACTTTGGTTAAGTTTCTTAACCTCTCTGTGTCCCAGTTTTCTCATCCATAAAATAAGAATAATCACAGCACATACTTTATAGGGTTGAAGCACTTAAAACAGTGCCCAGCATATAGTGAGTTCTCAATAAGTGAACAATAAGTTCTCAATAAGTGTGTTCTCAATTAATTCGGTAGGCTGTGGTCCAGAGACTGGAACCACATCTTCTCACTCCACATTTGTTGCTCTTTCTCTGATACTCTACTGCCTCCGTAATATGACATCAAATTTTTATCTCTGTATGTATGAGATTTAAATTCAAACTCGGAAGTACATGCAGCATATTTGTAAATAATTATAATTTTTAGTTCATAAGCATAGGCAATCGTATGGAAAATGTACCAAGGATCCACTGTTCTCTCTCCACTGCTATAGAATGGCAAGTAAAAGGTTTGGCAGAGAACAAACCAATACATATATATGGTTGTGGGCAACAGAGCCTTAATGACAGAATATGATCCCCATAAGGAAATGTTTATGTTAGAGGAAAAGAATTCCTCCAGACCAGTGTACTCTTTAATACTGAGCCTAGGCTTCCTGATGTTTGTTTGCTGTCATCAAGACAGACCAAACAGCCTGAAGCATGATGGGGATGTTTGCTTCACCCTAGGAGACTTTTATTCTTTGAGTCGTTAAGCCAGCAATAAGGGCAAGTGTCTCCAAAACACATTTAGATGCAAGAAGCAGTATCATCTGACTCTAATGCAGTGGTTCTCAGTCTTGACTGCTCATGAGAACCACCTGAGGAGCTTGTAAAACTTTCAATATAGATGGCACACCCAAGACCAATTACATCAGGATCTCTGGGAGTAGGACCAGGCAGTAGTAGTTTTTAAAGCTCCCCAGGTGACTACAATGTGCAACCAAGGCTGGGAAGGTCCTAGTGGGAAAAGCATGATGTCAGAAGTTAGAAACTCCTTAGCCCTGTATCAGTTTTGCCATGTGCAGGTAAGTGAATTTAAGGTAGTCACTTAACTGTTTGTACTTTGGTTTTCATTTCTATTGATTGACAAAAATATTCTATCCTCCTTTATGTTGCTCTATGGTTAGCATGTGTGAAAATAGAACATGCTGAGGCAAGTTGGTACTATTGGTTTTTTTGGATGTGACCATCCTAGCAGTGGAAAAAAAAAATTCAGGGCAACCCGTACAGATGTTGGACAAGAGATGTATCATAGAAAAAAAAAAAAAAAAAAGCAGAGTAGAAGCAATGCCCTGGAAGCTGCAGAAGGCACAACAGAAAAGCAAGAAGAACTATACTGTGGATGCAATAGAGGATGCTTTCCTACCACAGATTACAAAATTGCCACAAATGCAAGATATCGTAGTGATGAAGGAATTTCAACGTGCAAAACTTCTGCTAAAATTACATGGTTCCTTTCTTCTCTCTGTCTCTCTCCTGTCCTCATTCTTTCATTGTTTCTCTCCGATCAGTGTCATTCGTTGAGCACCTTCTATATCTAGACAATTGGCTGTGTGTGGGAGATAAGAAGACACATTGTGCTAAGCTCTTCAAGGAGTTTACAGACAAGTGGTAAGAGACAGATGAGTGAAAAAAAACCATGGGGATAAAATATGAGATGTGTTAAAATTTGTACAAAGTACTGTGGCATTTTCATCTCTCAGATGATGGAGAAAGCAATGAAGAAAATGAGTCAATGATATAAAACTAATAGGACTATTCAGGAAAGATGACCGTGTCATTTGGGGTTTCATAATATATAAGGAAGAGACAGCCATACATATTCAAATATAAAATGAGGAAAGGCAATTTCAAAAAGTTTAAGAAAAGATATGAATTATCCTTAAATAGAAACCTCAAAAGGAAATAGCATTCGTGAGAGATTAAATTTTAAATTTTGGCTAAGAGTAATGAAGAGTCCCAATGAGAAGACATTACTCAACCTCTCTATGTCTGTTTGACCATCTGTACAGTGGGTATTCTAATGGTAACCATATCTATTTTACATGTGCCTAGCATATAATAAAAATTCTGGCTGGACACAGCGGGCTTACACTTGTAATCCCAGCACTTTGGGAGGCCAAGACAGGTGGATCAGTTGAGGCCAGGAGTTTGAGACCAGCCTGGCCAACATGGCGAAACCCCATCTCTACTAAAAATACAAAAATTAGCCCGGCATGGTGGCGCATGCCTATAATTCCAGCTGCTCACTGGCTGAGGCATGAGAATCACTTGAACCTGGAAGATGGAGGTTGCAGTGAGCCAAGATTGCACCACTGCACTCCAGCCTGGGTGACAGAGTGAGACTATCTTAAAAAAAAAAAAAAGAAAAGATAAAAAAGAAAAATCTGCTAATGTTAATTATTATAATCATCTAAAGGAAATAATGAGACCTCACAAGAACTCTGGGGAGCTAAGATTTACTTCTTTAATGGAAGGGAGGAGCATATATCCAAATACCAATAAAAAGTATTAATAACGTCTGTAAGAATATGTATGTATGTGTGCTTACATGTGTTTGAAGCAAGAAAATTAAGGAACAGACAAAAATATTACTGGTGAAAATCATGTAAAAAAGGAAACTATTCAGTTAAAAATTTTTTTTTCTATCAATGGCAAATGTCATCAAGCTAAAAGGGGTAAGTTCATCATTATTAAGAAGAAAGCGCCAGGCTGGGCACAGTGGTTCACATCTGTAATCCCAACACTTTGGGAGGCCAAAGCAGGAGGATTTCTTGAGCCCAGGAATTTGAGATCACCCTGGGCAAAATAGGGAGACCCCATCTCTACGAAAAAGTTAAAAATTAGCCAGGCATGGTGGCATGTGCCTATAGTCCCAGCTACTTGGGAGGCTTGAGTGGGAAGATCCCTTGAGCTCAGGAACTGGAGGTGGCAGTGAGCGATGATCATGCCACTGCACTCCAGCCTGGGTGACAAAGTGAGACCCCCATCTCAAAAAGAAGAAGAAGAAGAAGAAGAGGAAGAGGAAGAGGAAGAGGAAGAGGAAGAAGAAGAAGAAGAAGAAGAAGAAGAAGAAGAAGAAGAAGAAGAAGAAGAAGAAGAAGAAGAAAGAAGAAGAAGAAGAAGAAGAAGAAGAAGAAGAAAGCCCCAGACAAGGACAAGACTGGTGGAGAGCATCTAGCTGGTTAAATAGTTCGACTGTAAGCTAAGCTCAGAACAATAATAAGAAATAGGAAAATAGATAAAGTATATATGAGCATATGATCTGGCTTAATAATATTTCATGTAAAAATTACCAGTGCCTTAAACATAGTAGGGTTTTTTTTAATTATTATTATACTTTAAGTTCTAGGGTAGATGTGCACAACGTGCAGGTTTGTTACATATGCATACATTTGCCTGTTGGTGTGCTGCACCCATTAACTTATCATTTACATTAGGTATATCTCCTAATGCTATCCCTCCCCCCTCCCCCCACCCCACGACAGGCCTTGGTGTGTGATGTTCCCCTTCCTGTGTCCAAGTGTTCTCATTGTTCAATTCCCACCTGTAAGTGAGAACATGCGGTGTTTGGTTTTCTGTCCTTGTGATAGTTTGCTGAGAATGATGGTTTCCAGCTTCATCCGTGTCCCTACAAAGTACATGAACTCATCATTTTTTATGGCTGCATAGTATTCCATGGTGTATATGTGTCACATTTTCTTAATCCAGTCTATCATTGGTGGACATTTGGGTTGGTTCCAAGTCTTGGCTATTGTGAATAGTGCCACAGTAAACATACGTGTGCATGTGTCTTTATAGCAGCATGATTTATAATCCTTTGGGGTATACACCCAGTAATGGGATGGCTGGGTCAAGTGGTATTTCTAGTTCTAGACCCTTGAGGAATCACCACACTGTTTTCCACAATGGTTGAACTAGTTTACAGTCCCACCAACAGTGTAAAAGTGTTCCTATTTCTCCACATCCTCTCCAGCACCTGTTGTTAATCATAGTAGGTTTTTAATAAATCTTATATGAATTTGATTGAAGGTATAGGCTTGTAATTAACCACAAACTTAAGAGCCAGTGGTGATGTAATATGAGTTCCAGAAAATACTAATGCAGGTCTGAGCTGAATTGATAGTCCACAGAGCAAGGGAGGTAGTAAGCCCATTTGCATCTTTGCTTCAAACCAATTCAAGGTCCTGATCCAGTTTGGGACACTAACTTTAATAGGAACATCAAAAGAGTTTATCACCAGGGCATTAAGGATGGTTAAGTTTCTAGAAAATCATATCCTAAGAACAAGTTAAAAGAACTGAGGCTTCCCTGTGAGCTATTAGAGGGCTCTCTCTTGTGGGAGAGGGATGAACTTAGTATTGCTCCAGAGGTTAGAACTAAGACCAGTGGAAACTCACAGCAGTCAGATTAAGGAAGGACATTGTAACCCTTATCTGCCAATGGAATGGGCAGTCTCCCAACTACAAAGTGGTGTGTTTTCTGTAGTTTGCAAGTAATTCATTCAGAACCTGGATGATCATCTGTTGGAGATTCTTGCTTTGTGAAGGATCAAGCAAGGTCTTTAATGTCATTTCCAACTTCAAAATTCTAATTTTCTACTTGAAGTGCTGAATTAGAATTTTGTTAAACTATGATGTCTTGGTTTTATATGAGTTATTTTAATACTTTCTTCATTATTGTTGCTCAAAACAAAATTTCTCTTTTTAAATTTTTATTTATTTATTTTTGAGACAGGGTCTCACTCTGTCACACAGGCTGGAGTGCAGTGGCGCAATCTCAGCTCACTGCAACCTCTGACTACTGAGTAGCTGGGATTACGGGTGTGTCCCACCACGCCTGGCTAATTTTTGTATTTTTAGTGGAGATGGGGTTTCACCACATTGGCCAGGCTATATTTCAATAAATTTAAAGATCTAATTGGCTTGCATTAGTGATTCATGAATCAGGCAGCATCTCATCTTAAAAACAGATAAGTGATCTACTGAGCATAGCAGAACAGTTAGTTTTTATAAGGTAACTAGAGCAGGAATAAGAAAACAGAATAATACAAAAATTGGATTGGTTAACATAAGGCACTTCAGTTACTTTCCTTGTAAGGGTTAAAGCACAGGGACTTCCTTATCATGCCACTTCAAGTTGACTGGGCCCCTTCTGACTGGTGGCTGTGAATCTCTTCTTTTGAAAAAACTGATCTGCTTAAGATTGTCCTGCTTCCTTAAAGTTTCAGTTTTATTGCATGACACTTAGCATGAGTAACTCCATTTTGTTTGGTCTGTTAATGCCTAAGGTAGGTGCTCAGTCCAAAACAATGGTCTCCTATAAATTTTATTTAACATGATAAAGGATATATAATGTTTTTCATTATAATGAAAATAACTTCCAAGTCATAATCTATTTCAAACAATATCTAATATTATGATGTTCCAATAAAAGCAAGTAATTTGGAAAGTTTCTAAGGATTGTAATATGACTTGAATTATATAGTGCATGTTATTGCCACATATCAAGTTAATGAGAAGTGAATGATTTTTAACTTTTAACTATTAACTATTATTAAAGAATGTATGTATAGCTTCTTTTTTTAATATTCTAATTTCAGTGCTCAAAGTTCCAAATTTCATTGGACAGTATTACAAATGGAAGAAAATGGATCTACAGCATCAGAAAGAATGGAATTTAAAGTAAGAAATATGAAGTGCCTTGAATGTGTACATTAACTTGAATTGTCTATTATTCCACTTTCTACTATCCAACTTGGAAATAACAGAAGAAACCCTTGGAAATAACAACTTATACCCTTTTCTCAGTATAAGAACAAGAATAAAAGAAATGATCATTTCTTGCTTTCATATGAACCCAGGTAGGAAATATCTTTGCTACATATTTGCTGCCAAAGATGGAGATAGGACATGATCTGCAGTGAAGAAATCTCGTAATATCCTTCCCATTATTTCTCTTACTCTCATTTCCATCATCCTTATCAACATGTGACTTAGAAATAGCTTTTTTTTTAAAAAAAAGAAAAGCAAAAAACTATATATCATCAATTAGCTTTTCATCCTTTTTGTAGCTCCAAACATTGTTTCTTCTCCCACAGATTTCTCATTCAAGACCAAATATATTAAATCTAATGAAGAAGGATATAGTAAAATACAAACATAAATTATTATATCTTTAGAAATCATTGACTCTTAGACCACATTAAGGAAGGAACCTTAATCTCATCTTTGGTCTTTTGACCCCTGAAGGCAGTTTTTCTGCTTCATCATGTTACAACAAAGATGCCATTTCAGTTCTGTGGTATTGGCTGTGTTGTGCTAGTCATTTTTTCTGGTGTGCTCATTCCAAGGTACTCTGAGTGTGTGACCATAAAGGTAGGGGAATTAAAGATCCTATTTTTTGTGTTTATCTCATTTATCTCAATTTTTAGCTCTTCAGTTTACTGTTAACCAAGTGCCCTCTTTTCTAGATGGAAATACACGATGAATAAAGATAACGTGCTGTATTTTGAATTTCTGAAGCAACTGAGGAATTGAATATATTTTTTTAAATTGAGTATATTAAAATGTAATTCCCTATCCTTTAACATCATATAGTTCAGACTGAGTTTTTCAGTTGGATTTTCTTTCTTCTGTTGATTCTGTAACAACTTTCTTTCAAGCTAAAGTAGAGAAAAGCTTTTGCATTTGATATACTTTTCTGCTTTCAGGATAAATTACAGGAAGTAGAAAGTTTTTTATCCAGCAAAATTTGAAGGAGTATAAGCATGTTTTTTTCCTGAAGGCATGTTTTAAGTTTCTTTTAGAGTTGAAGAAACCTACTTAGAATATAAGGTTAATTTTTCTTTGACGTGACTTCCTTTTTTATTTCCTTTAACAGAACTGTTTTATTTGTTTGATCATCGATTCATTATGTAATGCCAACATCCTGCAGAACCCAAAAATTTAGAAAAAGTAGAACCGTGTCATTTTCAATTTATCCATCCACTTCTACATATGGCTAAAATAATTGTGAGCTGTTTGAGTGCTGGAACATTTTTCCAAATACATTATTTCAAAGTTACAGGTCAAATTATCATGTGCATAGTGACCCTGTCAGAATAAAACCCTCACACCTTATGCCATCTGGTGGTTGATGAGAATATATTTAGATCAAGTGATATTTGCTGCTTCAAAACGCTGGTGTTGATTAGTCAAAAACTCCACTATTTAAATGCAGTTTTAAAAAGATATTATATTTATCTGCATTTTATTGTGGCATAAATATTGACTATGCAAATGTTAGAGGTATAGTAAAATCTAAAAAATCTAAAGAATGGCAAAATTCAACTTCTCTTCAAATAATTATCAAAAGTCTTGTGTTCATCAAAATACATGGGGTATGATAAAGAGGACAATTCATAGAGAATCAAGTAGAAAATGTTTGGGGATCTATGCACATGAGTAATTGGTCTATATTGTGCATGCCATATTAAGCATCTCTCAGTTTTTAATATTCGAAAATGCTTTCCTTACGCTGAAATTTCCTGTTTCAAAAAAACAGGAAATGTAAATTGAGAACCCTGTATTTGCATAGCATTGAAGAAAAAGAGAAACCTGTCTCTCCTGCTACTTCCTTCCCTCCCCTCATCAATCAATACCTTATTCTTAAGCCACACTGAATTCTTTTTTCTCACTATTATTTGGGGACCTAAGACCTCCTTACCACGTTGTACCTTCTGCCTCGGATCAGCAAGGTCTTTGCTGCTGGTGTAGAGCTAGGATTTTGTCAGTTAAAAAGTGGAATGTGGAGCTCTTAAGCGCAGGGGCACTGGAGCCAGACTGTCTGGATTTGAATTCTGGCTCTGCCAATTACCAGCTCTGTGACCTTGAGCAAGGTCACTGATTTTTTTTGTGCCTCAGATTTATCTGTTAAGTGGCAGTAATAAGTGTACCTACCTCCCAGGGAAGGTGTGAGGATTAAATAAATTAATATATGTAAAATGCTTCAAACAGTATCTGGTGCATGGCAAGCACTCATAAAGTTCGCTATTATTCATGCTTTTAAAACTTTACTGTGGCCCTCATTCAATTTGCAGATGAAAAATCTTTCTTTGGAAGCAGCATAGGGGAAGAGCATGAGCTTCAGAGTCAAACAGATGTTGGAGAAATTCTTAACCACTCTGAACTTGTTTTTTTATCTGTTAAATGGAGATAACCTTACCTATCTTGCAAAGTTGTTTTGCATTTGACGCTTATTATTTTATATATATGATTTCATTCGAGATATAAATAAAAATTATATAAAAATGTGTATATTATATATCTGTTACATATATAAAATAAAAATTAATATAGCATCACACATAGGCATTCAATAAATTTTAGTTCCTGGGGAGAGGAGGAGATGAAAGTTCATGCCACCCTACTTTTCAGAGAATAAAAACAATCTGTTGGAAACATGTAAAATTTGTCTTTTCTCAGGTTAGAAAACAACACCTATCATAACTACATTTATTGTAGTTCCTATATGCCTCTGGTTCCTTTTCCTTCTCTACTCCACCTCCATCATTTCTTCTGCCTGGTGAAGTGCTTCACAAAGATGTTGTGAAGAGCTGGCCCAAATGTCTTTTTGTAGAGACAGTCACTGACAAGCTCAGGCATTCACAGTTACCCCATCCTCTCTCTCCATATTCTCTGTTCCCATGTCTTTCAGCATGTGTGATGTGGAAATTCATCTGTTCATGAAGAGGGACCAGGGCAGGGATGTTTGTGTCCCTTTGCATTCTCTGTACCTAGCATGGTGCCTGGCAAATAGTAGGCACTCAATTAATGTTAGTTGAAAAACGCATCCTCACCCTGTTTTCTCAATTAGTATTAGGATTAAATGTGAAGAAAGTTCATTTTAGAAAAATAAAATTGAGTTGCAAACTTTTAAGGTTCATTCTAATGTAAAGATTTAGGATTCTATTTTGGGAGTTCTAAGGTGTAGTTGGAAACAGTGATTGAAAACTGGAAATGTAAATGGCTTTCATGAATATTTTATGCAAAATCTCTAATTTGGCAAGTCTTTGTTACTATTAATAGAAACATTGTCATTATAAGCAGCTCATAAATATTCATTAATCAATTATTTGGTTTGGTGTTCCTTTCTAAAGCCTTTTTTCTTTCCTATTGGCTTGAGTGTCTTTTGTATTCATGAAAGTGCTTTCTTTCCGTTAAAGGATACGAATCTGTAATCTAATCAGTAGTTTGTATTTAAGTTCTCCAGAGAAATAGTAAAAGATATAAAATCAGAAAGCAATGAAAGCTGTTCTTTCGAGTGTTCTTGGTTGTGCACATATAAAACTATGTTTGTGCCATACTCTAGCTAATGATTGCTTCTGTGACAACAGAAAAATCTTTATCAGTATTCTAAGCTTTGGCAGCTAGCAAGTTGTCTAAATAAAACTTATCAGTCCTGGTGGTGGTTTACATTCGGTGTAGCTTTAGAAAAGAATATTGCTTCTTGTTTATACCGAGTAGGTATAGAGGGAACCGGAACTAACATGGCTGAGTACTTCCTGTATGCCCGGCGTTCTCCCTTCATTTCCTAATTCATGTTGGCCATCCTGTGGAGTTGACAGTCACACGTGTAAGTGTAACCCACAATAATACCCATCAGCCTCCTTCAAAGCCACAACAAATCAACCTGTACTCCAAGTCAGACCACTTTGCTTGCCTTGTTGACAGCCCAAGACCTGATTCCTAACCTCCTTTTCAATGGATAACCGCTCCTAAGACCCATCCCCCAACCCCTGACGCCCCAGACATTCCGTAAAGGTGGAGATGGATATTATCTCTAGTTTACCAGTGAGAGAAATGGAGGCACAGAGATTAGCGAGTTTTCCTGAGGTTACTGATAAACATAAATTTTATTTGCAAATTAAAACTAAACTGTTTCTTTCTTGCCTACTAATATGTACTTAATAAAAGTTTAAATTGTTCAGGTAAGTGTAAAAATATTGCCTATCCAATCGCAAGCACAATCAAGTGTACATTTTGTGAAAAAGTTGTGTTTTTTCTCAATATTAAATTCTATTATTAAACAATGTTAGTTCTTTTTTTTCTTATATGTAAAAAAAGAACATCTGTGCAATATCAAATACCAATAAAAAAACTTTCTTATATCTGTAAATCCCACTCTGGACTTAGTTGTCCTGTCTTTTAAATTAAGAGACTAATACATATTTTTTCTACATTTCTTTGGTGTCTGATTTTGTGAGCATGTTTTAACTCACAAAAGATAAGTAATCTTTCTTTTGGTATACCTATGTTTGATCCCCTTTATATGGAAAACGTTCATGCTGAGTAGATTCTTTTAATATATGTTCGTGTTGTCCTTTCAGGGTTATTGAATTTAAACATGTTTTTTATAAGTTTACTTAATTATGTATTTAATGCATTTTTTAAGGAGTGCTAGCTTTATTCCCTAAAATTAAACCTTGACTGCCATCTTGTGGTTAACAAGTGAATTAGCATTAGAATGGACACTGCCTGTATTTTTAAATACACACGTGGGAAAAATTATAAACAAAGGGAGGAAAATCCTTTAGGAAAAAATGACTTTTGCCAAGCAACTATTTAGTCTCTGCTTGGATGTTTTTAGAGATAGGAAGCTTGGTAATTCAAGAAGCATTAAATAGCTCTAATCTTCTTCAGTTCTAGCTTGTATCTAACACCTTTTGATAGTCAACCATTCCAGAAATGGGAAATTAGCTCCATTTCATAAAGAAGATGTGCAGAAAAGGTTAAAGAAAATTCCCTAAGGTTATATACTTAGTAACAAAGCTGAAATTCAAATGCAGGCCTGCCAGATACCACAAGCCACGCTTTTTTCCTTAAATCAAGCAGGCACCATGTCAGACACTGAGGACCTGGGGATGGCCTTGGGGATTGGTGGAAGGCAGGATTCAAAGGAGGCTATTAGGGCAGAAAAGAAACTATTGCCACTTGTCTTTGGAAACAACACAAATAAGGCCATTTCTGCTTTGTGAAATTGCCCTTGAAGTCTCAGAAGATAGTTATGTCTTTCTCCTACCTCCTCTTACATCTCTTTTTTAGAATAAACACACTCCGTTCTTTCAGCTGATTTTTATGAATTCAGTATTCTTTATTGGTTCCCTCTTATGGATATAATTCATTCCATCAATTTCTCTCTCCAATGTAGCCTCAAAAAGTTACCATGGATTTCTGGTTGTAGCACAAAATCCAGTGGAACCACCCCTACTATAAACACCATGGCTTAGGGCTTCTCCCTTCCTCTCTCCTGAAAAAGCGGAATTTTAATATGAGTCACAAACATATATGGTGCTAGTTTAGATGTTCCCCAAATCTTATGTTGATATTTGATCCCAGTGTTGGAAAATAGGAGGTGTTTGGGTCATGGGGGCAGATCCCTTATGAAGAGACTAATGCCTTCCCTTGGGCAGGGAAGGAGGGTGGAGGAGTATGGCGGATAAGTAAGTTCTCCATTAGTTCCCGGGAGTGCTAGTTGTTAAAAAGAGCTTGGCAGCTGGGAATGGAGGCTCAAGCCTGTAATCCCAGCACTTTGGGAGGCCAAGGCAAGAAGAATGCTTGAAGCCAGTATTTGAGACCAGCCTGAGCAATATAGTGAGACCTCATCTCTACAAAAAATTAAAAACTTAGCCAGGCATAATGGCACATGCCTGTGGTCCTAGCTAAGTGGGAGGCTGAGGTGAGAGGAACATTTGAGCCCAGTAGGTCGAGGCTGCAGTGAACCATGGTTGTGCCACTGCACTCCAGCCTGGGTGACAGAGCAAGACCTGTCTCACAAAAAAAAAAAAAAAAAAATTAGCTTGACATTTCCCCTCCCTCTCTTGCCTCCTCTCTCGCCTGTGACCTCTGCACACACCGGCTCCCCTTTACCTCTGCCATGAGTGGAAACAGCTTTCACCAGATGCCCAGTCTTCCAGCCAGCAGAATTGTGAGCTAAATAAACCTGTTTTCCTTATAAATTACCCACTCCCAGGTATTTGTAGCAACACTAAACGAACTAAGACAGTTTTAATATGAGTCACAAATACATATGATTTTTTTTCCTAGGAGAACTCCTTCTTTGGTGTTCTGCTCCCACATTTTAATGGGTTCGCTCTCCCTCTACGGCCTTGCTCCCTCTCCTGTCCCTCTTTCTCTCCCCTCAGTCCCCCTCCCTGTGACCAGAGAAATACGATACATGGGTTGGCTTAGGTCCTGCTCAGGTTCTCTGTCTGAGCAGGGTTGAGGCGGGAAGGGCTATATTCCCCAGAGTCATATGAGATTGCATTTTATCAGAAGAAGGCAGGAATGAGAAGGAAGCAAAAAAGTTCCTTTAGAAAATGTTACCAAAAGTCAAATTACTAATGGAAGGATACAGTAAGTTTTATTCTTCTTATTATACATGTAAAGCTCCTTTTCAAGAACATGTTACAATTTGTGGTGCCCCAATCTATGTGAGAAACTTAAAAATGAACAAGCATTAGGGTTTTTCATTTTACTTGTTTTTTTTTTTTACTTAATATTATGACATTTTACTTCACAGTCATTTGATTTGCATATTTTAGTGACATTAAAAATTTTTGTTTTTATAGTTTGTCATTTTAATTATATAAAGGCAAATGGTTGAATAAAGAAGGAAATACTGCTTATACAATTTTTTGAAGACAAAGATTTGTCAATAGGGAAGAAAAGGTATAAATCAAGTTATGTTGTTTTCTAAAGTCATATTTGCCCTGAGGAAAATAAAATCCTAACGGTTTTTTTAAACTTACACAAGCCTCACAAAGAGCTGGAAATCCTGCCAGCTAGAGTGGAGAGACACTATAATTTAACAGACATTGACTAAAATTTAGAAGAGCTGTGCTTTATAGTGGGGCCATATTAGGTATCAAACTGATTTTCACAAAAAACTGAACTGTGAGCCAGAATGAAGAACAATCAGATTTAAAGAAACATAACAAAATTTAGCACCTAATAACCTAAAATTTACAATGTCCAGCAACCCATTGAAAAATCACCAGTCAGCCAGGCGCGGTGGCTCACGCCTGTTAGTTATCCCAGCACTTTGGGAGGACAAGGCGGACAGATCACCTGAGGTCAGGAGTTTGAAACCAGCCTGGCCAACATGGCAAAACCCTGTCTCTATTAAAAATACAAAAAATTAGCCAGGCGCAGTGGTGGGCACCTGTAATCCTAGCTACTCAGGAGGCTGAAGCAGGAGAATCGCTTGAACCTGGGAGGCGGAGGTTGCAGTGAGCCGAGATCATGCCATTGCACTCCAGCCTGGGTGACAGAGTGAGACTCTGTCTCAAAAAAAAAAAAAAAAAAAAATCACCAGTCATACAAATAAGCAGAAAAATATGACCCACAACCAAAAGAAATTACATCAATACAAATAGATCCATAAGTGATAGAGAGGATAGAATTAACAGATACAGACTTTAAAGCAGCTACTATACATCTTATAAAATATACTGAATTATCTAAAGAAAAACATGAATATGATGAAAGAAATGGAAGATATACCAGTGGAATATCTAGAGATAAAAATAAATCAAATATTTAAAAATATATATACTTAATGGGAAGAACAGCAAGTTAGACACTGCAGAAGAAATGACCCATGAACTTGAAAGTGTAGCAATATAATCTCTTTAAAAAAAGATAGAAAAAAAGACTGAAAAGAAACGAAAGAGCCTCAGTGAGCTGTGGGACAATATCAAGTGGTAGAAGATACATATAAATGGTGTTCCAGAGGAAGGGAGAGAAAAAATATTTGAAGAAATAATTATGACTGAAAATTTTCCCAATTTGATGAAGTCTGCAAATTCACAGACCAAGAAGTTCAATGAATCCCAAGAAACAGAAATATAAAGAAGCCATACCAAAGCACATCATAATCAAATTGTTGAAACTCAGAAATGAAGAGAAAAATCTTAAAAGTAGCAAAGGAGAAAAAGAAACCCCACATGTTACACATAAAGGAGCAACGATAAGAATAGCCAAAAACTTCATGTCAGAAGCCTTGCAAGTCAAAATATAATAAATGACAACTTCAGAGTGCTTGAAAGAAATTATTAAACATAGAATTTTATAACCAGTGAAAAGCTCTCTCTAAAATGAAGGTAAAATAAAAACGTTTTTTGACCAATAAATCCAACCACATAGTTGAAATGAACACATTTCTTGAAAGGCAACATCTACCAAGCCTCACTTAAAAAGAAATGAACAACCTGAGTAATCCTGTATCTAATAAAGGAATTTATAGTTAAAAGCCTTCACACAAAGACAACTTTAAACCCAGATGGCTTCACTGGAGAATTTTCCCACACATTTAAGGAAAACATGAATATACACAAACTCAGAAAAAAGAAGGAAACACTTCCCAGCACGTTACAGGGTCAGCATTACCTCAATAACAAAACCAAAGACAGTATACGAAAACTACAAATCAAGAACTGGAAATACCATTTGGCCCAGCCATCCCATTACCGGGTATATACCCAAAGGATTATAAATCATGCTGCTATAAAGACACATGCACACATATGTTTAGTGTGGCACTATTCACAATAGCCAAGACTTGGAACCAAGCCAAATGTCCAACAATGATAGACTGGATTAAGAAAATGTGGCACATATACACCATGGAATACTATGCAGCCATAAAAAATGATGAGTTCATGTCCTTTGTAGGGACATGGATGAAGCTGGAAACCATCATTCTCAGCAAACTATTGCAAGGACAAAAAACCAAACACCATATGTTCTCACTCATAGGTGGGAATTGAACAATGAGAACACATGGACACAGGAAGGGGAACATCACACACCAAGGCCTGTCGTGGGGTGGGGGGAGGGGGGAGGTATAGCATTAGGAGATACACCTAATGTTAAATGACGAGTTAATGGGTGCAGCACACCAACATGGCACATGTATACATATGTAACCAACCTGCAGGTTGTGCACATGTACCCTAAAACTTAAAGTATAATAAAAAATAAATAAATCAATAAATAGGGAATCCTTCCCCGCCCCCCCAAAAAAAGAAAACTACAGATAAATATGCCTCACAGACACAGATGCAAAAATTTTAGTATATTTAATCTAAATATATATATAACATATATAATATAGTTTTAAAATGTGTTAGTTTTTTTGAATGTTAAATCAAGGTTACATTCCTGATATAAACTATACTTGGTCAGGATTAATTATGATAAATAATTGTAAATAATTATGATAATTCATCATGACTATATGGAGTTTATACTAGAAATGTAACATTGGTTTAACATTTGAAAATTTCGAATAATGTAAATTAGTATAAGAAAGAAGAACTATATGATCCTCTCAATAGATGAAAAGAAATTCTGTATCCATTTCTGATTTAAAAAAGAGAAAACTCAGAACAGGGAGTGAATTTGGCATGTTCAAGTGAAGTATCCAGGTTCTCACATTGGGACTGACTAGGCAATCAGTTCAACCCATGGAGAGCAAAGAAAAGCAGGGTGAGGTGAGAGCCCACCCAGGAGCAGCATGACGCCAACAAAATCCCCACCCCAAGACAAGGGAGGCAGTGAGTGAGTGTGTGACCCTGCCCAGGAAACCATGCTTCTCCCACGGATCTTTGCAACTCGTGGATCAGGAGATCCCCTCATGAGCCCCTGCTACCAGGGCCTTGGGTCCAATATACAGAGCTGTGTGTAATCTTAGCAGAGACTCAGGTGTTTTACATAATCTGGTCCTAAAATCCTCCAGTGAGGCACCAGATCCACCCATACATTCCCCTAGGAAGGGGGCTGAATCCAGAGAGCCAAGCAGCACCATCCTGAGGGTCCCACTTTCACAGCACCTCACAAGTTGGGGCCCGCTAGCTTGGAGCTCCAGCCAACCAGCAGCAATAGGCTGAGTCTGCTTAAGACAGAAGGGAGTTCCTGGGGGAAAATGTGGTCACCATTTCTGCAGTTCTGTTGACTCAGCATTCCAGCCTGCCAGCTCTGGAGAGTCCAGGCATTCCAGACGAGGAGGGGTCTCCCCACCAACACAACACACCTGCTTTGCCAGACTGTGCCCAGACTGCTTCTTTAAGCGAGATCCCAGTCCATTCCTTTTCACTACCTCCTGTAGGGGGCCTTCAGTCACTCTAGCCAGGCTTATATGGACAGAACTCTGATCTCACCCTGGGATGGAGCTCCTGAGGGGAGGGGTGGCCACCATCTCTGTGGTTCAGTTGACTCAGTTGTTCCAGCCTGCTGGCTCTGGAGAGGCCAGGTGGTCTGGACGAGGAAGGGTCCCCCTCAATGCAGCACATCTTCTCTACTAAAAAGCAGCCAGATGGCTTCTATAAGTGGGTCCTTGATCCTGTTCCTCCTGACTGGGAGAGACCTTCCAATAGGGGTCTCCAGTCACCTCCTACAGGAGTGTTTGGGACAGCAATAGGTCAGTATCCCTCTAGGATGGAGCTTCCAGAGAAAGGAACAGGCTGCCATCTTTGCTGTTTTGCAGCCCGCACTGGTGATACTTCCAAGTACAGGAAAAGCAGAGGCAACTAGGTTCTGGAGTGGACCCCCAGCAAACCATAGCAGCCCTACATTTGCTAACAGTCAGTGGCCTACCTGTTAAAAGAAAAACAAACAAACAGAAAACAACAACAACAACAAAGACCCCACAAAAACCTCATTCAAAGGTCAGCAACCTCAAAGATTAAAGGTAGATGAGCCCATAAAGATGAGAAAAAGTCAATACAAAAATGCTGAAAACTCAAAAAGCCAGCATGTCTATTCTCCTCCAAATGACTGCAACACCTTTCCAGCAAGGGTACAGAACTGGGCTGAGGCTGAGATGGTTGAATTGACAGAAGTAGGCTTCAGAAGGTGGGTTATAACAAACTTCACTGAGCTAAAGGAACAGGTTGTAAACCAACGCAAAGAAGCTGAGAATCATGATAAAACAATACAGAAGATGATAACCAGAATATCCAGTTTAGAGAGGAACATAAACAACCTGATGGAGCTGAAAAACACAACTTTAGAACTTCACAACGCAATCACAAGTATCAATAGCAGAATAGATCAAGTGGAGGGTAGAATTTCAGAGCTTGAAGTCTATCTTTCTGAAATAAGATAGGCAGATAAGAATAGAGAAAAAAGAACAAAAAGGAATGAACAAAAACTCTGAGATATATGGGATTATGTAGGGACACCAAACCTACAACTGATTGGGGTAACTGAAAGAGATGAGGAGAATGGAAGCAAGTTGGAAAACATACTTCAGGATATCATCCAGGAGAATTTCCCCAACCTGGCAAGACAGGCAAATATTCAAATTCAGGAAATCCAGAGAACCCCAGTAAGATACTCCACAGGAAGATCAACCCCAAGACACATAATCATCAGATTCTCCAAGGTCGAAATGAAGGAAAAAATGTTCAGGGAAGACAGAGAGAAAGGCCAAGGCACCTGTAGGGAAGCCCATCAGACTAACAGTGGACCTCTCAGCAGAAACCCTACAAACTGGAAGAGATTGGGGACCAATATTCAACATTTTTAAAGAAAAGAATTTCCAACCCAGAATTTCATATCTGCCTAAACTAACCTTCGTAAGTGAAGGAGAAACAAGATCCTTTTCAGAAAAGCAAATGCTGAGGGAATTCATCACCACCAGGCCTGCCTTGCAAGAACTCCTGAAGAAAGCACTAAATATGGAAAGGAAAAATCATTACCAGCCACTACAAAAACATACTGAAGTACACAGACCAGTGACACTATGAAGCAACCACATAAACAAGTCTGCAAAATAACCAGCTAGCATCATGATGACAGGATCAAAATCACACATAACAATACTAATCTTAAATGCAAATGTGCTAAACGCCCCAAATAGAAGACATAGAGTGGCAAGCTGAATAAGGAGCCAAGACCCATTGGTATGCTGTCTTCGAGAGACCCATCTCACATGTACGGATACACATAGGCTCAAAATAAAGGGATGGAGGAAAATTTACCAAGCAAATGGAAAACAGAAAAAGGCAGGGGTTGCAATCCTAGTTTCTGAAAACAGACTTTAAACCAACAAAGATCAAAAGACAAAGAAGGGCATTACACAATGGTAAAGGGTTCAATTTGACAACAAGAGCTAATTATCCTAAATATATATCCACCTAATACAGGAGCACCAAGATTCATAAAGCAAGTTCTTAGAGGCCTACAAAGAGACTTAGACTCCCACACAGTAATAGTGGGAGACTTTAACACCCCACTGGCAATATTAGACATATCATCAAGACAGAAAAATAACAAACATATTCAATACCTGAATTCAGCTCTGGGTCAGGTGGACCTAATAGATATCTACACAACTCTCCACCCAAAAACAACAAAATATACATTGTTCTCATTGCCACACAGCACTTACTTTAAAATTCATTGCATAATCAGAAGTAAAACACTCAGCAAATGCAAAAGAACTGAAGTCATAACAGACTTTCAGACCACAGCACAATCAAATTAGAACTCAAGATTAAGAAATTCACTCAAAATTATACAACTAAATGGAAATTGAGCAACCTGCTCCTGAAATTGAACAACATGCTCTTGAATGACTCCTGGGTAAATAAAGAAATTAAGGGAGAAATCAAGAAGTTACTTGAAAGAAATAAGAACCAAGAGATGATGTACCAGAGTCTCTGGGATACAGCTAAAGTGGTGTTGAGAGGGAAATTTATAGCACTAAATGCCCACATCAAAAAGCTAGAAAGATCTTGTTAACAATCTAACATCACAACTAAAAGAACTAGAGAACCAAGAGCAAACAAACCCCAAAGCTAATAGAAGACAAGAAATAACCAAGATCAGAGTGGAACTGAATGAGATAGAGACACAAAAAACCCTTAAAAAATCAACAAATTCAGGAGCTGTGTTTTTGAAAAAAAATTAATAAAATAGACCACTAGCTAGATTAATAAAGAAGAAAAGAGAGTAGAATCAAATAAACACAGTCAGAAATGATAAGGGAGATATCACCACTGACCCCACAGAAATACAAACAACAACCAGAGAATACTATAAACACCCCTGTGCACATAAACTGGAAAATCTAGAAGAAATGGATAAATTTCTGGACACACACACCTTCCCAAGACTGAACCGGGAAGAAATCGAATCCCTGAATTGACCAATAATGAGTTCTGAAATTGAGGCAATAATAGCCTACCAACCAAAAAAAAAGCTCAGAACCAGACAGATTCACAGCTGAATTCTACCAGAGGTACAGAGAAGAGCTGGTACCATTTCTACTGAAACTATTCCAAAAAAAATTGAAAAGAAGAGACTCCTCCTTAACTCATTTTATGAAGTCAGCATCATCCTGATACCAAAACCTGGCAGAGATACAACAAGAAACAAGAAAACTTCAGGCCAATGTCCCTGATGAACATTGATGCAAAAATCCTCAATAAAATACTGGCCAACTGAATCTAGCAGCACATCAAAAAACTTATCCACCACAATCAAGTTGGCTTCATCCTTAGGGTGCAAGGTTGGCTCAACATACACAAATCAATAAATGTGATTCATCACATAAACAGAACTACTGAATAGGCAAAAGCTGGAAGCATTCCCCTTGAAAACCATCACAAGACAAGGATGCCCTCTCTCACCGCTCCTATTCAACATAGTATTGGAAGTTCTGGCCAGGGCAATTAGGCAAGAGAAAGAAATAAAGGGTATTCAAATAGGAAGAGAGGGAGTTATCTTCAAATTATCTTTGTTTGCCGATACCATGATCCTATGTCTAGAAAACCCCATGGTCTCAGCCCAAAAGCTTCTTAAGCTGATAAGCAACTTCAGCGAAGTCTCAGGATACAAAATCAATGTGCAAAAATTGCTATTATTCCTATACACCAATCAACAGGCAAGCAGAGAGTCAAATCATGAATGAACTCCCATTCACAATTGCTACAAAAAGAATAAAATACTAGGAATACAGCTAACAAGGGAAGTGAAGGACCTCTTCACAGAGAACCACAAACCACTGTTCAAAAAAATCAGAGGACACAAACAAATGGAAAAACATTCCATGCTCATGGATAGACAGAATCAATATTGTGAAAATGGCCATACTGCCCAAAGTGATTTATAGATTCAATGCTATTCCCATTAAACTACCATTGACATTCTTCACAGAATTAGAAGAAACTATTTTAAAATATGTATGGACCAAAAAAGAACCCAAGTAGCCAAGACAATCCTAAGCAAAAAGAACAAAGCTGGAGGCATCATGCTACCCAACTTCAAACTACACTGCAAGGTTACTGTAACCAAAACAGCATGATACTAGTACAAGAACAGAGACATAGACCAATGGAACAGAATAGAGAACTCAGAAATAAGACCACACACCTACAACTGTCTGATCTTCAACAAACCTGACAAAAACAAGCAATGGGGAAAGAATTCCCTATTTAATAAATGGTGCTGGGAAAACTAGCTAGCCATATGCAGAAAATTGAAAGTGGACCCCTTCCTTCCACCTTACACAAAAATTAGCTCAAGATGGATTAGAGACTTAAATGTAAAACCCAAAACTATAAAAACCCTAGATGAAAATCTAGGCAATACCATTCAGGACATAGGCACGGGCAAAGATTTCATGATGAAAATGCCAAAAGCAATTGCAACAAAAACAAAAATTGACAAATGGGATCTAATGAAAGAGCTTCTGCACAGCAAAGGAAACTACCATCAGAGTGAACAGACAACCTAAAGAAAGGGAGAAAAATTTTGCCATCTATCCATCTGATGTCTATCCAGCATCTACAAGGGACTTAAACAAATTTACAGGAAAAAAAAAACCATTAAAAAATGGGCAAAGGACATGAACAGAAGCTTCTCAAAAGAAGATATACATGCAGCCAACAAACATATGGAAAAAAGCTCAACTTGACTGATCATTAGAGAAATGTAAATCAAAACCACAATGAGATAATCAAAACCACAGCTCATGCCAGTCAGAATGGCGATTATTAAAAAGTCAAAAAACAACAGATGCTGGCAAGTTTGCAGAAAAAAAGGAACACTTTTACACTGTTGGTGGGTGTGTAAATTAGTTCAACCATTGTGGAAGACAGTGTGGTGATTCCTCAAAGACCTAGAGGCAGAAATACTATTTGACTCAGCAGTTCAAATCCTGGGTATATACCCAAAGGAATATAAATCATTCTGTTATAAGGACACATGCATGCCTATGTTCATTGCAGCACTATTCACAAGAGCAAAGACATGGAATCAACCCAAATGCCCTTCAATGATAGACTGGAAAAAGAAAATGTGGTACATACACACCATGGAATACTATGCAGCCACAAAAAAGAACGAGATCATGTCCTTTGCAGGGTCATGGATGGAGTCGGAAGCCATTATCCTCAGCAAACTAACACAGGAACAGAAAACCAAACACCATATGTTCTCACCTAGAAGTGGGAGCTGAATGATGAGAGCTCATGGACACATGACAGGGAACAACACACACTGAGGCCTGTTGGTGAGGGGGGTGTGTTGGGGGATGGAGAGCATCAGGAAGAATAGCTAATGGATGCTGGGCTTAGTACATAGGTGATGGGATGATCTGTGCAGTAATCCACCATGGCACACGTTTACCTATGTAACAAACCTGCACATCTTGTACATGTACCCCTGAACTTAAAATAAAAGTTGAAGATAAAAAAGACTAATTATATGTTATGTGAATTTCACCCCAATAAACTTTTCAAATAAAATTAAAATTAAAATCTCTCAAAGATGGGAGAGAGTTTTAAAATAAAAGATAAAGGAGATTTTCACACATTGAAAAAAAAAACTCTCAGTAAATTAAGAATAGGAAAGAACTTCCTCAACCTGATAAAGCATATTTATTTCCATAACTATAGCCAACATCATATATAATGCTAAAAAAACTGAATGTTTGCCCTGAATGTCAGGAACAAGGCAAGGATGTCTGTTCTCACTACTTTCACACATTTTATTGGAGGCTTTATTTTCACTATAGCATGTATCACTACTGATTTATCTTGATTTTTATATTTATTCATTTTTGTCTCTTCCATGAAGTCAGAGACCTTGTCTGTCTTGTTCTTCCTATATTATTAGCTCCTAAAATAGTGTCTGGCACAAGGTTGGTGTTCAATGAATATTTATTAAATGAATGAACTTTCTGGTAGTATTGTATAAGTGAGGTACACTTGTGTGACAAAAACGTTTCTTTTTTTTTTATACTTTAAGTTCTAGTGTACATGTGCACAACGTGCAGGTTTGTTACATAGGTATACATGTGCCGTGTTGTTTTGCTGCACCCATTAACTCGTCATTTACATTAGGTATTTCTCTTAATGCTATCCCTCCCCCATCCCCCCACCCCAAGACAGGTCCCCTTGTGTGATGTTCCCCGCCCCGTGTCCAGTTGTTCTCATTGTTCAGTTCCCAGCTATGAGTGAGAACATGCAGTGTTTGGTTTTCTGTCCTTGTGACAGTTTGCTCAGAATGATAGTTTCCAGCTTCATCCATGTCCCTGCAAAGGACATGAACTCATCCTTTTTTATGGTTGCATAGTATTCCATGGTATATATGTGCCACATTTTCTTAATCCAGTCTATCATAGATGGACATTTGGGTTGGTTCCAAGTCTTTGCTATTGTGAATAGTGCCACAATAAACATATGTGTGCCTGTGTCTTTATAGTAGCATGATTTACAATCCTTTGGGTATATACCCAGTAATGGGATTGCTGGATCAAATGGTATTTCTAGTTCTAGATCCTTGAGGAATCGCCACACTGTCTTCCACAATGGTTGAACTAGTTTACACTCCCACCAACAGTGTAAAAGCGTTTCTATTTCCCCACATCCTCTCCAACATCTGTTGTTTCCTGACTTTTTAATGATCGTCATTCTAACTGGCGTGAGATGGTATCTCATTGTGGTTTTGATTTGCATTTCTCTGATGGCCAGTGATGATGAGCATTTTTTTAAGTGTCTGTTGGCTGCATAAATGTCTTCTTTTGAGAAGTGTCTGTTCATATCCTTTGCCCACTTTTTGACGGGGTTGTTTGTTTTTTTCTTATAAATTTGTTTAAGTTCTTTGTAGATTCTGGGCATTACCCCTTTGTCAGATGGGTAGGTTGCAAAAATGTTCTCCCATTCTGTAGGTTGCCTGTTCACTCTGATGGTAGTTTCTTTTGCTGTGCAGAAGCTCTTTAGTTTAATTAGATCCCATTTGTCAAGTTTGGCTTTTGTTGCCGTTGCTTTTGGTGTTTTAGTCATGAAGTCCTTGCCCATGCCTATGTCCTGAATGGTATTGCCTAGATTTTCTTCTAGGGTTTTTATGGTTTTAGGTCTAACATTTAAGTCTTTAATTCATCTTGAATTAATTTTTGTATAAGATGTAAGGAAGGGATCCAGTTTCAGCTTTCTACATATGGCTAGCCAGTTTTCCCAGCACCATTTATTAAATAGGGAATCCTTTCCCCATTTCTTGTTTTTGACAAAAACATTTCTATGCCACCTACTTTTCTTCAAGAAAACTTTGTTGCCAAAAGTTTTCTTTTCATTATGTACCCCAAAAAGTAGTCGTCCCCCAAAAAAATTTTGTAAAATTTTTGATTTCCATATGTAAACTCTTTCTCCAAGGAAATGCTCTAATAGCTTGACTTGGGCTCATTGATGTCTCCCATAAGCCTGTTGTTTTATCCAGGATGAGTCATTAATTTTTCTGATAGAATTTCTCCCCTGTGTAGTGGGTTGAATCATGTCCCCACAAAACAAACACCTGTCCCCCCAGAACCTCAGCATATGACCTTATTTCAAAATAGGGTCTTTGCAGATATAAATAGTAATTAGTTAAGATGAGGCTATACTAGATTTAGGTGGACCCTGAGTCCAATGACTGTTGTCCTTATAAGAGAGCAGAACTACAGAGACCCACACGGAAAAGGTCATGTGACATTGGAAGCAGAGACTGGAGTGATGCAGCTATAAGCCATACAATGTAAAGGATTGCTGACAGCCAGCAGAAGCTAGGAAGAGGCAATAGAAGATTCTTCCCTAGGGCTTTCCGAGGGAGGGAGGCCCTGCTGCCACCTTGATCCCCAACATCTAGCTTCCAGAACTATGAGAGAATACATTTCTGTTATTTTAAGTCACCAAGTTTGTGGTCATTTGTTAAGGTGGCCCAAGGAAACTAATATACCTTGCTATACCACATGATGTTTTTATTACTTTTACTATGATGTTTTTTACTATGACATAAGTAGTAAACATGTCATATTCATTTGCTTTTCCAACTTCTATTCTGTTGGAAAGCACATATTGAAATAATTTTACTTTACCATTAAATTAGTCAAGACTCAGAATGGTTCCATATTCAAAGCCTATTGTTCTACTTTTATGTTTCATTTCATTTGTTTCACTTATTTTTCTCAGAAGTAAATATACCCTTACCAAAATTCATTTGGGAATTTAGTTTTCTTTTTCTCTTTCTAGGTATTCCGTTATCAAGTGTTGGCTTGCTAGAAAAAGAATGCCTCATGAAGTCACTCACTCAATGGAAGAAATTAAGCTCTGCCCAACTCTAAGTAAATCGATTCACTCTATTTGTTTTGCTTTTATAAATAACATATTATGCATAATATGCATAACTTTAAACTTTTTTCCATTTAAGTAAGTTGGAATATATGAGGGCTAATCCTTGTGTTCTCCTTTTAAGGTTGCTTTAACTTTTTCTGACTTTCCAAATTAATTTGGTAAATTAGTCACATAGGAATTGGAACTTTGACAGAATTGAGTTACTTATATTTTCAAGCTTACTACCCTTTAATAGGTTGATATACAATTTGAAATTTTAAGGCTAAGTTTCAAAATATGAAAAAGCAGCCAAAACACACAGAGCACTAATAAACTGATCCCTAAAACTCATTGTATATTCAAAGGTATATGCAATATGGTTGAAAAGAAAGAAACAATGCTGAGTTGTTTTTCGTGCTCTTTTAAAAATTACCATTTACTTGTTGGGATAGGTTGAGAGTGAGTCTTCAGCCGGGAGAGCTGGTAACTTACCATGGAAGTCAGCTGGTATAGAGGGGAAAGCATGACATTTGGGGATAGAGAACTTAGGTTCAGATTCCAGTTCTGTGCTACTATGGAAAGGTCACTCAACCTCTGAACTTAGTTTTTTTCATCCTTAGCTAGTACTGTGTATGTGGAAGATGTTCAACAAATCCTAGTTGCTAAAAATCTGCCCTTACTCACAGGATTCTTATGACTAAGTGACTCCATGTATAGACAATTTCTTTGTGAACTGAAAAGTACAAAAAAAAATAGTTACTGTTTTTTCCTGTCACCTGGCCACTAAACATAACAGCATATAAATGCCAGGCACAGGCAATCACCTTCATTCAGTGATTCTCCAAGGGCCCTGCCCCCGTATCTCCAAGTTTCTTTTCCCTGCTCAGTATCCACCTCTCTCCCTCCTAATTGTTTGGTGTGCCACGCAGATTTCCTCCTCTGTATTATCAGCCTCAGCCTTCTCCATTCAACTCTCCCTTCTTCCAGATTTCAGGGTACCTGTGAGGTAGGAAATGTTGCCTTCTCCAGCCTTGCTCTTTGCTTTCTCCATGATTTCCCTACTCCCCTCTGCAATCTCTGTCTTTCAACATCCCCACCATGTTCACCAGTGGAAGAGATCAGTTGGTTAAGTTGATGTGATTACAGTAATTTTTGTCTATGCTTTGTCAGACTGGTGACAAAGCTATGTCTCTATAGCTCAGCTCTGCTTATGTTTTTACCAGGTCTAAAATACTTTGTTTCCCATTTTCCTTCAGGATAAAATTTAGACTCTTTGACACAGAAAATCCTTAATGCTCTAATACTTGTCTCTGTCTTTGCAGTGACATTCCCTCCCTCTCCCCTTCACAACCTAAATGCTACACTAAGCTAGTGGGTCATGATTGTTTGTTCCCTACCTCATTTCATAAAAAAATTTGAGCAGTACACTGTGTTTTCTCATACCCCTACTCTAAATGCTCTTCTCTCCCCTTCTTTACTTTCTAATGCCTATGCATCCTTTGAGATTCAGTTCGGGTATTACCTTTTTTAGGAAACTTTCTTTGTGGGTTATCATAGCACTTCTACCATAGCCGTATCATGCTCTATTTGTTTTCTATTGCTGTGTCACAAATTAGCACACATTGAATGGTTTAAAACAACACACATTTATTATTTTACTGTTTCTGTGGGCCTGGAGTACAGGCACAGCTTAGCTGAATCCTCTGCTTAAGGTCTCAGAAAGCTGCAATCAAGGCTTTGGCTGGGCTGCATTCTCATCCTAGTGGTTTGAATGGGGGAGGAATCTGCTTCCCAGCCCAGTGAGGTTGTCGACAGAATCCATTTTCTTCTGTCTTTAGGAATGAGGGCCCTGGCTTCTGGCTGGGTATATGTGGGAGGCCTCCCTCAGCTGCTGAGGGCTGCACACAGTTCCTTGCCATATGGGCTCTCCCAGCCTGGCCTCCTACTTTATCCAGCAAGAGTCTTTAGAGCAAGTCTGATAGCAAGATGGAGTCATATGTGATGTAACATAATCATGTGAGTGAGACCTTATCACTTGCATCCTATTTTATTGGTTAGAAGTCATGGGTCCTATCCACACTCAGAAAGGAGGAGTTTACACTCAGGTGTAAATACCAGGATGCAGGGATTCTAGGGGCCATCTTGGAGTCTGTCCGGCACACATGCTGTGTTATTACTCTCTTTACTGCCTGTCTCCTTTGAAAAAGAGTGAGATTCTTGAGGGAAGGGACTGCTCACCTCCCAGTCTTCCACAGCACAGTGGTTGGCATACAGTAGCTATCAATGAGTAAGTAAATAGTAGGATGAAGTAAAATTGTCATGTTTTTATCTGCCTTGTGATTTGGGGGAAAAAAAGGTGAAAACCCATGATAAGTGGGGAAAAGGCAAGTTGGAAGAGACAACATTTTAAGTTTAATGTCCAGAAACTGGTTAGCGCTCCAGTGCTGAGCCTTGTCCTCTTTAATCATGGAATAGACTCCTTTCTGTCTACTCTGGAAGAAACTATACCTGAGAGGTTGTGGTAAATTTGATTATTGTTCAGAAATATTAATTCCTGCTCCACCTACATGAACAAAACATGTTTCCTTGTGCCTTGACTTTGAGCTTTTCCCTGTGACCTGTTTTCATCAGTGGAATATTAGTGGGTGCAGTGTGCCCCCAGGGTTTGGAAAGGGTTTGCATGATTTGGCTTGCTCTTTTTCTCTTCTGCCATCATCACCAGAGCGTGCCTGGACTGGCCCTCTGATCACAGAGAAAGATTCAAGGCATAGATCTGAGCTTGCCCACCCACGTTTCCCAGCCATTCCCCAGCCAAAGAAGCCAACCACCTATTGACCTGCTGACATGTGACCAAAACAAATACTTATTGCTGTATGTCACTAAGATTTTGTGGTTGTTTATTATGTAGCAAGAGAGTTATTATGTAGCGAGAATGAACTTATATAGGATATCAAAGGGAAGTATGACTCAGAAAAGGAAAGAATTGTGTGTCCCTCTTTTGCAGAGAAGGATGGCATGTCATAGTTTGCCAGTGGGAGAAACTCACCAGAGATTTGGCAGGTGGGAGGGAAGTTGAGGACATTATGCTTGGGAAGTTGTTCATATCAGGCATGGCGGGTTCCTCAGATATGGCATTTTCACACATCTCTCCACAGCCTCACTTCACAGACATGGTGGCTGCACAAATATCCCCATGAACTCATTGTTTTTGTCCCACTTTGGGTGGCTAAATGTGTGCAGCCTCTTGTACTCTATGAGCTCCTGGTTTCCCACTCGTGTCAGTGCATCAGACTAAAGTGGGTCACGACTCTTTTTTCAATTCTCCAGCTGTAGCTTCCAGATCTTCACTCCCCTGGGTCCTCCCACAGCTGGATAATCCCACATTCCTGTGTTAGACTCTCACTCTTGTATTACTTGTAGTGGCTCTGTTTTCCTAACTGAACCCAGGCTGAAAACAGGACTGAATAGAAATAAACCATTTGGCAATCATCAAAGCCCATCAGTCAGCACAGATTTTAATATCTTTATTAGCTAAACTATTTTCAGATTAAAAATAAATTATCAGAGGCAGAGTTTCCATGATCCAACCCAAGAAAGGCATGGAAAATATAAGGCAGTTAGAATTTGTGCTTCCATAACTTATTTTGTTAACATAGTAACAAAATCCCCACCTTTATTACTGATTCCAACCACCAAATCCAAGGTGTCTCAGAGAGATTTATAATGCTTAAGATTTCCTGGAGGAGAGAAATTCAAAATAATATTGTTTTTTATGTTCTAAAGAAACATTTCTATATTTATTTTGCATTATAGTCTGCTGATCTAGCCAGGTTTCTTTTTATGCTTCCTGGGAGTTTTTAACAGGGCAGGAACTAAGAAGGCAAATAGTCAAGGTGGTTGATTCCCAACTTTCATTCCACGCCAGCAACTCACGTCAGCCAATCATGGTGATCCCATTTCCCTTCCCAGTAACTAGTTTAGAAATGGGGCGGGGCGCAGTGGCTCACGCCTGTAATCCCAACACTTTGGGAGGCCAAGGTGGGTGGATCACCTGAGGTCAGGAGTTTGAGACCAGCCTGGCCAACATGGTAAAACCCCATCCCTACTAAAAAAAAAATTAGCTGGGCATGGTGGTGAATGCCTATAGTCCCAGTTACTTGGGAGGCTGAGGTGAGAGAATCACTTGATCCCAGGAGGCAGAGGTTGCAGTGAGCTGAAAGCACGCCACCGCACTCCAGCCTGGACAATGGGAGTGAAACCCTGCCTCAAAAAAAAAATTAAATTAAATTAAAATAAAAGAAATGGCATGTGACAGGATCCTGCTTGAGGGGAAATATGCTGGGCACTTCAGGGGATGGTTTTGCCGTCCACTCTTAAAAATGAGATCTTGGTGAGAAGATCGCTTTTTCCCCTGGATGTTGCTGTGTCCGGTGTGGTTACTAGAATGGCCGTAGCTCTCTTGCTATGCACCTGAAGATGAAGACAACACCTCAGTTAGCAAAGCAAGCAGTAAGAAGAGCTGTGTCCTTCGTGACATTGTGGAGTCACTGAAAACATTCAGTCTTGCTCTCCACTCTGGCTTTTCTCTTATGTGAGATAAAACACTCTCCTATTGTTTAAACTGGGTTGACTTGGCTTTATATTTCTTGTAATCAAAAGCATGTGGAGTCAGAAAGGCCCAAGCATGGTTAGAAAGAACTGGAGTTAGTCCATCAATAATATGTTCATGGAAAATAAATAGATGCTTTTCTCAAGGCACAGACAGAATTTAGTTTTAAATTAATTACAACTAAATATTAGTACCGAAAGTACAAAAAATTAAAAATCACTGTGGGCCTCAGGATAACCATAGGATAATGGTGACTGTGTAAACTCACATCTCTCTGTGTATCTTTCTCTCTTTGTTTTGTTTTGAGAGGGAGTCTCACTCTGTCACCCAGGCTGGAGTGCAGTGGGTCAATCTCAGCTCACTGCAACCTCTGCCTTCCGGGTTCAAGTGAGTCTCCTGCCTCAGCCTCCAGAGCAGCTGAGATTACAGGCTCCTGCCACCACACCCGGCTAATTTTTGTATTTTAGTAGAGACAGGGTTTCACCATGTTGGGCAGGCTGGTCTCGAACCCGTGACCTCAAGGGATCCACCTGCCTTGGCTTCCCAAAATGCTGGGATTACAGGTGTAAGCCACCATGCCCGGTCTGTCTGTGTATCTTTCTATAAACCAAAGACAGAAGGAAAACAAGTCACTTGTAGCCCATGTCTATAACATTAGAAGACAGCAAATATTACAGGGTTTATTTCATGTGTGAGGGAAATAAACATATGAGGCAAACAAAATTTGTCCTGGAACCCATAATCAGCAGTGAATCCGGTGACAACTAGGAAAAAGGGAAGAGAATGCAGTGAGATTTTAGAGTTAACAGAACATAAATAGTACCAGCTAGAGTTCATCCCCAGAAAGCAAGGTCCCCATGCTGTGTAGAAATATACATCTAGAAATATAGACATTATATCTATATTCTCCTTTTGAAAAGTATAATCAGTTTATTTCCCTGTTTACAAGGCCTATAAGATAAAGATGAAAGTCCTTTGCATGACATATGAGGCTTTCCTGATCTGGCTTCAGCCTCCCTTCCAGCTCCACGAAACTTTCTGTATACTATAACATTGTGTTTTTGGATAGACAGATCTGGGACGAGTCTTGTTATTAGCTGGATATCTTTGATCAAGTTACTATAGGTTGCTCAGCCTCAGTTTCCTCATCTGTAAAATAAGAATAATAATACCTGCCCATCACAAGGGTTGTGTCTGAGTTAAATAATATTATAGCTGTCGACGGGTTAGCACCGCACCTGGCACAGTGGAAGCGCGGGAGAATCCATTCTGATCACCCCTAACCCTGTCAAGTCCTCTCATACCTTTGTGCTTATACGATGTGTGCTGTTTCTTCTATCTAACATGTTCTGACCTCCCTTCTCTGTCTAACAAACTGGTCTTCCTGTTTCAAAGTCCGACTCAGTTTTCACTTAGACACAGTGATTCCCTCCCTGTGCTCCCAAAGCAGCTTTTCCCTTGCACATCAACTGGCCCTTAGCAGAGACCCAGTAAATATATATGCTAAATGAATGAACTAACAAAGCATCAAAAGATTGAGCAAAATGGAAAGAATGATTTTTGACAAATAAAGTTACTTACAAAACATGAAGTTTAGAAAGTGTATAAAAGGTTGCTCACATTCATTCAGATGGTCTTTGGCATTATCCTACAAATGCAGGAACACTTCTCTTTTTATTGTTTTTCTTATTATGTCTATTAAATTTCTATTTTTTATAATTCCCACCACAGATGAAATTTTTCTTGAGTCACCAACTGCAATAAATAGCATCACAGACATTTATGAAACAGAAGAGGAGGGGTGGAAGAGTGACACTTCATTATATGAAAATGACACAGATGAGCCCAGGGAAGAGGAAGTGGAAGATCTGATCTCCTGGACCAATACTCTCAATACAAATACTTCAGAAGATTAAGCAGAACATTATCAGATTCAAAAAATAAACAGCCTCCGCCATAGCCCAGCGTTGTGGAGCAATTTTGGAAGACTCTCAGAACTTGGATTTCATTTTTTTTAAGTTGTTCTCACCCACTCACTGCAAGTACAAATTAGAAATATAAGTACAAATCAGTAAAGATGTTGCTTTGACTTTTTTGAGTGCTACTCCTTTAGAACAAAGTTACCAAAGTTAGGGGTGTTCATTGCCATATGCCAATCAATGGTGTCACACTCCCACAGTTGTTAGGCTACTGGACACAAGTTTTTGCAGGCAGAGAATGGGTCAGAAAGAGGTTGGGATAGGAGGGGAGCAATTAAAAGCTTCAGAGGCTGGACATGACCCCAAGTAGCGGGATCTATACATGGACCTACATCTGCCTAGTTTCTTGTCTTGTTTCCTCCATATTCAAGGAATGAGATGTCGCTATTTACTAATGTTTCTCTTCTGTTTTATCCCAGAGTACGTGCCATTTTCTCTTAAACCTTGACCTATCTCCTCGTATTCTTATAACTTTATTTTCTCTGTCTCTTTTTGCCATATTGTCTCAACCTACACATGTGCTTTGGTCTCTCCTATTCTAAAATATGTCTCTGCCTTTGACCCCCAACTCTGCTTGCCTCACCAGTATTCACTCATTTTTCTCAGTCAGATTTATTGATCTGCCTTCCGGGTTCAATATTTAGCTAAATATTTAGCTAGCCAGGAAAGTGTCAAGAGACCAGATATGTGTAGTAGAGCTTTCTGGTGGCACATGCCCATAGTCCTAGCTACTCAGGAGGCTGTGGTGGGAGGATTGCTTGAGCCTGGGAGATCGAGGCTGCAGTGATCTGTGATCATGTCACTGCACTCCACTCTGGGCAACAGAGCAAGACCTTGTCTCAAAAAAAAAAAAAAACAAAACAAAACAGAACAAACACACCTAGGTTTCTATGGTTGTTGAGAAAAACCAAATAAATGCATCAATACATTAATATTTATGAAGTTCTAATAATAGCACCTGGCCTATAGTAAGCACTATATTTGTGTTTGATCAAATAAAAAACAAAATTTACTTCTATTTAGTTAATTGATCCCATGCACTATGAAAGAAATTCAGATTCAGGGGGCCTGAACTGAAGTCTATAAACCTGCAGTTTTAAAAATTACCCCAGCTGGCCAGGCGTGGTGGCTCACGCCTGTAATCCCAAAACTTTGGGAGGCCGAGGCGGGCGGATCATGAGGTCAGGAGATCGAGACCATCCTGGCTAACACGGTGAAACCCCGTCTCTACTAAAGATACAAAAAATTAGCCGGGCATGGTGGCGGGTGCCTGTAGTCCCAGCTACTTGGGAGGCTGAAGCAGAATAGCGTGAACCCGGGAAGCGGAGCTTGCAGTGAGCCGAGATCGCGCCACTGCACTCCAGCCTGGGCGACAGAGGGAGACTCCGTCAAAAAAAAAAAAAACAAAAAAACCAGCTGATTCTGATGAAGATGATTAGTGGATGACACTTTGAGACAATGTAATTCTGAGATTAATTTCAAATATGATTAACATGGCATGCCAAATCGTGCCATTTGATAACGGAGTGTGTCATGTATAGTAAAACTCCACAACTGACGCATACCCTCCACTGGATATGACGTCAGATCTGAAGTTAAGGTTCTATAGGAACGCGAGGCCCCAGCCCCCTTGTGATCAGTCTGGATGGATTCTGAAAAGAGAGGAGAAGAGAGAAGCAGGGAATTTCATTTTTTAAAATGTTCTGAATTAGCCGGGAGTGGTGGCGCATTCTTGTAGTCCCAGCTGCTAGGGAGGCCTGGGGCACGAGATTCGCTTGAACCCGGGAAGCGGAGGTTGCAGTGGGCAGAGACCGCGCCACTGCACTCCAAACTGGGCGACAAAGCAGGACTCCGTCTTAAAAGTATAAAATAAAAATAAAAGTAAATAAAATAAATATTATAAAATTTTGCATTTACGTCATTGTCAATGTTTTTTAAACTTGCGTTGTTGTTTAGACTCCACTTCCCCTCCAGATGGCGCCAGTTAGCTATTTCATGCACTTCAGTCTTAAGAGACACTTCACTGGAAGCCAGGCACCAAGCCTCCTTATGCTTTTAAAGGCTCGTATGGCACATGACCACTTTATAAGAGCGGAATACTTTGTTTTCCCTCCCAAGGAAGATGTTTACTCAGTACTAGGAAAGATTTACTAAAAGAAAAATAGCCCAGAGCTTACAAATTACTCACGTTGATAAAATCATAGAGCCAACCTGGAGAAATCAGTCAGTCCTCACCACTGGCTTCAGGCAGGACCACACAGAAACCACCCTCTTGTAGATGAGAATGAGCCTGAGTTTTGTTTAATGACTTCCAGACATCAGTGCATCCACTGAGAACTGCTGCCTCTCCTACCTGAGGGAGGGAGGGACTTCCCTAGGGGTTGACAGTTAGAAGGCTCTCTGGGGCCTGCCTGCCACCTAGACCTCCTTTGCCTCCCTGCTGCTCCCTTACAGGCCATGGGTGCCCCTAACGAGGAGATGGTAGCAATGGTGTTGGCTGGGAGATGAAGGGGGATCCTGTGCCTCTCTGTTATTTGGCAGTTAACTAAGAATATACAGAGACCCAGAGTTAAATTTAAGCCACTCTCTCCAGAGGGTGAGATCTCAAACCTTATCTAAATATTCAACTCCAGTATTTAACCACCTCCCAGAAGAGAGTTCTTTTTGGTTAATCTGATTCCTAGATGCAAAAGTATAAGCCCACTTGATTTGGGGTTTTCATCATAAAAGATGGAGTGCAGCTGGCTCTCATTTTCTGAGCAATATCCCTTAATAGATCTGAAGGCTAATTTTAAATGTTCTATACCCTTCTGCGATCTGTACTAACCAACCCCAGACCTTTTCATTCTTTGTTATGGCCTCTCAATGTTCAAACCCTCTCCCCGACTCTTCATCTCACTTTCAAGTTCTAAGGACCAGACTGGAATCTAAATGAAAAGTGATCACTTGAACAGCCAAGGGTAATTATATTTACAAGTTGAATTCTGTTTCAACAAATACAATTACAACATCCATCCTGATCTCCTGAGGCTTTTTGCATGTCTCAATAACTAGCTCATGTTAACAATCCTTCACCGATATAAAAAAAATGTTTTCTATAGAGGAGAAAATTGTATATACTAGATGTGTTCACAAGTTGCCATCCATTTTTAAGTAAAACTTCATAACTAAGATATTGTTCTCATTAAGTAAGTGTATGTACAATAATTAACTTAGAATATGTCTAAAATAAACCTCAATGTCACCAGTGAGGGCTACTAATAAGATGATATTACTTTAGTGTTCAAAATTGTTTAAATAACTCTGAGTTCTCATATTGTGTCATATGAGTCAACTTTTTCCTACGTTCCATGGCAAATAACAAAAGACCTACTAGAGGATTAAAGAGGTAGAGACTCTTTTTTTTTTCCACAAAATAAGGAGCCCTTAGGTGGGCAGTTGCTGGCATTGGTTCAGCTAGTTGGGCAATGAAGCCATCAAAGACCAAGCTTTTTCTCTTTCCTCGCTACCATTTTTAGGATGTTGGCTTTTGTCTCCATGCCTTTTGCTTCTTGATTACAAGATGGCTGCTAGAAGGCTGGGCATAGTGGCTCACACCTGTAATCCCAGCACCTTGGAAGACCGAGGCAGAAGGATTGCTTGAGCCCAGGAGTTTGAGACCAACCTAGGCAACATAGTGAGATCCTGTTTCTACTAAAAAAATTTTTTACAGTTAGCCGGGCATGGTGGTGTGCACCTCAGGAAGGTGAGGCAGGAGGATAGCTTGAGCCCAAGAGCTCTAGGTTGCAGTAAGTTATGATCATACACCACTGCACTCTAGCCTGGGCAACAGAGTAAGACTGTCTTACAAAAAAAAAAAAAAAAAAAAATGGCTGATACAGTTCCAGACTTCATCTGTTTGTTCAAGATAGGAGGAAGGGAAGAAGAGGGAAGGGAAGTGATGCTGGCTGCTACTTCTGTTCTAGAGCAAAGGGTGACTCAGTGTCCTCAATGCTAGAAACCAAACTGGTAGCAAAATTTTTAAAAGTCGGTTCTGTTAATAATATAGTTTATCCATACTCATTTAGTCATTCATTGATGATTCAATGGGTAGTTTACAGTAGCCTTTACCACATTTTAATATGCATTAATAATTGATAAGTGAGAGAAAGGATAATTTTATATATTTTTAAAAATAATATTTTACATTATTGTATTTTTGCACTTGCAGAAATGTCTGACTCACTTTGAAGAGGATGGGAGACAGAGAATTCTAGGCATGTACATCTTGGTTAGGTGACCAAATATTCTGGGTGGGCTAGGACAGGGGTTTCTAAGGTTTTCTGTGAAATTAATCAACATAAAAGGGACCTAATCCCGGGTTTTCCTTTAAGTACTTTCTTCCCAGTCTTAAAATAGGTTAGAATAAATGAACTGTGGGATGATTAGGCCCACGCTGCATTTCAGAATTTGTAGGCTTCAATGGTGTAAACAGTCCATTAACACCTCATAAACTAGGATGTTCTTAGGTCATAACGCATTGGAACACAGGTAGCAGCAGTCAGGCTGGTCAGTCCAGGTGGCCCCAGAAAGAGATGGCCTAATGTCAGCCTTCAACGTAAGATGCAGGTCTAGAATCCAAGAGACCTAGACAGGGCCTGGGAGAACAGGAGCTCTATGATCAAGAGCAATTTGGTTAATATCTAGGGGCAGTAAACTATAGTGCTCTGGACCTGGGGGTTTGGTGGGGAATAAGATTCAACATTCAAGACTTCGCCATGTTAGAAAAGCTCTGAGTTGCACAGCTGATTTCACTCTGTCAATAAGAACATTCTGAGACTTAAGTATCCAGTTCCTCTAGACCTGGGGACCCCCAGTTGATAGCCTGATCGATAAAATTTTAAGTCCTGTGCCATTTTCCCATGTAAAACATTTAATTTTCACAAAGAAAGAATCAGAAAAGTTCAATACTTCTTTTTTATCTTTAACTTGGGGTTGAATATGTGAATTTTATTAATTTGGCCAAAAGTGAGAAGAGAGCCATATCAAAGGAAATCTAAAGAATGTTCTTAGGCTCTCAAGAAAGCTTAAATGGATGTGAACCAGGAGCACCCCAGGAGTTTGGTTTGAGCATCTAAATGATATCCTGTCTCCTTCTGGCAAAAAAAAAAAAAAAAAAAATACACAATTAATTATGAATAAAAGATTTGGACTTTTTTTTAGTCTGAATTTTATTACAAAGCTTGGGAAACTTAGATCCAAGTAGATGGAATCTTCCAAACTCAATTTGTCTTTCAGTTTAAAAAGAGATCATGTGAATTTAAAGAAAAACATTAATTTCTATGCTTCAAAAAACCAGCTCACGATTTTCCCCAAATCTGAATTTTCCCCACATTCAGTTTGTTCTAAAGTTAAGTCGTAAGTACAATCTTTCTGTGAACAAGGGTTCTCTGGTTTTAGATACACACAAATCCTCATTAATCCATCCTAACATCTATAAGGGCATGGCAGTGGATTTATTGATCACAAAAGCTAACTTTTGCTATGTAACAAAGCACCCTCAAACTTTGTGGCTCGAACAACAGCCATTTATTTAACTCACAATCCTTCATATCAGCAATTTGGGTCAGAGTCAGCTTCTCAGATTGTAGCAGTGGGGCTCGTCCATGTATCTGCAGTCAGCATCCAGCTTAGCTGAAGTCTGTCTGGTCTAGGGGGACTCAACTGGGACAGCTTGTCTTTGTTCGTCTTGGTCTTTCATCCTTCAACAGACTAGCACAGGCTTGGTCATGGGGCAACTGGACTGGTATCCAGAGGGAGAGAGGAAATATTCAAGGTCTCTTGAGGCCTGGGTTCAGAACTGGCACATCATTACTTCTGCTAAATTATTGGCCAAAACAGGTCCAGACTAGACTTGAGGGGAGGGTGAATCGAGTCTTTATAGGAAAACTCTTTAAGGAAGGACCACAAAGCCATATTACCAAGGACATAAATGCAAGGAGGAGTTAAGAATTTTGGTTACTTTTGCAATCTAGTACAGAAAACATAGATAAATCAATATAAACCTCTCTCTACTACTAGGGTGAAAAAAAGTCTCCAGTTGTTCATTTATGTGCCAGGCCTTGTACTAGGCAATAGGGATAGTCCAGGAGATACTTCAATAATAGATCATTACGGGGGGAGGAGCCAAGATGGCTGAATAGGAACAGCTCCGGTCTATAGCTCCCAGCGTGAGCGAGGCAGAAGACGGGTGATTTCTGCATTTCCATCTGAGGTACCAGGTTCATCTCACTTGGGAGTGCCAGACAGTGGGTGCAGGACAGTGGGTGCAGTGCACTGTGCACCAGCCGAAGCAGGGCAAGGCATTGCCTCTCTTGGGAAGCACAAGGAATCAGGGAGTTCCCTTTCCTGGTCAAGGAAAGGGGTGACAGACAGCACCTGGAAAATCGGGTCACTCCCACCCGAATATGGTGCTTTTCCAACGGGCTTAGGAAATGGCGCACCAGGAGATTATATCCCGCACCTGGCTCGGAGGGTCCTACGCCCACGGAGTCTCGCTGACTGCTAGCACAGCAGTCTGAGATCAAACTGCAAGGTGGCAGTGAGGCTGGGGGAGGGGCGCCCGCCATTGCCCAGGCTTGCTTAGGTAAACAAAGCAGCCTGGAAGCTCCAACTGGGTGGAGCCTACCACAGCTCAAGGAGGCCTGCCTGTCTCTGTAGGCTCCACCTCTGGGGGCAGGGCACAGACAAACAAAAAGACAGCAGTAACCTCTGCAGACTTAAATGTCCCTGTCTGACAGCTTTGAAGAGAGCAGTGGTTCTCCCAGCACGCAGCTGGAGATCTGAGAACGGGCAGACGGCTTCCTCAAGTGGGTCCCTGACCCCTGACCCCCGAGCAGCCTAACTGGGAGGCACCCCCCAGTAGGGGCAGACTGACACCTCACACGGCCAGGTACTCCTCTGAGACAAAACTTCCAGAGGAACGATCAGACAGCAGCATTCACGGATCACGAAAATCCACGGTTCTGCAGACACTGCTGCTGATACCCAGGCAAACAGGGTCTGGAGTGGACCTCTAGCAAACTCCAACAGACCTGCAGCTGAGGGTCCTGTCTGTTAGAAGGAAAACTAACAAACAGAAAGGACATCCACACCAAAAACCCATCTGTACACCACCACCATCAAAGACCAAAAGTAGATAAAACCACAAAGATGGGGAAAAAACAGAGCAGAAAAACTGGAAACTCTAAAAAGCAGAGCGCCTCTCCTCCTCCAAAGGAACGCAGTTCCTCACCAGCAACGGAACAAAGCTGGATGGAGAATGACTTTGACGAGTTGAGAGAAGAAGGCTTCAAACGATCAAACTACTCCAAGCTACAGAAGGAAATTCAAACCAAAGGCAAAGAAGTTGAAAACTTTGAAAAAAATTTAGACAAATGTATAACTAGAATAACCAATACAGAGAAGTGCTTAAAGGAGCTCATGGAGCTGGAAGCCAAGGCTTGAGAACTACATGAAGAATGCAGAAGCCTCAGGAGCCGATGCGATCAACTGGAAGAAAGGGTATCGGTGATGGAAGATGAAATGAATGAAATGAAGCGAGAAGGGAAGTTTAGAGAAAAAAGAATAAAAAGAAATGAACAAAGCCTCCAAGAAATATGGGACTATGTGAAAAGACCAAATCTGCGTCTGATTGGTGTACCTGAAAGTGACAGGGAGAATGGAACCAAGTTGGAAAACACTCTGCAGGATATTATCCAGGAGAACTTCCCCAATCTAGCAAGGCAGGCCAACATTCAGATTCAGGAAATACAGAGAACGCCACAAAGATACTCCTCAAGAAGAGCAACTCCAAGACGCATAATTGTCAGATTCACCAAAGTTGAAATGAAGGAAAAAATGTTAAGGGCAGCCAGAGAGAAAGGTCGGGTTACCCACAAAGGGAAGCCCATCAGACTAACAGCGGATCTCTCGGCAGAAACTCTACAAGCCAGAAGAGAGTGGGGGCCAATATTCAACATTCTTAAAGAAAAGAATTTTCAACCCAGAATTTCATATCCAGCCAAACTAAGCTTCACAAGTGAAGGAGAAATAAAATACTTTACAGACAAGCAAATGCTGAGAGATTTTATCACCACCAGGCCTGCCCTAAAAGAGCTCCTGAAGGAAGCACTAAACATGGAAAGGCACAACCGGTACCAGCTGCTGCAAAATCATGCCAAAATGTAAAGACCATCAAGACTAGGAAGAAGCTGCATCAACTAACGAGCAAAATAACCAGCTAACATCATAATGACAGGATCAAATTCACACATAACGATATTAACTTTAAATGTAAATGGACTAAATGCTCCAATTAAAAGACACAGACTGGCAAAGTGGATAAAGAGTTAAGACCCATCAGTGTGCTGTGTTCAGGAAACCCATCTCATGTGCAGAGACACACATAGGCTCAAAATAAAAGGATGGAGGAAGATCTACCAAGCAAATGGAAAACAAAAAAAGGCAGGGGTTGCAATCCTAGTCTCTGATAAAACAGACTTTAAACCAACAAAGATCAAAAGAGACAAAGAAGGCCATTACATAATGGTAAAGGGATCAATTCAACAAGAAGAGCTAACTATCCTAAATATAGATGCACCAAATACAGGAGCACCCAGATTCATAAAGCAAGTCCTTAGTGACCTACAAAGAGACTTAGACTCCCACACAATAATAATGGGAGATTTTAACACCCCACTGTCAACATTAGACAGATCAATGAGACAGAAAGTTAACAAGGATACCCAGGAATTGAACTCAGCTCTGCACCAAGTGGACCTAATAGACATCTACAGAACTCTCCACCCCAAATCAACAGAATATACAATTTTTTCAGCACCACACCACACCTATTCCAAAATTGACCACATACTTGGAAGTAAAGCTCTCCTCAGCAAATGTAAAAGAACAGAAATTATAACAAACTGTCTCTTAGAACACAGTGCAATCAAATTAGAACTCAGGATTCAGAAACTCACTCAAAACCGCTCAACTACATGGGAACTGAACAACCTGCTCCTGAATGACTACTGGGTACATAAAGAAATGAAGGCAGAAATAAAGATGTTCTTTGAAACCAATGAGAACAAAGACACAACATACCAGAATCTCTGGTACACATTCAAAGCAGTGTGTAGAGGGAAATTTATAGCACTAAATGCCCACAAGAGAAAGCAGGAAAGATCCAAAATTGACACCCTAACATCACAATTAAAAGAACTAGAAAAGCAAGAGCAAACACTTCAAAAGCTAGCAGAAGGCAAGAAATAACTAAAATCAGAGCAGAACTGAAGGAAATAGAGACACAAAAAACCCTTCAAAAAATTAATGAATCCAGGAGCTGGTTTTTTGAAAGGATCAACAAAATTGATAGACCGCTAGCAAGACTAATAAAGAAAAAAAGAGAGAAGAATCAAATAGATGCAATAAAAAATGATAAAGGGGATATCACCACCGATCCCACAGAAATACAAACTACCATCAGAGAATACTACAAACACCTCTATGCAAATAAACTAGAAAATCTAGAAGAAATGGATAAATTCCTCGACACATACACTCTCCCAAGACTAAACCAGGAAAAAGTTGAATCTCTGAATAAATCAATAACAGGATCTGAAATTGTGGCAATAATCAATAGCTTACCAACCAAAAAGACTCCAGGACCAGATGGATTCACAGCCGAATTCTACCAGAGGTACAAGGAGGAAATGGTACCATTCCTTCTGAAACTATTCCAATCAATAGAAAAAGAGGGAATCCTCCCTGACTCATTTTATGAGGCCAGCATCATCCTGATACCAAAGCCTGGCAGAGACACAACCAAAAAAGAGAATTTTAGACCAATATCCTTGATGAACATTGATGCAAAAATCCTCAATAAAATACTGGCAAACCGAATCCAGCAGCACATCAAAAAGCTTATCCACCACGATCAAGTGGGCTTCATCCCTGGGATGCAAGGCTGGTTCAATATACGCAAATCAATAAATGTAATCCAGCATATAAACAGAACCAAAGACAAAAGCCACATGATTATCTCAATAGATGCAGAAAAGGCCTTTGACAAAATTCAACAACCCTTCATGCTAAAAACTCTCAATAAATTAGGTATTTATGGGACGTATCTCAAAATAATAAGAGCTATCTATGACAAAACCACAGCCAATATCATACTGAATGGGCAAAAACTGGAAGCATTCCCTTTGAAAACTGGCACAAGACAGGGATGCCCTCTCTCACCACTCCTATTCAACATAGTGTTGGAAGTTCTGGCCAGGGCAATTAGGCAGAAGAAGGAAATAAAGGGTAATCAATTAGGAAAAGAGGAAGTCAAATTGTCCCTGTTTGCAGATGACATGATTGTATATCTAGAAAACCCCATTGTCTCAGCCCAAAATCTCCTTAAGCTGATAAGCAACTTCGGCAAAGTCTCAGGATACAAAATCAATGTACAAAAATCACAAGCATTCTTATACACCAATAACAGACAAACAGAGAGCCAAATCATGAGTGAACTCCCATCACAATTGCTTCAAAGAGAATAAAATACTTAGGAATCCAACTTACAAGGGACGTGAAGGACCTCTTCAAGGAGAACTACAAACCACTGCTCAAGGAAATAAAAGAGGATACAAACAAATGGAAGAACATTCCATGCTCATGGGTAGGAAGAATCAATATCGTGAAAATGGCTATACTGCCCAAGGTAATTTATAGATTCAATGCCATCCCCATCAAGCTACCAATGACTTTCTTCACAGAATTGGAAAAAACTACTTTAAAGTTCATATGGAATCAAAAAAGAGCCCACATCGCCAAGTCAATCCTAAGCCAAAAGAACAAAGCTGGAGGCATCACGCTACCTGACTTCAAACTATACTACAAGGCTACAGTAACCAAAACAGCATGATACTGGTACCAAAACAGAGATATAGATGAATGGAACAGAACAGAGCCCTCAGAAATAACGCCGCATATCTACAACTATCTGATCTTTGACAAACCTGAGAAAAACAAGCAATGGGGAAAGGATTCCCTATTTAATAAATGGTGCTGGGAAAACTGGCTAGCCATATGTAGAAAGCTGAAACTGGATCCCTTCCTTACACCTTATACAAAAATTAATTCAAGATGGATTAAAGACTTAAACATTAGACCTAAAACCATAAAAACCCTAGAAGAAAACCTAGGCATTACCATTCAGGACATAGGCATGGGCAAGGACTTCATGTCTAAAACACCAAAAGCAACGGCAATGAAAGCCAAAATTGACAAATGGGATCTAATTAAACTAAAGAGCTTCTGCACAGCAAAAGAAACTACCATCAGAGTGAACAGGCAACCTACAAAATGGGAGAAAATTTTCGCAACCTACTCATCTGACAAAGGGCTAATATCCAGAATCTACAAAGAACTCAAACAAATTTACAAGAAAAAAACAAACAACCCCATCAATAAGTGGGCAAAGGATATGAACAGACACTTCTCAAAAGAAGACATTTATGCAGCCAAAAGACACATGAAAAAATGCTCATCATCACTGGCCATCAGAGAAATGCAAATCAAAACCACAATGAGATACCATCTCACACCAGTTAGAATGGCAATCATTAAAAAGTCAGGAAACAACAGGTGCTGGAGAGGATGTGGAGAAATAGGAAGGCTTTTACACTGTTGGTGGGACTGTAAACTAGTTCAACCATTGTGGAAGTCAGTGTGGCGATTCCTCAGGGATCTAGAACTAGAAATACCATTTGACCCAGCCATCCCATTACTGGGTATATACCCAAAGAACTATAAATCATGCTGCTATAAAGACACATGCACACGTATGTTTATTGCGGCACTATTCACAATAGCAAAGACTTGGAACCAACCCAAATGTCCAACAATGATAGACTGGATTAAGAAAATGTGGCACATATACACCATGGAATACTATGCAGCCATAAAAAATGATGAGTTCATGTCCTTTGTAGGGACATGGATGAAATTGGAAATCATAATTCTCAATAAGCTATCGCAAGGACAAAAAACCAAACACCGCATGTTCTCACTCATAGATGGGAATTGAACAATGAGAACACATGGACACAGGAAGGGGAACATCACACTCTGGGGACTGTTGTGGGGTGGGGGGAGGGGGGAGGGATAGCATTAGGAGATATACCTAATGCTAAATGACGAGTTAATGGGTGCAGCACACCAGCATGGCACATGTATACATATGTAACTAACCTGCACATTGTGCACATGTACCCTAAAACTTAAAGTATAATAATAATTAAAAAAAAAAGAAAAAAAGAACATTTAAACATTTATAAACATTTTGATAAATTTAAAAAATAATAATAATAATAATAGATCATTACTATGCAATGTGAATTGTGAAAGGATAGGCCTGTCCTAGATAACTAGAAGCAACTTGCCCCCAAATGTTATGCCAAGACAGGTTCTTTGTCTATTTGGTAAAAAGTAAGACACTTCTAATTTTTAATGTGTATAGATCTTTTTTTAAAAAATTGATCATAATAACCATATTTGGAGATCTGCCTTCATTTCTCCTGGCTCTAGAATTTATGTTCCATACAGACTGGAATTCTGTTTTCCTCAGTGCTGTAGCCCTTGCACCTTCACCAGTGTCTGACATGTACTAGCTACTCAATAATTATTTAAATGTGGCCTTCAAGTCCCTTTGTAATGCATCTACATGGACAGCAGAGAAGAGAAGGCAGTGACAACGGTGCTTTCGTGGTGGAGGCAGAATCATTCTATGTGTTCTCATTGGTGTATACAAGTATTTTTGTTCTTTTTTGTTGCTTAATCTTTTTTTCTGGTGTTATGATTTAATAAGAGGAAGTGTAGCAGAGTAAATATTGCTCATCTGATGCAGTGATCACCATTCCCAGCTACGGTTGGCTGGAACTGAGGTAGGATAAGGGATTGGCCTCATACATTTTTGGTGTTTGAATCAATGTGTTTGTAAATTGGAGAATATGGCAGTCATAGCAGAGAACAAACAGAAGAGCGGATACTCCATTTTTATTCTTCAGGAACTTCAAGTCTAGGTTTTACTTTCTCACTCCTGACCAACAGCAGTGACTTTGAAGGGGACAAGGGACCATCGGCTCATTCTTTTGTTTATTCACTCATTTATGTACATATTCAATAAATATTTATTGAGTTGGAATAAAGTGAAGTGGTGTGATGGGTGAAGTTCAAGCTGGGTTGGGAGTCATGGGGGCAGGAGGACACTTAATCCAGATTTAAGAGCTCAGGAAAAGCTCCCTGCATGAAGCAGCATTTAATCTGAGCTCTGAATAATAAATGGAGTTAACTGGGCAATAAAGGGAATTGGGGAAGAGTGCATGGGCCAAGGGAACAGCTTGCCTTGCAACCTACCAGACACAGGTGAGGGGACACAACACCTGAGAAGACCTGAAAATAGTTGGCTATAACTGCATTGCAGAATTGATGGGCAAGAGATAAGAGAAATGAGGTAAGAGAAAGAGGCAGGGGCCAGACCATGCTTGAGACAGGAACCACATGAGAAGTGATGGAGACCTGCCAAGGGCAGAGCAGAGAGAAGACAAAAAGCGGATGGATTCCAGGTTGCGTAGAAGACTTGGTGATGAATTGGACTCCAGGAGAGAGGAGTCAGGGATTCTGGTTGACATGAGGGATGATGGACCCATTTACTAAAATAAAGGATTAAGACATTTTGAATGGGAAAAGATATTGCTAATAAGTTGAGATCCCCACAGACAGGCTGACTGACTATTTTTTCCTGCCAGGGCCAAACTTAATATCCATTTTAATCTGAATCCAAATGGAAAAAGCTGGGTTCTGGATTCAGCCAGATTCAGTTCAGACCCGTGCGCCAAGCTATGTGATGTGATCCTAGACAAATTACAGAGGCTTTCTGAGCCTTACCTCCCTCATTGTAAAATGGAGAAAAGAATAATATTTCACAGCGTCATTATTGGAGTTAAATAATAAAATGCATATAAAGTGCTTCACACAGTATCAGGTTCAATAAATGTTAGCTAGAATTATTGTGTGTGAAGATGGTGGAAAGAGGAGGCAAGAGAATTAGGCACAAAGGCTGCTCAGAAAACTTAAGAGGAGTGGAGCTAGGCGGGAAGCTTGGGAAGTGGGGAAGAGACCAGGCCTGGGGAAATGTAGTGGGCTCTGACCCCTAGACTTTTGCCAAGGCACTTCATCCCAGTGAAAGTCTGATCGCAAGATGTGCTTGCTCCCCACCCTGGAACAATCTGAGCTGCGTCTCCTCCCCAATCCCTTATTACTCCTGCAGTATCTGTCTTTTATCTGTTTCCCAAATCCCCAGCACTGCATTAGATGGTAATGCTCTGAAAAGTACACATTAAAAACTTCCTTCTTTCAACAAGAAAGAGTTTGGGTTCTACAGCACTGCATTCAAGTGCACAGCTCTGGAGCCACACTGCCTGGACTCCCCTCTGAACACCACCAAACACTGGCCGTTGGGTGGGCAACAACTCTCTGTGTCCTGGTTCCTAATCTGATAAGAGTAGTAACCACTAAGAAGTTTTATGTGAGGATTAAATGAATTAATAGTTCTAAAGCACCTAGAGCAATTGCTGGTCCAAATTCAAGTAAGCCCTGAGTAAGTGTCAGCTGTTATCACAGTGTCAGAAGAAACCCAGGAGAGCCAGGCCAGTGCCTCTTTAGGCCTTGTGCCCTGAACCAAAGCAGCGTCCAAACCAGTGGTTAATGAGAGGCAGCCAGTTGCCTGGGATAGCCCATCCTGTGGTGGAAGGAGATAACAATGGCAATACTTATCAGTTCTCAGTTGTTATTTCATTTAAGTTCACAATTCATGGGGTAGGTATTATTCCCCATGTAGAGATGAGGTAACTGAGGCTCAAAGAAGTTAAGGATCTTTGTTGACGTTAGAACCCAAGACCCTGTAAGGGTATTAACATTTTATTCTGCTGGGAAAAATCAGAGATTTTGAAATATAATTTGGGAGCCCATGAATGGCCAGAATCCAAATGGCACACCCCAGAACACCTAAAAATGTCAGGGATTGGGAAACCACAATTCTGGTGTTCTTGATGGAGATTCTTTTGTTTGTATGACAGTTGCTTCTCTAGGACCCTGCAGTGCTTCCCGCCTCCCGCCTGGCTTGAGTAGGGGCTGCACGATCACATCTGCTCATCTCCTTCTCTTCCAGCCCTGCTGACCTGGCAGGCTGCCAGCCTAACAGCCAGGGCATTTGGGGAGGCCTGATTTTAATAAATTTCTATTTCCTGTAGAAAACCGGTTTTTTCAGTGGCTTTGTAACCCAACCATTTTTGATCACATCAGGACTAAACCTGGCAGCCAGCTTGGCAGCTTGTGCACAAATTGCATACAAAGGCAGATTGTTTAGCCTTTATTGTAATTCAAAGCAACTTAAGGAAAAGGGAGGGACAAAAAGAAAAGAAAAAAGTGAAAGAAAAAAATAAATCCAATTATATTATATAATTACATAACACAGTGAACTTCTAATTCTCTTTAAGGAAAATACAGAATCAATTAACCTTTCTGTCTGTTTCCTTTTTCTCTCTGTCTCAAAGTTTCTCACACATGCACACACACACACACACAATAGTAGAGCAGACAAATAATGAATTCCAACTTGAAATCTTTTTTCCCTGTCTTTTTTTTTTTCTTTACCAACAACATCTCACATTCAAGGAGAGTTGGAGAAGTAAAAATCAGGAAAATCCTGAGGGAAAAGAGCATGTTTAAAAGATTTTAGAGACAAGGAAAAGAAATAAGAGTGGGTCTGAGACAGTGAATGAGAGGATGAAAAAAACTAAATGAGCAGCAATAAGAATGGGCATCTTAAAATCATCAGATTAAGAGAGTTTGTGGAGTTAGAAATTATATAAATCAAATGACTAGAAAGTGTTAGATTTCTAATTCTCAGAAAGTGTTACATGGCAAGCTAAGTTTTGGGTCTTCCTTTTTCAACTTGACCAAATATCTCTGCCCTTTTCTGTGTCCTTCTTGGGTCATGAATGCTTGTATCTCAGAGTAGTGCCTATTAGAGTCTCTGCCTATGTGCCAGACAGGCCATCTGACTAGAGCCATGTTTTACACTTAGGCCTTCTTCTCAGCTGCCTGGATAAACTAGTGTGTTCATGAGGATGTTAATATGCTCCCATGTCATGTTCGCATTGTTCTGGAGAGATGTACAGGCATCGTATTAGAAATTCTAGACACCTGGGCAGGTCTGTTGGGGAGATGTTTTCTGCATGAGCACTCCGTGTGTTTGATCATATCATAGGGTGATCCATGATTCATTTATAGCAGAACAAACCTTGTTGGGTATATATCATTAAGAAGGGCAATGGCCAGGTGCAGTAGCTCATGCCTGTAATCCCAGCACTTTAGGAGGCCAAGGCAGGAAGATCACTTATGCCCAGGAGTTCAAGGCCAGCCTGGGCAACATAGCAAGACTCCATCTCTACTTTTATTAAAACAAATAAATTATATTTTTAAAAAAGAAGGACAAGCGCAGAGGCTTATTGGCATTGAGGGTCAATGAATGGCCTGAATTATTAGGGTGTGCAAATCGAAATAATGTAGGATTCCAATGAGGGTGGGTTTTGAAGGCACTGACTATGGATTCCAGGGCAGGGAGATAGCTAAGTGGCAAAAGACACAAGTGAATTAAACCAAAATATTGGACACATGGCCAGGTAGTTAGGCAGAAAATGAGTAACTAAGTTATAAAATGAGTAAATAAGAAATCCAAACAAGCTAATCATAGTTTAAACTTGAACCCAGGGATGGATAAGGAAATAAAACAGAAATTTTAATTCAACTGAACAACCATTATGCCATTATGTCCTTGGCATGTGTTGGATTCAAAATTATAAGACACAGAGCTTACCATCCATATTTCATTTTCTTTTTCTTTTTCTTTTTTCTTTTTTTGCGACGGAGTCTCGCTCTGTCGCCCAGGCTGGAGTGCAGTGGCGCCATCTTGGCTCACTGCAAGCTCCGCCTCCCGGGTTCACGCCGTTCTCCTGCCTCAGCCTCCCGAGTAGCTGGGACTACAGGCTCCACCACCATGCCCGGCTAATTTTTTGTATTTTTTAGTAGAGACAGGGTTTCACCGTGTTAGCCAGGATGGTCTCGATCTCCTGACCTCGTGATCCGCCCGCCTTGGCCTCCCAAAGCATCCATATTTCAGTCTCTTTTGGGGTGGAAGTGTGAAGTTGTGGACCACAGTGTATATATTATACGTGAAACAAGTAGAAATGGGTTTTTAACTGAGGAAGGGATGGGAAAGGGAAGCATAAGAATCACCTAAGAAGTTTTTTCAATACATATTCTAGACTTACTCAGAATCTCTGAAGGCAGATGGAGATAAAAATGGGTTTGCCTGGTTTGAAAAGCTTCCCGGGAGGTTCAGATGTATTGAATTAGACTGGTACTTGCCAGCCTTACCTGATTAAAAGAATCACCTGAGGAACTTATAAAACACTAGATTTATCTAATTCCACCCACCTCCAGAGTTACCGATTCACAGCTGGTCTCACATAGAGCACAGAAATGCATACTTTTATTTTTCTAAAAATGACAAATAAATTATATATATTTATTGCATATGGAATGGCATTTTGGTATATGTATACATTGTGGAATGGCTAAATCAAGCTAATTAACATATGCATTTCCTCACATATTTATCATTTTTTTTTTGTGGTGAGAACACTTAAAATCTAATCACTTGGCAATTTTCAAGTAGACAAAATATGTCAGTAACTATAGTCACCATGATGTACGATAGATTTCTTGAACTTAGTCCCCCTCTCTACCTGAAGTTCTGTACCTTTTGATCCACATCCCCTCAGGTGCCCCCAACCCCTAGCATCTGGTGACTGCCATTCCGCTCTCAGCTTCTGAGTTCAGCTTTTTTAGATTGCCATGAAAATGAGATCATGCAGCATTTGACTTTCTGTGCCTGGCTTATTTCACTTTTCTTTTCTTTTCTTTTCTTTTCTTTTTTTTGAGACAGAGTTTCACTCTCGTTGCCCAGGCTGGAGTGCAGTGGCACGATTTCTGCTCGCTGCAACCTCTGCCTCCCAGGTTCAAGTGATTCTCCTGCCTCAGCCTCCCAAGTATCTGGAATTACAGGCATGTGCCACCACCCCTGGCTAATCTTTGTATTTTTAGTAGAGATGGGGTTTCACCATGCTGGCCAGGCTGGTCTCAAACTCCTGACATCTGGTGATCCACCCGCCTTGGCGTGCCAAAGTGCTGTACAGGCTTGAGCCACCATGCCCAGCCTTCACTTATGTTCTTTATGTCCGTTTATGTTGTTTTAAATGACAAGATTTCTTTCTTTTTTAAGGCTGAATGGTATTCCATTGTGTATGTATCCCACATTTTCTTCATTCATTCATCCCTTGATAAACACTTAGGTTGATTTTAAATCTTGGCTATTGTGGCTAGTGCTGTAATGAACATCGGAGTGCAGATCTCCTCAACAAACTGATTTCATATCCTTTAAATATATACCCAGGAATTCCTGGATTACATGGTGGTTCTATTTTTAGCGTTTTGAGGAAACTCCATACTGTTTTCCCTAATCGCTGTACTAATTTCTATTCCCTCCAACAGTATACAAGGATTTTCTTTTCTCCACATCCTTGTCAACATTTGTTATCTTCAGTCTTCTTAATTGTAGCCATTGTGAGAGGTGAGAGGGGTGATACCTCATTGTGGCTTTAATGGGCAAGAAATGTGTATTTTTAACAAGTGCCCAGGGTGAGTCTTATAAATGGGTAAGTTTGAAGAATACGGAATTAGATAACACTCACTTATTCAAGAAATGATCATTGAGCACCATCTATCTTGTTGAATGCTGGAAAACAGAGGAATTATTAATAGATCCATCTAATGAGTGTGTATGCTCCAAAAGATTGAGAACAGAGAACTAACTGGCATGGGAGCCTGAATGAATGTCTCTTTGTCAGGAAGGGGCAGTCATCACGTCCAGTGGCCGTGCCACAGAGTGGTGAGAGCATGGGCTCTGGGCCACACGCCTGGGTTTGACTTCTAGCTGTGCCACTGCCTGACTGTGTAACCAGGATGCCTTATTTAACCCAAGTGTACCTCATTTGTTATAAAATGGAAATGGTAATAAGTCTTCTAGGTTGCTGTGAGGTTTGGATTCATACAAGTATTCAATAAATGCTATTACTATTATTGTATTTTACAGTGCCTACTGTCTAGAGTGCTTTCACAAGCATGGATTCATTTGATCCTCACAATAACGTTGAGAGATAGGCATTATTATAAATCTCATTTTACAAAGGGATGAGACAATTGAAGCTAAAAGAGATCAAGAAATCCAAACAAGCTAATCATAGTTGAAGCTTGAACCCAGGTCTCTAAACACCACGTACTCTACTTTCTCTTATGACAAAATGAGGGAAACAGATTACAGAAGAAGCCTTGAGTACCAATTTTACAAAGTTAAACTTTATTCTGCATCTCTTAGGAAACACTTAAGCAGAAGACAGACATGTTGAAATTAGTGATGTGGAAAGTTGAATCTTCTGGGGGTACATGGAAAATTGATACCAGCGAGGACCTTGAGAGAGAGAGCTCAGCAGTTGATTCTGAGGGTAAACAGGGCTTTACAGGATGAGGTTGGAGAGTGCAAATGGAAATAGAGAGACAGAGACTGAAAAGAAAAGGAAATGTGCACTAATAAGCAATGACAGTTGATATACAAAATGCTTGCAATGTGATTGTTGAACGTTCAAAATTACAGCTGCTGTTTTTACTTCTAATTTTTAGGATCAAAAACTGAGAAAGTTATATATATTATCTTGTTTATTCTGCACGCTTGAGTACTCTTTCTACAACTTTGCCTAGAGCTTTATATTTGCCAAGTTCTGTAGTCATTATTATTTATTGTTTCTCACTTCAAGGGCCCAAGGTCTCAGCACTCAACTCTAAAAAGTGATATTAGAATGCCTTAGGGACCTGACTGCGGAGAAAGCTTTTCAGCATCCTAAGCATAAATATTTTCCAAGTAAAAGCATTGATTGGGAAGCTTGAATGGATAAAATTAACTGCTGCAATCTTAAAGATGTCTGGTTCACATCCTGGATAAAAAGGGAAGAAGCTTTATGGAGCCTATTAATGTCAATATCAAATGACATGAAACAGCATTAAGCTAACCTCCTCTCCAAAAGCTCATCTATTCAGTTATCTACTATTCCTTAGTGTGGTTCAGTGTCCAAAAAGGTTCCCCATTGTACAACCAGGTGGGAGTCATATGCTGCCTGCCTCCTTGTCAAGTAATGGATGTGATTTCAAGAGAGATTAAATTGATAGCTAAAGGTCACATGGCTAGTAAGTTACAGAGCCAATATTCAAACCAAGTCCTCATATCGATCTTTATTGCTCTTTTAGGCTTTCTGAGAAACTTGGCATTGAAAAATAATTTTTAAATAAAGTAAAAATGTTTAATTTCCATCATTTAAAATAATGATGAAAAAACTCAAATAGCTGAGAAGTGCTCAAATCAGAGAGCAAAATCACCCTCCCACGCCCCTCAGAGATAATCACCAGTCCAAGCTGATGACATCCTACCATCTAATGTGTGTAAGCATGTGTACATGTAAATCTATGTAATGTTCTCTTTGAAAAAAATAAGAAGGACCATTCTATTCATGTACTTCTACAACCTACTATTTTTTTCCTCAACACCAGATCCCAGGCAGCATTAACATAGAGATCTGCCTTGTTTGCTTTCAAAACCGTTTTCCAATACAACAAAATCTATTTAACTAATTCCCTATTGATGGGCATTAAAATACTTCTGTAACTATTGTGTGGCCATATTTCTTTGTAAACTAGTACTGTTATGGTGGAAACTCCTAGAAATTCGGTTGCTGGAGCAAAGGGAATATTTATGTTTTATTTTGATGGATATTTCCAAGTGTCAATTAGCTATCTAAAATAATTCATCCTCCAACGGAGTATAATCCTAGTTCTCCATATCCTCACCATTATGAAGTATTATTAATCTTTTCAATTTTTGCAGTATGATAAGTAATATGTTCATTTATTCATTCATTTATTCAATCAACACATATGTACTGAGTGCCTACCAAGTGCCAGGTACATTTTAGTTCCTCCAGATACTTCAGGGTAAAATACTAAGTTTGTTTCCACACAGATATTAATTTTGTTTTAGAGGTAAAAGGTAATAAATGTAATAACAAATATATACTGTGTATATAACAGATCAGGTGGTAATAAGAGTTATAAAGAAAAATACAACTAGATAAGCTTTGAAATTGTTCCAAACACTTACATAGTTTGCTACATGAGTGACAAGTTTTGCTATGATAAGAATTTGAAGTGTAATCTCCTTCCCCTTGACAATGTTATGTCACACATTATCAGACCTCATCCATTAGTTACTGACCTTAACTCATCCATGAATTACTGACTCCAAAATACATATAAACTCAAGAGCTTGGCAGACATTGAATGCTCAGCCTGTGGCAGTATACACTCTATCAGTCACTTCTTCAAGATTGCTGGCTCAGGCTGTAACAAGGCCGTGCTTAGTTAGCCTTTGAGCTTAAAGCCTCCTCAGCTGACACTAGCACTGCCCTCTAGCATCGCGAGACCTTAGGTGCCTTCATGGATCTCTCCTGTGTTGGTCAAGTCATCTCTCTTGAGAACCTGTCCTTTGACAGTATGCCTCAAATTTCACTTAGACTTTGCTTTCCACAGAGGCCCTGCTTCTATCCTAATTGAGCAACTAGACTAATAACTGGGCTCTAACAAAATTGGAACTCACTCTGTGGTTAATGTACGTCATCTATCAAGTGTATTCCCTCTAGATTTGTTCTCATTATTCTTCCCTTCTTTAGGTGATTCAAAAAGAAACAAAATATCTTTGTATGGCAATACTCTTTGTGATTTGTGAAATCATACTTTGATTATCCCTTATTTTAACTATACAAAATAGAGTGATAGGAAATTCAGGGAAAGAGGGCTGGAGCTTAGCAGACTGTGCACAGGACGCCTCTCTCATCTTAGACACTTGAACAGAAACCTGAAGAAAAAGAATGGTCCAAGCATATGTCTATGGGAAGAGCCTTCCTGGCCTAGAGAAGAGCAGGAAAGAAAACCATGGGGCAGGAGTCTATTCATGTGTTTTATAATAGAACAAGGAGAAGGCCCACATGGCTGAGGCAGAATGAACACAGTGAGGTCAGTGGCAGGAGGTCATGTAAAAACCCTGTACATTTTTAAATTTTAAACAAGTGAAATGAAAACCTTTGGAATGTTTTGAGCTGAGGTAGGACATGATCTGACATAGTTTAAAGGATCCCTCCAGCTGCTGGGTAGTGAATAGGCTGCAGAGGCAAAGCTGTGAGTTGAGTTAGGAGACTAGTGTAAAAATCTAAGGGAAGGATGGTAATGGCTTCAACCAGGGTAGTAGCAGTGAAGATGAGGACAGTGGTCAGATATTTTGAATGCAGAATTTACAAGATTTCTAATGGTTTGGATATAGGATATGAGAAAAATAGGCAAGTCAAGAATGACCCCAAGGTTTTTGACCTGAACAACTAAAAAGATAGAATTTTTGTTTACTGAGATAGGGATTGCAGGAGGAACAGGTTGGGAATTGGGGAGAAATGAAGTTTAGCTTGGGTCATGGTAAGTTTGGGAGAAGATGAAAAATATGGTGGGCCAGATGGCCTCAGAGTTTCTCTTTGGGTTGCCTGGTGACGCAAGTGGCACAATCGACCCCCATTCCTGAACAGGGGAGTCAGGGTTCTAGGTGCTACTATTAGTACAACACCCCTTTTCTCAATGAAGTAGGAAAAAATAAAAGGAAAAGGTACTAATTGTCCAACTAGGAGAAAGGAAGGGTAACTGCTGGAATAGAGAAATGTAGTAATAGGATTACTATGTTACTCTTATTCTCATTGTTTGCATTAGTAGTGAAATTCAGTATCATGTGTGAGTGTGTGTGTGTGTGTAATAATTACACCTTAGGACTGACCTAGACAATTGTTTGTGTTTTATCTACCTCTAATTATCTGCTTCTAGGAATAAAGCATCTTTGATTTAAACTTTTTATAATATTACTATTCTCTTTTAATAAAAGTATAATTTGCTTATTTCAACATTTCAGACTATCGCTATTTAGTTGCCTCTTCTTTACTAGGAAGATTTTACTGTATTCTGTCTTTACTACATCTTCCAGTCCAGACTAAGGGGGATGGCAGACAGACTGATGTAACCAGTGAGCAACTTCTCTTATCTACCAATTGCAACCCTTAAAATATATAAGACCTATAATGGTCTGTCATATACTGTCCTGAGCCTCACTTCAGGGGTGATTATGTTTTTAATGAACCTGGTCATTTGTACAGCCCTCAGCACTTTCTATGTGAGAGGTGCCAGAGAAAAATAAAACCTAGTTCCTGCCCTCATTTGACTTACAGTTTAAGAAAGGAAAGAGGCTCATAAACATGAGTATACTAAAATGAGGAAAATACAATTAGCATATTATGGAAACATAGAGGAGGAAAACCTAATTGATTCTGGTACAGTCTGTAAAGCTTCCAATAGGAAGTAGAATAGCCAAGTCTTAAAGATGATAGGAGGTTGTCTGGTTAAATAGGACAAAAATACATTTCAGGCAGAGAAGACAACTTAGGCAAAGGTGAGAAACTATGTGAAGTGCATGAGGAACTGCAAGTGCCAATGTACTGTGGGAGCTCAAGGATGAGAATGGCAAACATAAAGCCAAAGTTTCTGGCAAAAACCACCAGAGATGGAAGACCTCATCTACTAGGTCCAGGAACTTGGACTTCATCCAGGGCTTGAGAAGCCGGTAAAATGATTTGGATGTGACATAAGCAGGTCAGCCTTCCCTGACAGGACAAATGCATATGTTCTTGGACTTAACATTTGCTTTAGTGAGTTTGGGCTGCTGTAGCAAAATACCATAGACTGTATGGCTTGAATAACAGGCATTTATTCTCATAGTCCTCGATGCTGGGAAATCCAAGATCAAAGTGCTGACAGATTAGGCACCTGCTGAGGACCCTCTTCCTAGTTCATAGATGGCCACCTTCTTGCTGTATCCTCACATGGTGGAGAGAGAGGGCTCTGGTCTCTTCTTCTTTTATAAGGGCATGAATCCTATCATGGGGCTTTACCCTCATGGAGACAAACTTAATTATCTCCCAAAGGTTCCCAGTGGGTCCCAAATGTCCCACTTCGAAATACCATCACATTGGAAATTAGGGCTTCAACACATGAATTTTGGAGAAACAAAAATTCAGTCCATAGCATTACTTAAAGAGAACTCACTAATGCCCTGTCCTTTCATGTTATATACAAAAAGCAGAATAATACAAAGAATTGAGTGAAAGACTTGGAGCCTGACTCTCCTTCTTATTTGTTATATAATCTTAGGGTAGTCAAAAACTCTGAACCACAATGTTCTGTAAAACTGAGATAACAATCTTCATATACTTCATGGATTTTTGTGGGATCTAAATGAATAAGAATGGAACATAAAAGTCCTTTGTAAACTGTATTAGTTCGTTCTCACACTGCTGTAAAGATACTACATGATACTTGGGAATTTATGAAGAAAAGAGGTTTAATTGACTCACAGTTCTGCATGGCTATGGAGGCCTCAGGAAACTTACAATCATGGCAAAAGGGGAAGGGGAAGCAGGGTACATATTACGTGGTGGCAGTGTGTTGGTGGTGGACGGGGTGGGGGCGGGCAGGGGAAATGCCAAGCACTTTTAAAGCATCAGATTTCATGAGAACAACAGTATGGGGGAAGCCACCACATGATCTAATTACTTCCCACCAGGTTTCTCCTTAACACATGAGGATTACAATTCAAGATGAGATTTGGGTAGGGACACAGAGCCAAACCATATCATGAACCATAAAAGCATAATTGAAATGAAAGTTATTATATTTTCATAGGTGCCCATATATCAATACCATTTTTGTATGCATTTGTCTCTATCATACTATGAGATTACAGAACCATTTATCTACCTTTGTATCCTCATGTGCTGCATCTTGTTCTGTCTTCACTGAATAGGTGCTTAAATAATGTTTATCGAATTAAATCAATGTTGGTGGTCACTTATCCTCCTTGTTGCTAAATTTTATAATGTGTGTATAAGAAAAATACTTGGCTCATTGAAGGATAAGTCTAGTTAGTCATATACAGAACAATACTCAGATGTTTTCAGGGAAAATGAGTCATATGCATTTGTTTGTTTGGCTTTCTGCTTAGAATTAATTCTCTCCCTTTTTCAAAAAACCTAGAGACATATTGCACAATTAAACAAAATATTAAAGGACAATTAACATCAAAACAAAATTAGTCCCATTAAGATGAACAAAGGTCCCCAAAGAGCAGAGGAATATTATTAAGCACCTGAAATAGGTTAGTTACTACATTGAAAGCAATTAGTGCTGAAAGCATTAATATTTTTCTTTGTTTTATTTCTTCCTTAGTGAACAGTAGTTTTCAGGGAGGGGGAACCATTGTTTCATCTCACGTGCTAGAATCTCAGATTTGTCTTTGTTCTAAGCATTCATCAATTAAATCTCTATATTCCACAGCAACTATGTATAACATGTTTGAGACTTCCCATTCCTGGCCCTGAACATGTCATCTCCTTTGGTAACAAGCTATACTCATTCCTGAAGCAATAGTGCCTTAAAGTCATGGTATGATAATTGTTAAAGCACTGCAGAATTCCCTTGGAAAAGCATATTAGAGCCTTATTAAAACCACATTATTTTATCATGATTTCCAGTAAGAGGACTAGGAAATGAATTACTGAGTAACTTCTTGTTAACACAAAAGAAGCCTGTCACACTATATTATATAGTTTAAGATATTAATTATAGGCTTTTCAAATAGAGTATACAATGATGCTCTCCAATACAAATGCCCCACTACCCAAGAATGGTCATAGGCTTCTTGAGTGTTAGTGTCTGCAGAAAGATGTACTTCCCAGTTAGGCTCTTCACAAATTATTTATACATAAATGAGATTTACACAAAGTTGTTATAATAAATATATGCATATGTGCAGGGCCTGGTATGTTTCTATGGATGGGAACCAATGAGATTTCAGTCTGCTTAACATTTCCAAGGATCAACTTCGTATTGGCACAAGTAAAAAACTCGTGAAAAGAAAAGAAGCCAACAGCTATAGAGAACCCACCAGCACAGCATATACATCTGATTTACTCTTCAAAACTACTTACTCAGTGTATTAGTCTGTTCTCGCATTGCTATAAAGAAATACTTGAGACTGGGTAATCTATAAAGAAAAGAGGTTTAATTGGCTTATGGTTCTGCAGGTTGTACAGGAAGCATGATGCTGGCATCTGCTCAGCTTCTGGGGAGGCCTCAGGAAACTTACAATCATGACAGGGGCAGAAAGCAGAGGGGGAGCAGGCACATCACACAGTGAAAGCAGGCACAAGACAAAGAGAAGGCAAGGTGCTGCACTTTCAAACAGCCAGATCTTGTGAGAAGTCACAGCACCAAGTGGGTGGTGCTAAACCATTCATAAGAAGTCTACCTCCATTATCAAATCACCTCCAAGCAGGCCCCACCTCCAACACTGTGGATTGAATTTCAACATGAAATGTAGGTGGGGCAAATATCCAAACTATCTCACTCAGCAACCTATTTTTAGAGACAAAGAAACTGAAGCACAGAGGGCTTAAAAAATTGGCCTTCGGCCGGGCACGGTGGCTCACGCCTGTAATCCTAGCACTTTGGGAGGCTGAGGTGGGTGGATCACCTGAGGTCAGGAGTTTGAGACCAGACTGACCAACATGGAGAAACCTCATCTCTACTAAAAGTACAAAATTAGCTGGGCATGGTAGCACACACCTGTAATCCAAGCTACTCAGGAGGCTGAGGCAGGAGAATCGCTTGGCAGAGGTTGCAGTGAGCCGAGATCACGCCATTGCACTCCAGCCTGGGCAACAAGAGTGAAACTCTGTCTCAAAAAAAAAAAAAAAATATTGACTTCCTTAGGGACAAAGTTGAGAAATTCAGCTTGATCTCTGTCTGATTCCAAGGAACATCCTTTCTCCAGCTTTTATACTGCAACACATCCTTTACCCATGATGCTTGGAGGGAGAGGTATATAAGATCAGTTTCCCCTTTAGGCACAGAGAATTAAAAATGGAAGTATTTTTAAAATATGTTGCTTTTCTACCTTAATAAACAGGATATATTGAACTTAGTTTAACCTTTTTTTTTAACTGGAAGACCATTTTGCTTATTACACTGTAGATGTAGATTGACTGGAACGTCATGCAGACCTCATGGTGAGCCTGGACTATGAAGACAAAAGCAACATCTTACAGAAGGTTAAGAGATAGAAAGATCCTGGGGCCCTGAGGACTTCACAAAGAAGAGCCCCTATAACTGCTCCTAGGTTTACACAAAAGAGAAATGGCTATACCAGGGGTTGGCAACTATTTTCTGTAAAAGATCAGATGGTAAATATTTTAGGCTTTGCAGCCCACACAATCTCTATCACAGCTACCACCTCTACAACAGCTACAGACGATTCATAAAAGAACGGGTGTGGCTATATTCCAATAAAAATTTATTTACAAAAACAGGTGGTGGGCCAGATTTGTTCCCAAAACCATGGTTTGCTGACTCCTGATCTATGTAATCGAAAGCATGTTATTTTAGGTCTGTCAAAGCAGTTGAATCTATATTCTGAGTTATTTAAGTGCTAATCTGAGGTTTGTTAAACCTGTTTTTCTTACCATCTGGTTGCTATCTTGCCATTTTTTTCCTCATAAAAGTAGAGAGAAATTTCAGTTGCATGACTTTTGTGTAGAGTAATATGACCATCCTTCCGTAAAATTATTCACTGAATGAAAGATCAAAGTAGCTTGTTCTTTCACTCAAAGGAATCATCATCTTCACAGTCCTTATCAGTTTCTTTTTTAATTTTGGCAGAACTCAAGCATTGTGGTTTTTCAGTATCAGAATCCCCTTTACAAGCTTGTCAGCTCCAACCCGTTTTCTTTTATTTATTTTATAAACATTTTTAGGCACACATACATCAGGCACTGGGCTAATCCTCTTTCTTTCACTTACTGCTCTGTAAAGTGAGATTAATTTTCATGGGTAAAATTTTACCCCTTATGGATTTTTTTAAAGAATTTGCCCTAAAACCATCAGAGCCATTTTTGGAACTGTATTATTAAGACTTCCCATCTTAGGTAACATTTATAGTGTCTAGTTATTTGAACCTCTTTGGTTATATCCAAGTTCATTCTGGTAATCTGAGAATCTAAGATTTCTGTGTATATATTTGAGGTTTTATTGTAAGACAGAACTAATAGATGGCTTTATGAGGGAATACATGAGTCATGTATGTGGAATCTTTCTACAATTAAAATTAAATTAACTGTGGTTATAATGGAGTAACTTGCAGCAACACAATCAAGATAAGGAAAAAAAAGCTATATTAAAAAATATTCATGAAGCCATAAGAGTTGAAGAGGCATCCAGGATATGAAGGATCAAGATCCTAGAAAGAAGGAAATATTACTGACTTGAACCTGACAATTGATCAGGACTTTTTCCTATTTGCTAAATATTGAAGAGTGAGTTGAGAGGCTAAGAAGATGGGTGGAAGACAGCTAAACATAGAAAGAGAATACAACAGAGCTTCCAACAATGTCATGAGACTGAAGAAGTAAAAGTTGGGTTCACGTGTCTATGGGAATTAACACCTGAGGAGCTCAAAGCCACATGGAAAGGGTAGATGGGAGTGCTTCTCTTCTCTGTTCCCCTCACTCCTCTGACATTCTGCTGACTGCTAAACTGTTGGGGAGCCCCTGTGCCCTCATGACCCAGGGCAATACTGTCAGTGGCAATTTGAGGATTTCCCAAGGGCAGAACCAGGTGTCCAGCCCACTCTGGTGGGTTCACACACCCCTCAGACCCAAACTGAGATGGTAGGTGCTATAGTGGTGGTGCCACTGCCCCACCTGGGGATTTTAAACCCTTAAGCCACCACACCACCAGATTCCCCACAAACATACCCCGCAACCTGCTCTGACTTTGGCAAGCATGGCAGGGCCCTGGGGAGTTGTGGGACCCGTGGAGATCTAACCTTTGGTGTGCGCTGTCCCTAAGGGAGGAAGGAGTGCAGCTCACCAAAGCCCCCTTGAAACAAAGGAAATGTGAACGCAACACCAACCACTGAAGGTGGCAATACCAAAGTCCAGGAACAGATGCAGGGCGGGGTCATCTCCTGCCTCCACCCCCATACGCTATTGTGGGTGCAGCAGTGGTTCTTCCTGCTGGGGACAGTGAACATGCACTCAAAGAAAGCACTTTCCACACTTTTTGCGTGGCTCCACCCCTGCTGAAATGTCTGCCTGGACTTCCATGAAGAATGAAGCCCAACTCCCACTCCGTACATAAAGCAGCAGTACCCCAACAACAGAGGACAGACTACAGAGTTGTGAGCCCTGGAGGAAGAGGCTCTGCCCCAAGCCCCATATTAGTAGTAGCCCTCAGAGTCGTGTACCCATGGCTCCTGGCCACATTGCAGCTGGGAATCAAAAGACAAAGCCTTTATAAACAGGTCATGAGCCCTGTGACAGTGTCATAATAGGAAAGCAGATCGTGTTCCTACCAGCTCAGGACAAAGAGCTGGTGCATCCCTCATCCTTACCCTGAGACCTTAGTGCACCCCATCATCATCCCTTCCTACCACCCTAGTCAGAACAGGTGCTTCCACTCAGCACTGGCCTTCATGCTAGCTCTTACTGTTAAGTGTCTGGACTGCAGCCTGAACTGCACCACCAAACAAAAAAGCCTGCTATCACAAGGGCTTTGTGCTAATCCATGAGATAAGCCTCCTGAGACCTCTACACCCTCAACCCTGCAGGAGATAGTGTGTCAGCCCTTACATCAAATACATTGCTACAAGCAGCATCTGAGAAAGGAACACATACAGAGCCTTGGCTCTCTGAAAACAACCAGAAGCAAAGCCAAACAAGCACACACCATACAACATACACCATATACAATATACACCTTAGTCATACCCTGAAGGGAAGAAATAATTTAAAAATTTTAAAAGCCCAATCAAATGATAGCAAATTCAGAGATAAGAAGTGGCAGCTTCCTCAGGTGAAAAGGAATCTATGCAAGAACTCAAACTGTATAAAAAGCCAGAGTGATTCAATACCTCCAAAGGATCACACTACCTCTCTAGCAATGAATCCTCACCAGACTGAAATGTCTGAGATGACAGAAAAAGAATTCAAAATATGGATTACAAGGAAAGTCAACAAGATCCAACACAAAATTGAAGCCCAATACAAAGAAATCAGAAAAATTATTCAGATTATGAAAGACGAGATAGCTATATTAAGAAAAAACAAATAAAGTGTCTGTAATTGAAAAGCTTACTATAGGAATTTCAAAGTACAGTTTGAAGCTAGAGCAATAGACTAGACCAAGCAGAAGAAAGAATTTCAGAACTTGAAGATCAGTCTTTCAAATTAACCCAGTAAGACAAAAATAATTTTTAAAAGGACAAAGCCTTTGAGAAATATGGGATTATATAAAGTGACTGAACCTATAACTTAATGGTATTCCTGAGAGAGAAGAAAAAGCAACTTGGAGAACATATTTGAGGGAATAATTCAGGAAAATTTCCCTAATCTTGCTAGAGAGATCAACATCTGGATATGAGAAATTCAGAGAGCTTCTGTGAGATACTATTCAAGATGACCATCCCCAAGACATATAGTCATCAGACTATCCAAAGTCAATGCAAAAGAAAAACTCTTAAAGGCAGCTAGAGAAAAGGGCCAAATGACATGAAAAGGAAATCCCATCAGACTAACAGCAGACTTCTCAGCAGAAACCTTACAAGCCAGAGGAGATTGGGGGCATATTTTTAGCTTTCTTTAAAAAAAAAATGCCAGCCAAGAATTTCATATCCCTAAGCTTCATAAATGAAGCTTCATAAACTGAGCTTCATAAATGAAGAAGAAATAAAGTCTTTTCCAGGCAAGCAAACACTAAGAAAATTTGTCACTACCAGACCAGTCCTATATGAAATGCTCAAAGAAGTTCTAAACATGGAAACAAATAAATAATACTTGCTGCCATAAAAGCACACATAAATACAAAGCCCACAGACCCTATAAAGCAATTACACAATTAAGACTACAAAGCAACTAGCTATCAACACTATGACAGGAACAAAACCTCACATATAAATATTAACCTAGAACATAAATGGCCAAAATGCTCCACTTAAAAGACATAGAGTGACAAACCCAATTAGAAAAAAACAAGGTGGAATCTTCTGCTGCCTTTAAGAGACTCATCTCACATGTAATTACATCCATAGGCTCAAAGTAAAGAGATGGAGAAAGTTTTATCATGCAAATAGAAAACAAAAGAGAACAAAGGTTTCTATTCCTGTGTCAGATAAAACAGATTTTAAACAAACAATAGTTTATTTTATTTATATATATATTTTTTATTATACTTTAAGTTCTAGGGTACATATGCACAACGTGCAGGTTTGTTACGTATGTATACATGTGCCATGTTGGTGTGCTGCACCCATTAACTCGTCATTTGCATTAGGTATATCTCCTAATGCTATCCCTCCCCGCTTCCCCCACCCCACAACAGGCCCTGGTGTGTGATGTTCCCCTTCCTGTGTCCAAGTGTTCTCATTGTTCAATTCCCACCTATGAGTGAGAACATGCAGTGTTTGGTTTTCTGTCCTTGTGATAGTTTGCTGAGAATGATGTAAACCAACAACAGTTTAAAAAAAAAAAAAAGACAAAGAAGGGCATTATGTAATAATAAAGAGTTCAATGCAACAAAAAGATTTTTTATTTGAAATGGAGTCTCTGTTGCCCAGGCTGGAGTGCAGTGGCAGAATCACAGTTCACTGCAGCCTTAACTACCCAGGCTCAAGTGATCTTCCAACCTAAGCCTCCTAGTAGCTGAGACCACAGGCACAGGACAGCATGCCCAGAAAATTTTTTTAAATTATTTGTAGAGATGAGATCTCACTATGTTGTCTAGGCTGGTCTCAAGCTCCTGGGCTTAAGCTACCCTCCAGCATTAGCCCCGCAAAGTGCTGGGATTACAGACGTGAGTCACTGTGCCTGGTCCAAGGAGATTTAACTATTCTAAATATGTGTGCACCCAACATCAGAGCACCAAGATTTATAAAACAAATAAGACTAGACCTAAGAAAAGAGATAGCCATATAATAGTGGAGGACTTTAACATTCCACCAACACCATTAGACAGATCATCAAGGCAGAAAACTAACAAACTCTGGACTTGAATTCAGCACTTTACCAAATAGACCTAATAAACAGACATCTATAGAATTATCCACCCAACAATCAAAGAAGATAAATTCTTCTCATCTGCACATAGAACATTCTCTAAGATTGACCACGTTTGGTCATAAAGCAAATCCCAATAAATTCAATAAGATTGAAATCATCTCAAACATCTTCTCTCGACTGCAGTGAAATAAAATTAGAAATTAATGCCAAGAGGAACTCTCAAAACCACACAAATACATGGAAACTAAACAACTTGCTCTTGAATGATTTTTGGGGAAACAATGAAATTAAGGCAGAAATCAAACAATTCCTTGAAACAAATGAAAGTAGAGACACAACATACCAAAACCTTTGGGATATAACAACAGCAGGGTTAAGAGGAAAGTTTATGGTGCTAGATGCCTACATAAAAAAGAAAGAAAAAATTAACAACCTAATGTTGCACCTAAAGGAGCTAGAAAAACAAGAACAAACTAAATGCAAACCTAGCAGAAGAAAAGAACTAAGACCAGAGCAATATGAAATGAAATTGAGACCAAAAAAACAAAAACAAAAACAAACAAACAAAAAAACATAGAATCTTTGAAAAAGAAAGTCGGTTATTTGAAAGCACAAACAAGATTGAAAAACTGGTAGCTAAATTAATCAAGAAAAAAACAGGGAAGATCCAAATAAGCACGATCAGAAATGACAAAGGTGACATTACAACTGATACTACAGATATACAAATGATCCTCAGAGACTACTATGAACATCTCTATGTGCACAAACTAGGACATGGATAGGTTTCTGGAAACACACAAACTCCCAAGATTGAAGCAGGAAGAAATTGAATTGAAGTTTTTTTCTGAGACAGTGTCTCACTCTGTCGCCCAGGCTGGGGTGCAGTGGTGCAATCTTAGCTCACTGCAACCTCTGCCTCCTGGGCTCAAGCGACCCTCCCACCTCAGCCTCCTGAGTAGCTGGGATTACAGGAGTGCGCCACCATGCCTGGCTAATTTCTGTAGCCAGGTTGAGATAATTTCTGTACCCAGTTTGCAGCTATTGCTGAGATATTATTAGAGCCTGAAATGCATATATTAGAAATAAAGGGTGAAAACAATCAATAATCTAATTTTTAACTTTAAGAATATAAAGGGGCTGGGAGAGGGATAGCATTAGGAGAAATACCTAATGTAAATGACGAGGTGATGGGTGCAGCAAACCAACATGGCACATGTATACCTATGTAACAAACCTGCATGTTGTGCACATGTACACTAGAACTTAAAGTATAATAATAATAAAAAAGAATATAAAAACACAACAAAGTAAACCTAAAGAAAATAGAAGACAATAATAATAATCAGAGAATGGATTAAATAGAAAACAAATGCAAAATAGAGAAAATCAAGAAAACCAAATATTCTTTGAAAACCTTTAGCAATGTGATCAAGAAAAGAAAAAGACAAATTACAAAATCTGAAATGAAAAGGGGATCATTACAAATTCAGTAGACATTAAAAAGATAATATGATAAGTACTTGATGCCAACAAAGTAGACATTTTAAATAAAATGGCCGACATCTTTGAAAAACACAGCCTAGCAAACTGGCACAAGAGGAAATAAAAAATCTGAATAGTTCTATTCCTAATAAAGAAATTAATTTTTTACTTAGAAACATTCTCACAATTAAATATACAGGCCCAGCTGGCTTCACTGGTAAATTCTTCAATTATTAAAGGAAGAAATTATCCCATTTTGCACCAAGTTTCCTATATAACAATAATAAAGGGGAATACTTTCCAACTCATCTTATGATGCCAACATAGCCTTGAGATAAACAACTACAAGAACATTACTTATAAGATAGGAAAATTCAGGCCAATCTCTCTCCTGAACATAAATATAAAAAATCTTAAAATGTTAGCAGATCAAATCCAGCAACATATTAAAAGTATGTCATTATCAAATCAGATTTATTCCAGGATTGTGAAGGTGGTTTAATATTGAAAATCAATGTAATTCATTACATTAACAGAATAAAGGAAAAAAATCATATCATACATATAAATACAGAAAAAGCATTTGGCAAAATTCAATACTCATTCAAGATTAAATATATTAAGAAATAGAGGGGATTTCCTTAGTTTGATATGGTATTCATAAAACAAAAATGAAAACAAAAACCTCATCCTCTACAGTATTTAAAACTTTTCCTCTGAGATTAGAAATGAGACAAGGATGTTTTCTATTCCTACCTCTAGTCAACATTTTCTTGTCAGAAGCTGAGGACTAGAAGAAATAGTAGGTAGCAGCTGGGTGCAGTGGCTCACGCCTGCAATCCCAGCACCTTGGGAGGCCGAGGCTGGTGGATCACACTTGAGGTCAGGAGTTCGAGATCAGTCTGGCCAACATGGTGAAACTCCATCTCTACTAAAAATACAAAAATTAGCTGGACATCGTGGTGGGCACCTGTAATGCCAGCTACTCGGGAGGCTGAGGCAGGAGACTCACTTGAACCTGGGAGGTGGAAGTTGCAGTGAGCTGAGATCACGCCACTGAACTCAGGCCTGAGTAAAAAGTGAGATTTTGTCAAGAAAAGGAAAAAGAAAAAGAGAAAGAAGAGAAGAGAAGAGAAGAAGGGAGGGAGGGAGGGAAAGAAAGAAAAAAAGAAAGAAAGGAAGAAAAAGAAAGAAAGAAAAGAAAGAAAGAAAGAGAAAGAAGAAAGAAAGAAGAAAGAAAAGGTAGCAAAACTTCTAGAATGAGTGACTTGTTTCCCATTCCTACTTTATGCCCCCCAATATTATTTCATATATATTTCTACCACAGCACCTATAAAATTATTTGGTTGTATTTATCTTATCTGCAAGTCGACTTACATTAAGTGATCTAGAAGCTCCTTGCAAATAGGGGTCTCATCTGACTGTTTGCTGTAATCCCCAGAATTTTTATAGTGCCCAACATATAGATGACACTATATTAGTTGAATGTTTCTTAAAATTGTAATGTTCCCCAAGCTCCTCGTTCCAGTTACTGGTGCTGTGGGACAAACTCAAAGTTTAGAGGATTAAAACATTATCCACTTTATTACACCTTATGGATTCTGTGGGCAAAGTATTTCAGTGGGGCATGGCTGGGTCACTCCTCTGCTCCCTGGCTGCAGTACTCAGCTGGCAGATGGGCTAGTCTGAAGAGTGTGAGACTGTTTCATTAACATGCTTGGTGCCATAGTGGGGATGGCTAGAAGACTAGACACATCTGTGATTGTCAGCTGAAGTGTCTACATGTGGCCTCTCCAGCACAGAGGTCTCAAGGCTCTTGTTAAGGCTTACTCAAGGAGAAGCCTAAGAAAGCCAGGGGGAAGATACAGGATGTGTTTTGACTTAGCCTTGGAAATTACACAGTACCACTTCTGCTGCATTCTACTAGTTACTAGTAACTGACTCATAGACCAGCTCAGATTCTAAGTGAGAGGCTCTACCTCTTGATGGGGGGCATAGCAAGGTCATGTCGTAAAGCAGCATGTGGGATGGGAGACACTGTGCTGACCGTCTGTGGAAAACACAGCCTACCACTTCTATCTTGTCTCAGATGGTCTCCCCTACAATAGACCAGAGTTTATGACATTGCATCATTAAAAATATATTTAAACAAATATTCATAATATGTTCAAAATAAAAAATAATAGTGTAAAAAGTACTTGGAATTAACTAGGTTGTACCCTTAAAAAAAGTAGATCAGATTTTTCTCTAAGAAACAGACTATAAAATCAGCAATTTTTTTTTTTTTGAGACAGAGTCTTACTCTGTCACCCAGGCTGGGGTGCAGTGGTGTGATCTTGGCTCACTGCAACCTCTGCCCCCAGGGTTCAAGCAATTCTCCTGCCTCAGCCTCCCGAGCGGCTGGGATTACAGGCATCCGCCACCACACCCGGCTAATTTTTTTGTATTTTTAGTGGGGTTTCACCATGTTGGCCAGGCTGGTCTCGAACTCCTGACCTCAGGTGATCTACCCGCCTCAGCCTCCCAAAGTGCTAGGGTTACAGGCGTGAGCCACTGTGCCTGGCAAAATCGGCATACTTTAATCAATACACCTTCTGTGTGAGGAACTTGACTTAGCACCAATAAAATGAAAGCTGATTTCTTTCTTTGCTCACTTCAAAATCAAAGTCGCATGTTGTTGTGTCTGATATCAGTATGTGGAAACATAAATTATAAACTTAAAATCTTTCTTTCAGCCTTCACTAAAATTAAATGAAAATATAGGCCATAAGGCACAATTGCATTTAATCGGAAGGCTTGAGAGGAAATCATCTTGTTGACACAGGTACCATGACCATTCACAGTAATGGGCTAGTCAGTTCCCTCCTCGGTGAGATAAGGAAAGGCAGCTGGAAGACATTTACATTTCAGAGTCCTCAGAAGCACAAGGACCCAGAGTCTAGACAGGTGGGCAAGAGGATGTATTTAACTGTAATATAGCCTGTTTACTTGTGTGTGCATGAAATATCTCTGAAAGAATGGGTAAAAAAAACTAACAGAAGTGATTTCCCGGAAGAAGGGAGAGTGGGTGACTTCTACACAGGTAGAAAGGAGACCCATGATTGCTATGCCATTTATACTTTCGATTTTTTAATCATGTGCCTATACTACCCACATAGTAAATGATAGATTTAGAATGATACATTTAAATAAATATGACTTTTAAAAATATTACATTATCAAGAAGTATCAAGAAGCTTCTAGGGCTGGTTGCAGTGGCTCATGCCTGTAATCTAAGCACTTTGGGAGGCCAAGGTGGGAAGATTGCTTGAGCCCAGTAGTTGGAGACCAGGCTAGGCAACGTGGAGAGACCCAATCTCTACAAAAATTTTAAAAATGAGCTGAGTGTGGTAGTACACAACTGTGGCCCTGCTACTCTGGAGGCCGAGGCAAGAGGATTCCCTGAGCTCAGGAGGTTGAGGCTGCAGTGAGCCATGATCACACCACTGCACTCCAGCCTGGGCAACAGGGTGAGACCATGTTTTAAAAAAAAAAAAAAAAAAAAAAAAAGAAGATTCTAAAGATATTCAAGATTTCAAAAAATTCTTCTAAGACTCTTCATTTCAGACTTCCTGTTTAACCTAACAGGAAAGTAACTTCCAACTATAAAACATGGAATGACCACAAAAGCTGGAAAGCTGATAAGCATCTTATTGTTCATTAATCTCCTAGCATGATTGTTGTAGGAAAAAAATTTGTTCTCTTAAACTGCAAATCAACCATCCATTCTTATGTTAAACCAACTCATCACTATATAAATCAGGAAAGCCCTTCTCTTAGTTAGAAAATGGCTAAGAGACCTTAGACCTTAGACCCTTTGATCTATATTTCTTTCTCTCTCTCTTTTTATTGTACAAGGGAGACAGCTATATTTCTCTCAGTAAATCAACAAATTGACATTTGGGTTTATATTTCAGCCTTCTTTGAGCTTGACTAATATAAATAAATTTCTGAGAGACTGATAATGCTACCATAGCACTTAGCAGCCAGCCAGCCAGTGCCTCCCAGTGTCAAAAATTCTACATGGGACAGGCACGGTGGCCCACGCTTGTAATCCCAGCACTTTGGGAGGCTGAGGTGGATGGATCACTTGAGGTCAGGAGTTTGAGACCAGCCTGGCCAACAAGGCAAAACCTCGTCTCTACTAAAAATACAAAAATTAGCCAATGTGGTAGTACGCGCCTGTAATTCCAGCTACTCAGGAGGCTGAGGCAGGAGAATTGCTTGAGCCTGGGAGGTGGAAGCTTCAGTGAGCCAAGATCATGCCACTGCACTCCAGCCTGGGTGACAGAGTGAGACTCCGCATAAAAAAAAAAAAAAAAGAATTCTATATGTAAGTAAACCATTCTTTCAATTATATGGAAATTTGGGTGTCTATAAACAAGGGCTGAAGGATAATAGGGAAATATAATAGTGATGATAATATTAATAGCTTCCATTAATTGAGAATGTACTTGGTGCTAGACATCACGAAGAGCTACATTATTTTCTCATTTTCAAAACAACATTAAGCAGGAATTGTCATCTTATAGATAAGGAAAATGAGGCACAGAGAGATTGTGATTTTCCACACTCACATAGTGAGCAAGTGTCTTCCAGGGGGAGGGAAGGCAGACAGGGGCAAGGAGAAATGAGACAGCATAGTAATCAAATCATAGTTGGCCGGGTGCGGTGGCTCATGCCTGTAATCCTAGCACTTTGGGAGGCTAAAGCAGGCAAATCACCTGAGGTCAGGAGTTGGAGACCAGCCTGGCCAACAGGGTGAAACCCCGTCTCTACTAAAAATACAAAAATAAAATTAGCTGGACATGGTGGTGGGCACCTAATCCCAGCTACTCAGGAGGCTGAGGCAGGAGAATTCCTTGAACCTGGGAGGCGGAGGTTGCAGTGAGCCGAGATCACGCCGCTGCACTCCAGCCTGGATGACAGAGCAAGACTCCATCTCAAAAAAATAAAAATAAAAAATTGTAGCATTTGGGAGCATGACCCAATGAGTTTTTGCTTTGTCCTCTCCTCTGCCCCTTGCCACGCCACCCCTATACTCCATGACCACAGACATGGCAATGAAGTGGGGGGAGCCACAGCCCAGCAGCACTTGCCCAGGAGTTCATTGGTTCAGAGTAAGAAGAGGAGGTCTTGATGCCTGTACATACCCTCAGACAGGGTCTCTGGCCTCTGGATACTTTCTCTTGTTTACTTTATATTTGATTCTACCAGAGATGAAATCCTTTTTATTATTAATATAAAAAATTCAAACATACAGTAAAGTGAAATAACATTACAATGAACACCCATACACCCACCACTTAGATGCTATTATTAACATTTTGCTGTGTTTACCACTTATCTATTCATTTCTCTGTTCACCCACAATTGAATCCTTTTTGTGTTTTTGAAACGGAGCCCTGTTCTGTCACCCAGGCTGGAGTGCAGTGGCCTGATCTCGGCTCACTGGAACCTCCACCTCCTAGGTTCTAGCGATTCTTCTGCCTCAGCCTCCCAAGTAGCTGGGACTACAGGTATGTGCCACCATACCCAGCTAATTTTTGTATTTTTTTGTAGAGATGGGGTTTCACCATGTTGGTCAGGCTGGTCTTGAACTCCTGAACTCGGGTGATCCGCCCGCCTCAGCCTCCCAAAGTGCTGAGATAACAGGCATGAGCCACCACACCTGGCCAAAATTGAGTCTTGATTCTGGAAGTTTGGGATGGAGCAGAAGAGAGACCTATCTTCAGAAAGGAAGCAGCCTCCCATCAGAACATCTGTGGAAGCACTCTGTCCTGTTGTTTGTCTTGGGGTCTTAGCCCCTTCCCAACTCGTCAGCTCTGGCTACTCTCAGCCTTTCTTTCCTTTTCCCCATCATCAACACTGGTTCTCAGCATCCTCACTTGTAAGATGTTGGATCCATAAAATCCTAAGCAGTAAAAAGGATTTTCAAGGTCAATAAGGTCCAATTTCTACAGAGTAAAGACACCTGTCCTGGTGTATTTACATTCTCAGAGGGACAGGTCTGTACCATAATAACAGCTTGCATTTGCACAATGCCTTGGAGTACAAAAGGCTTTCATGTACAATCTGGCATACAGAGAAAATGATGACATCTATGAAGTACGCTGGGTAAACTGAGATAACTAGTTCATGGGTCTGGCACACCAGCCTCTGCCAGCCACCCCTAAGTTTAGAAAATTGGTATCTCAGCATATCAGTAACCTATTCCAGGCGTGGTCGGGAAGTTCCTTTTCTCTAGGAATTAACATCATAGGCCACTTACTAATTATGGAAGTCATCCAATGTCCCTAAGTTTCAATTTTCTCTTCTGAAAAATGGGGATATTGTTATTAACCACCTCAAACAATTACTTTGAAAACAAAATAGGATAATTCCTTAAGACTCTTGTCGTTGTTTGTTGTTGTTGGTTTTTTTTTTTTTTTGAGACAGAGTCTCGCTCTGTCGCCCAGGCTGGAGTGCAGTGGCGCAATCTCAGCTCACGGCAACCTCTGCCTGCTGGGTTCAAGCAATTCTCTGCCTCAGCTTCCAGAGTAGCTGGGACTACAGGCACCTGCCACCATGCCCAGCTAATTTTTTTGTATTTTCAGTACAGATGGGGTTTCACCATCTTGGCCAGGCTGGTCTTGAACTCCTGACCTCGTAATCCACCCACCTCAGCCTCCCAAAGTGCTGGGATTACAGGCGTGAGCCACTGCACCTGGCCTGAGTCTCTTGTTAAGCAATGAACTTCCCTCATAATATTTAATCCTCTCATCAACCCCTTGTGGTAGATATAGTTGCTTCCCCCATTGTAAAGATGAGGAAATTGAGGACCAAAACTGTTCACATAACCTTGCTAAGGTCACACAGTTAAGCAAGGGTCAGTGCCAGTACCTGGACTCAGACTGGTCTGGCTGCAATGCTCACCCTGTTAACCTCTATCCCAGTGGTTCTCAATCGGGGGTGACATTGCTTGCCAGGGACATTTGGCAAATGTCTGGAGATATTTTTGATTGTTACACCGAGGGACATACTATTGGCATCTAGTGGATAGACACCAGGATGCTTCTAAGTGTCATGTAATGCATACAATAGCCCCTCACAACAAAGAATTATGCAGTCCAAATATCAATAGTGTCAAGCTTGAGAAATCATGGGCTATTTTTATTCCCTCCAACTAGATGAAAAACAAAAATCCAAAGAGGAAGTATAGGTTTGGGAACACTGGTTGTTGTTTTGGGACAAGCCACTGATGAGGGAGCCAGGCCCCCATTAGGACAAACGTTCCAGTGGGGATGCCAACAGCAGCCCCCCACCCGCCATCAGGCATCTCCCCTGTGAATCAGGCACCCTTCCTCCTGCTGAGGAGCCACAGCTCTCATCTGCCAAGCGTCTATGGGTCCAAAGCCACGTTCATCCATTTTCTATAGTGTCTACATTCCCTTGACAAGTGGTTGGAAGCATGGCTTTGCTCTGAAGCTCTGGGTGCTAGATAATTAGAGACAAACCAGGAATTCCATAAAGAAGGAGCAAGACAAGGCAGCCAAGGAGCCAAAAGAAATTTCTGTTGTCACTTTCTTTCACTGTGATTTTCTGGCAGCCGGTCTCTGCAAAGCCTCAGCAGGAAGGTTGTGGCAGAGAAGGGTTGAGCAGCCTCTGGGCAGTGGGCGGGTGCCTTGGTGCCCAGCCCCGAGTCTGTGGAGGCTTTTGTTCAATTATTGATGTCTCAGGGAAGGAAGCCTGTTTGGCTGGCTGGGCTAGACAGGCAATCCACATGAAGCAGGAAAACCATCAGGAAGCGAGAAGAGGGGGAAGTGAGGAGCATCAGGGCTGTCTGTGTTTATCGACATATAACAACATGTCTGGGAGAGGTGATTAAGTGAAAAAGCAGGTTACACAACAGCTCCAAGGATGAGATCATTAAATGAGAGATGTGTGTGAGAGAGGGGCCTTGGGTTCACCAAAAAGTGAGTACTAGCTATTTCTGAGCGGTAGGATTTTGAATCATTTCTATTTTCTTTAGGTTTTTCAGAATGTCTTTACTAAGAAGTCATTATTGCTTTTAGAACCTGAGACAGCTACAATATTTGTGGGGATGGAGAGAAGGAGAATATGTATGCAAGAGTGTGTGGAGTCCCAGAAGCCAGCCATCAGGCTCTCAGACACTACTGGGACTTAATTGTCCTTCAGGGGCCAGAGGAGCTGTGTCGTATGCTGTGTCTCGGTCACCAGAGAGAAGCTCATTAACATGCCCACGGAACTGGCCAGCTCATCATGGCAGGTGGGAGGAAGAAACACTGTTTATTGAAACAAGAAAGGCCCTGGCTCCTGCCTCCACACTGACAGTGCAGGGCCCATGCAGCCAGCATCTTCTCACAGCCCCTCTCATGCATAGGCAGCTGGTACAACTGTGTGTTCTACACCAGGCATGCCTTCCTCACCAGAAACAAAGAGCCGGCTGAAAACTGTCCAGGCCTCAGTCCAGAGTCACAGGATCACAAAACCTCAGTGTGGAAGCCACACCAGACGTCATCCCTGGTCACTCCTGCTCCTCCTGAAGCTTGAATTTCCTCTGTCACATGGTTGATTATTCTGGGCTTGCACCAAGAAAGTGCCAGGGAATCTTACAATTCAGGAATCAAGTTATTCTGTTTTTGGACAGCATTAATTTAGGGAGTTCTTCTTTTTTATGAGTCCAGATTGGCCTCCCTGTAATCTCCACCCTTTGGTACAGACAAGACAGTTTTGTCCCCTCTTTCTCTTACCTGTTTTTAAATCGTTCTGAGGGCCCCTGTCACCTTCAAATACAGTTTAAGCTCATGCTCTGGGTGTACAAAATCCCTAGGAGTTTGGAGCAAGTGCCACGTATCAATGCGCCCTAATATAAGAAGGAAAAGGGGGAATTGGAAGGCCCTCACAGAGCTGAAGGCTGGAATGCAGGGATCTGCTGGGACCTAGAACAGAAGGAGACTCATCGTCAATCTTCCCTGCTCTCCCCTGCACTTATAGTTCTTTTTCTGTCAAGGCCAGGTGTCTCAAGGCCACAGGTGGGCAGAACGTGGCTCCCACCATTCCTGAATATACTCCCTTTAGTTCTAACAGTCCTGTCCAGACCAATCCAGAACTTCTCAGTCCTAATTCCAAATTCCTAAAAGATTACTATTGGCCCAAGTTGGATCCAGTTCAACCAACTGGTCCAGGGGAGAGGGGTAAAATGTGCACATACATAGATCCTGAGAGTCTCTGTTTGAAAGAAACACTTAAACGGGTTATGTGAACTTTGCAGACACTCATAAAATTCGTTATGATCTGGGCGTTGAAGACCTCTCTTGTATCCATCCGTTAGCTCCTCCCTGTCTTGCTCATTTCCCCACCACTTCTTTTCCTTTTTAGAAAGTCAGTAAAGCATAGTGGTTACATCTCAAATTCTACAGTCAGATCACCTGGGTGCAAACTCAGACCTTTCATTGGTGGCTGTGTGTCCTTGGGCAAGTTACTTACCCACTCTGTATCTCCAATTCATCTTTTTTAACTGGCTACAATAAAAATGCCTACATCGTAGAACTGTTATGGTAATTAAATAAGTTAATAGAAGTAAGCCACTTAGAACATTGCCTGGGGTGTAATCACTTGATCAATGTTAAGCATTATGATGATTCCCTGTACCCATCCCACAGCTCCAGGAATACTGGAAGTATTAGTCAGTATTCTCCAGGGAACAGAACCAAAAGAATATACAGGAATATGCATATGCACACCCAAACATGTATAAATGTGCATGCACCAACCAAGTCCATATGTTTTATATGCTATAAAACATATAACATGAAAATGCATATGTATATATGGAAAGAACTTTATTATAAGGAATTGGCTCACATAAATATGGAGGTTGAGAAGTCCCAAGAGCTTCAGTCGGCAAGCTGGAGACCCAGGAGAGCTAATGGTGTAGTTACAATCTGAGTCCCAAAACCTGAGAACCAAGAGAGCCAATGTTGTAAGTTCCACTCCAAATCTGAAGGCCTGAGAACAAGGAGAGCTGGTAGCATAAGTTCCATAAGTTCCTGGTAGCATAAGTTCCAAGGGCAGGAAAAGATGGATGTTCCACCTTAAAGACAGGCAGAAGTTCTCTCTTATTCAGGCACACCAGGGTTTGTTCTATTCAGGTCTTCAGGATACAGTGTCACAGAAGCCTAATCTCAAAATATCTATGAGTAAGCCAAGAAAGAAAGGTCTGCCTTGCAAAGAATGTTGAGTGTAGTTTTTGTCTAATGGAGTGTGCTATACTCTTGTACAAAGTTTCCAAGGGAGTTACATTAGCATGAACTAAAACAGACAGTGACAATTCAAAATAAAGAGAAGTTTCTTTGCTCCTGAGTTTTTAGGAGTGAGAAGCAGTCTGAGGACACTACTCAGCTGTAGACATGGCTATTCCTTACAGAAAAGAACGTCACAGAGGGCTCTCGGTCATGAACCCAGGGTTAGCAGCTGAGAGTGAGTGCCTCCCTGAACTGTACATCCTGGGTGCCTTGCTCACCCTACCCTAGCCCTGGCCCTGGGTTCTAGCACCACTTCTGTCACTAACTATTGTATGTCCATAGCAAGTGACTATCTTCCTGGGCCTCTCTTTTGTCATCAGTAAAATGAGAGACGTGGACTATTGAATCTTAAACTTCTCTGCGAAATCTTTAAAATAATGGGATCCTCTCTGGCACAGTCTTACTCTAGAGCTCTGAGGATGGAAAAATTAGACATAAACAAAAGAGGGAGAACCATGTGGCCAAAAGGCAGGAAGAAAATGGCTAAATCAATTTAAGCTGTCTTCTAAGCAAGAGTGGAGAGAATGCTTCACAGTTATCAATTTGGCTATAAGTAGAAAACAAATAATTAGGGTGATAACAGAGTTGGGATGGTGGCAGCCAAAGGTTGCTAATCACTACATACAGGTAAATGAGGTCTTGGACCAGGTTTCAGAATATTATGGTGTGAGCCTCGTTGTGAAGCAAGGCCTGGTTCAAACACGAGCCTTTTATTTATAAACAAGTTCCAGCAGGAGGGGGAGAGTATGCTGTGGATTAACTAGGAAATTTCATTGACTCTAGCAAAGTTGAATTGGTAGAGGGCATGACGATGGGTGTTCTGCCTCATGGAATCTTTCAGGGACCCAGACTGATGGAGGCTCTGCCATTGTCAACATGTGGCTTCTGAGGTCCTCCTGGGGGCAGATATCCAGCCAGCAGACAGGGAAGAGAGAAAGCGAAGCACTGGGCCCGATGTGGCACACAGCATTCTCTCTGCCTCAGAGAGAACAATTTGGAGAGGCCACCTGCCAGCACTCAGTCACATGGCCACTCAAGCACATGGAAGGTGGGGACAGGTGGTCTAGCCGGATGCCTGGGAAGAAGGGAAATAGGTGGATGTGGTGGTGAGAAACAACTGGGAGGAATTCTGAATGACAATGGAGTGGAGTACATTTCAAAGTCATTATCACAATCGATATGGTTTGGATATTTGTCCCCTCCAAATCTCATGTTGAATTGTAATCCCCAGTGTTGGAGGTGGGGTCTGGTGGGAAGTGTTCAGATTATGGGGGCAGATTCCTCATGAATGACTTTGTGCCATCCCTGGGTGATGAATGAGTTCTCACTCTGAGTTCACCTGAGCTCTGGTTGTTTAAAAGTGTATGGCACCTCCCCTTCTCTCTCACTCCCACTCTCTCCATGTGACACGTCTGTACTGGCTTTGCCTTCTGCCATGATTGTAAGCTTCTGAGGGCCCCACCAGAAGCAGATCCTGTAGAGCATGAGAGCCACAAGCCAATTATACCTCTTTTCCTTATAAATTACCCAGCCTTGGGTACTTCTTTACAGCAATGCGAGAGCAGCTTAATACAACAATTATTACAGTTTTTGCTTTGAAGCTTTAAAAAAACAATGTTATGTAGAACCTAAATTTATAAAGCATATAAAAGCAGAGTGTTCTCTTTGAAGCACAGGTTTTGGAATAGGTAAAATTGGGTTCATAGCTAACTTTTGCTCCACATGTCCACTCCAGGCTTAGGAGACCCTGAACCCAATGGTTAAGAGCATTCACTTTGGGGCCAACCAAATCTGGGTTAACTGATTAAATGACAGTTCTGCTACTTATTAGCTGTGGGATCTTGCTCTATTTTTGCAGATCTCAGTGACCCTGAATGGGGACTATAAAATGGGGACTATATTACTCTATCTCATGGGGTTGTGAGGAAAATTAAATGAATATTATTAGATAAATTGTTTACTACCTGCCTGACACATTACAAGGTAATCAATAAATAATAATATGTGTATTATTGCTCTTAAAAGGCAGTAACTGGCCGGGCATGGTGGCTCACGCCTGTAATCCCAGCACTTTGGGAGGCCGAGGCGGGCGGATCACAAGGTCAGGAGATCGAGACCATCTTGGCTAACACGGTGAAACCCCATCTCTACTAAAAATACAAAAAATATTAGCCGGGCCTGGTGGCGGGCGCCTGTAGTCCCAGCTACTCAGGAGGCTGAGGCAGGAGAATGGTGTGAACCCGGGAGGCGGAGCTTGCAGTGAGCCGAGATAGCGCCACTGCAGTCCGGCCTGGGCGAAAGAGGGAGACTCCGTCTCAAAAAAAAAAAAAAAAAAAAAAAAAAAAAAAAAAAAAGGCAGTACCTCTGAAAGAATTCGATTCTCCAGGCAGCAGTGCCCCAGGGATGAAAGCTGAAAGCCTTGGTCAGGATTTACTCAAACACTACCAAGTCAGCCAAAGACATGGCCTATACCAGTCAATGAAATAAAAGGCATTCCTGACATTTCAATAGTAGAGGGCTACCCATGCAGATGCCTGGGACTGCCTGTGACTACAGTTACACTGGAAACCTCAGTCAGATTCCCAGCCCCCACCCCAGATGGCCTCAATAGTGGAGTCTGATGCTTCTCATTAAAGACTAGCCAGACCACTCTTCATGAGCCTTCCTCTTTTTTATTGTGAGGGTCTTAATTCCTCTCCATTCTCCCCATTTTCAAGTGAAATATATCTTCGAGAATAAAAGGAGATCCAATGCGGTATGCTTTTTAGAAGTGCAACATCTTATTGGCCATATAATGAAACAAAGCTAACATTGGGAGATGGAAATAATTACCAAGAAAAATGGGAATGTGGAGTTTTTTGTTTTTTGTTTTTTAAACACAATGATATAAATGTCCTGGTATTGGTTGATGTTAGGACCAGAGAATCCTTAGTACCATCTAGTTGGATGCTGGGATTTCAAGCCATGATATTGAGAGTTGAGTCCTGATTCCACCACTTAATTGTAATGTGACTTTGAGCTAGCTTTATTTTCCTCAGATGTAAACCGAGAGTAATAATAATACCTACTTCTTGCAGTTCTATGAGAGTCCAATGAGATCATGCATATGAAGACTGCAGTGTAAACTGTAAAGAGCTATGTGGACATTCAATGTTGTTTTTATTTTGTATCCTTTCAGTTTCACAAGTATTATGATTTCTGAGACCCTCTGCTGGGCACAGGAGATGCAAAGATGAAGGAGGAACTCACAGTGTGGTGTGGGAGCAATGGAACTGAAGTTGATCCAACGCCAGGAAAGGATGAGTACCAGAATGGTTTTCCCATCCTACCCCTACTGCACTCTGCCAAAGGACAGGGACTAGCCTCCACTGTGGGATCATTACTCACAGATGGTCAGACCAAGCATCTTCCCCTGGTCATGGGTGGGCCAATCATATTTCCCTCCCAAGACTGTGGAATTGGGGCACAAATTGAGTTAGTGAGTGGTAGGAGATGCATCTGTGAAGTATGGGAACCAAGGCAGGGTTGTTTTTTTGTGGGTGGGCTGCATGTTTTGAGGCTTTGTATATTAAAGAACAAGCAGAGAGATCTTGTTTGCAAAGAGAAATGAGAGGCAAGCAGACATGTAGCAAGAAACAGCAACTATAGAGCCAAACAGAGAGAGAGAGAGAATTCTCCTTGGGCTTTTCCAGTTATGAAGCCAGAATGTTTTTCTGTTCTTGGGTAAAAGTGAGGTATATATTCCTAGAGTCATGTAATATATACTTCCCCTCACCTCTCTAAACATTTTTTTTTAGACAGTCTCGCTCTGTCACCCATACTGGAATGCAGTGACGTGATCACTGCTCACCGTACCCTCGACCACCTAGGCTCAAGTGATCTCCCACCTCAGCCTCCAGAGTAGCTGAGACAACAGGCATGTGCCACCATGCCTGCCTGGCTAATTTTTTTTTTTTTTTTTTATAGAGACAGGGACTTGCTACTGTGCCAGGGTTGGTCTCAAACTCCTGGGCTCAAGTGATCCTCCCACCTCGGCTGTCCTAAGTGCTGGGATTATAGGCATGAGTCACTGCACCTGACCTCTAAACTGATTTTGATTGGGTTTCTCTTACTTAGAATCAACAAACCCAGAGTAAAACAAGATAACCCTATAAAATGTCGTGGGACCATGAAAATAGCACTACATTCTCCCAGGACAAGCTGAAGTTGAGGGGAGTCTAACTCCCTCTTTTTATTAAACTGGATACCGAGACCCAGATTGAGGTGAAGTGATGCCCCAAGTTCACATACCTGGTAAGTGCAAAGCCAGGACTTCAACCTAAGTCTGCAACCGTAGTTCAAGAGAAAGATTTGGCTCCAGGATGTCCGTCAATTAAGGGAATAAGTGCAAACAAGAAGCCCCTTGCTCCCTCCTGTCTGCTTATCAAATCTCAAGTTAAACCTAATTTAAGCCTCCCCTCATCTCTGTGCTACCCTGGTACTTCCTTTTCCTCTTATTTGGCCTCTTATCACGGGCTTCCTTTCATTGCTCTTTGGAGTCTGGTTTATCCCCCAACCTCACCTGTTGGATGAAAATAACCGAGTCTTTGTTCTTTTTCTGGCTGGCAAGTATGTAAAGCAAAGAAACAAGTCTTGAATCTTTCACCCAGCTGGAAGGCAGAATTCTGTGTAGAAAGGGCAGAGGGTTTCGTAGTCTTGTCTGGGGTCAAATCTTTTTTTGCTTCTTTCTTATTTATAACTATTTTATTTACATTATAGAAGATCTGAAAATCCATCAAACAAAATTGTTATTATCCCACCTTCAAGCAATAAGTATTTTTAACAGAGTGATATCTACTTCCCTGTATGGATCTATTTCCTCAGCTGCATATTATGCATGTATGTGTGTATATCATTTGTTTTGTTTTTCCAGATTTATTGAGGTATAATTGACAGATAAAAATTGTAGGCTGGGCGTGGTGGCTCACGCCTGTAATCCCAGCTACTTGGTAAGCTGAGGTACGAAAATCACTTGAACCCAGGAGGCAGAGGTTGCAGTGAGCCAAGATCATGCCACTGCACTCCAGCCTGGGCAACAGAGCAAGACTCTGTCTCAAAGAGAAAAAAAAATGTATATATTTAAGGTACACATTGTGATGTTTTGATACATGCATACATTGTAAAATCATTGCCACAATCAGGCTAATTAACATATCTATCACTTTACAGAGTTACCATTTCTGTGTGTGCATGGTGAGAATTCTTAAGATCTATTCCCTTAGCAAATTTTGAGTATATAATACATTATTACTAACCATAGTCATCATACTGGACATTAGGTCTCCAGAACTTATTCATGTTATGACTGAAAGTTTTTACACTTTGACCAACATCTCCCTATTTTCCCCACCCCCTGACTCCTAATAACCATGCTTCTACTCTCTGCTTCTATGAGTTCAACTTTTTTAGATTCTACATTTGCAAGATTATAAGGTGTTTGTCTTTCTGCATCTGGCTTATTTCACTTAGCATAATGTTCTCCAGCTTTATCCATGTTGTCGCAAATGGCGACATTTTTAAGACTGAAAAATATTCCATGATCTATACACATTTTCTTTAATCATCCACCAATGAAAACTTAGGTTGTCTTCATATCTTGGCTATTGTGAATAATGCTGCAATAAACATGGGAGTGCAGATATCTCTTTGGGGTAGTGATCTTATTTTCTTTGGTTATATACACAGGAATGAGATTGCCAGATCAATCTCATGGTAATTCTACTTTTCATTTTTTGCGGAACCTCTCTACTGTTTTCCATAATGGCTATACGAATCACCATTCTCATCAACCAGTGTATAAATGTTTCCTTTTTCTCTACATCCTTGTCAACCCTTATTACCCTTTGACTTTTGAGAACAGTCATCCTAACAGGTGTGAGGTGGTATCTCATTGTGGTCTTGATTTGCATTTCCCTGATGATTAATGATGTTGAATGCTTTTTCATAAATCTGTAGGTCATTTGTGTATCTTTTTTTGAAAAATGTCTGTTCAGGTTCTTCTCCCATTAAAAAACTTTTTTTTTTTTTTTACTATTGAGTTGTATGAGTACCTAATATATTTTGGACATTAACCCCTAATCGATCTATGGTTTGCAAACATTTTCTCCCATTCCATGGTTTGCCTTTTTGTTTTGTTGATTGTTTCCTTTGCTGTACAGAAATGTCTTAGGTTGATGTATATGATCAAATTTTGATTCTGCCTTTTACTAATTGTATGATGTTGGGACTAATGCTGGTTAGCTATGATGATAATTATTTACTAAGCATTTTCTATTTGTCAAATACCATGCTGTGTGCTTTATATGTTACCTATTTAATATCCATAACAACTCCGAGAAATAGGGGAGGTTATTCCATGTTCACAGAAGACAAAACTGAAGCCTACAGAAGTGACATAGATAACTACACAGTTAACAAGAGGCAGAGCTGTGATGAAAAGCACCAGCTCCTCAATTTCTATTCAGGATCAGGGGTTGCAGCCTAGTTGCAAAGGAAACTGACTTAAATCCAAATGTGTATAACAAACACATTACTTTAAGTTAGAATGTGTTAAAAATTAATACAAATTGCAAAAGTTATTTCTACAAATGCTTGGACTTGATTGAGAAAACATCGAGTTCCCATATCAAAAACTAAGGACACCGAAATGGGTGGCTTTGGGGGTGCTGAAGACCAGGATGTAGCCCTCTCAGAAGTGTGGCCCTGAATTCCTGCTCTCCTTGGGGGCAGCATGGTGCTTCTCCAAGACTGCCCGAGATGTGCGTGATGGAGTGTCTGTTCCCAAAGCAAAGGACAGGAACAGAGAAGTGTGTGAGTATGTTTGCTCCGGAAACAGTAAGGGAAAAAATCATGAAGTGAGTTGAAATATTTCATCTGTGATTAATCACTGGGAAAAAAACATTTTCCAATAATTAGACCAAGTTAATGGGCCTAGCAAAGCCCACAGTCTCTGCTCTTCATCTGTTAGTTATAAATGGAGCCACAGAAGCCTCCGGGGCTGGAGCCGGGGCCCAAGAAAAGCCTCAGTGTTTACATTATTGTTTTAATATTTGGCAAAAAAAAAAGTATCTAAATCTTTGGTCATCATTCAGATGTTAGCATTCAGAGCCTTTATAGACTCAGCACTTGTTTTTATTTCCTGTCCTCCAATTTAAACAGAGACAGCAGGAAGGAGGCTGTTGACAAGATGATGGTTATGCCAACTCCAAGCCTAGTGTTCTCCTGGGGCCTGCCAGGCCACCCCCACTGTAGCCCTTCACCTGGGGTCCTGCATCTCGGCCTTTCTCTCTAACCTTCTAGACCCTTCCTTGAATTCATGTCTCTTACTCTTCTCTTCCTCCTCATGTTTCCCCTCCCAATTGGGCTAGTCACATGTCATCATGTATGTTGAAGTATTTTGTGATTGGTATTGAATAAAAAGAGCCCCCACCTCTTAAGTATCTCCTGGGTATTTTATAGGTTTTACTTAATTTAATTCTCACCACAAGCCTACAAGGAAGATTCTATTATCTCCATCCCAGTGAGAAATCTTTATCCTGGTCAGGAGGCTAAACAACTTCCCCAAAGTCACAGATCAGACATTCACACCTAGGTTTCTAGAATTCTAAAACTCATGATCATACTGATTGACTTATGCTGTTGTTGTCACTATGAATAATAATTACTGTTAATAGTTAATGTTATTAAAGACAAGACTAATAATTCTTTTGAAGATCTTAACTATCTGTCACGTGAATTGTTAGCCCTCCAAAGAATATCGTATCATAATAAGCAAATGCAAGTTCCCTTTAAGATTAGCCATAAGAATCTGAGTGTCAATCCCTACACCAGATAATGTCTTTTGACGGTCAGTATGTTCCCCATCACTGTCTTTTGTACCACAGACACTGAAAACCTAGAAATTAGATTTCCCAGAGTCCCTTCCAGCAGGGGCTCTGCCAATGAGAGATATTCAGATGACATTTGGAAGATGAATAAGGGGAAGACGTTGTTTTCTGGAGGCAGCTGCGGGGTTTCTAGGTACCATCCTGAGAATCATCACTAGGTGCTGCGGGTAGCCTAGGTCCTGGTAGCGGCTTTGCCAGGATTCCTGGTAAACAGATTCCTTGGTAGTGAGCAGCAGTCTTCCCAATCATTGCTCCCCAGCCCTTCCAAGGATTGTGTAAGCCTCTATCTCCTCATACTAAATTCGCTTCCAACCTGAAATGCCTACAGTAACTTCTATTTTCCTGACAACCATGACTGATACATTGCCCAAGGTAATGAATCATTAATAATAAAATTAAAGCAATAAAAAAATAAGATATATTGATTACCTACTATGTTCAAGACATTGTTTTTGATGTTTGAATAGCAACATTAATAAGAAAGAATCCTTTCCTTTGAAGAAGTTAATGTTTTTATGCTTCTAAAATATTCATTGAATAAATGAATACAAACAGTGAGAGAAAGAGAAATTTAGAAACTCTATTGTCCAGAACAATAGAATGAGTTTGGACTAGAGGGCAAGAAATAACTGGGATCACATCCTGGTTCTGCAATCCACTTACTGTTTAACTACGGACTGTCACTGCAGAGCCTCTTAACATATTTTCCTATCTTTAGTCTCACCCTGTGGAAGCTATGTGGGTTTCGGATTTGGGTGGACCAAGGTCAGCCACTCCTTAATGGTTATTGACATAGACTAATATTTTCCATCTGTAAAATAGGTTTTAAAGGCACCAAAATGAGCGCATAAAGACAGAAGTCAAAATTGTTCAGTTTCCGTGCAGCAAAGCATTTAATGAATGTGGCCTATAATGAAAAGTTTTAATTCTTTCTTCAGGTCTTCCTCAAACATTTAAGGATCTCTGTGACGGCTGGCCTCCAAGGCCCCCAGTGATTCTCACTTCCTGGTATTCATACTCTTATATAGGTCCCTTCCCCCAACACCAGAGAGGTCTGACTTGTGTTACTAGTTGGATATTGCTAAAATGACTGTGTGTGACTTCTGACATTGCCACATCCATCTTGCTATTTCCTGGATTACTCAATCTGGGCGCGGGGGGGTGGGGGGATGCAAGTTACCATGCCATGAGGATGCTCAGTGGAGAGATCCACGTGGTGGGGAACTGAGGCCTCTTGCCCACAGCCATGTGGGTAGGTCATCATGAAAGTGGCTCTTGTCAGCCTAGTCAAGCCTGGCCAATACCTCACTGCATGATGGACTCTGAGCCAGAACCTCCCAGCTAAGCTACTACCAAACCCCTGACCCACTGAAACTGTGTGAGATAAATATTTATATTATTTTAGGCCAAGTTTTGCAATACTTAGGTGCATATAATGAATACAGGGTCCAAAAATTCAGTTCACAGAAATGCATTAAATCACTTGCCCTGTCCTCTGCTCTAGCACTCCATTCTTGGGAGCCTCTTACCCTTCCGTCCTAACAGAACCTTCTCACCAGCTTTCCCTGTTGCAGCTGGTTATACTCGCATCCCCTTTAACCTCACCACAGCGACTCCCACATGACAAGTGCCTGAGAAGTCACGTCTTCTCACAGAGAACAGCCTGTCCAGGGATTATATTTCTTCTGTTTTTGTTGCTTTTCCCCTAAAAAAAAATCTGTTTCTGCCACTTTCATCTTTTCTATACTTAGAGACGTTGGGGGGTGGGGGGGGGGGGTGGTGCGGCAGGGGATAGAGAGTGGAGAATGACGCCAAGTGGACTAAGGAGGAGTGACAGCTGTGAAGTGGTTTATCCATGACAGAATACATCAGGTCATTGTAGGAATTAACAGTGGCTTATCCATTACAGAACACATCGGGTCATTGTAAGAACTAAACAGGGTGGTGCGTTTACCATGCCCGGTAGCGTGTCTGACAAACAGTCTGTCTTAGTTCCTTCCTGTCTCACCAGGCCCTATCACCTCTCTTACAGCCATACAGAACCACTTGGAGTTCACCTCCATCTTTCACATCTACTTGCATTGGGATTTTCTGTTCCCTCTGAAAGGAATGCTGTGTCTGTTCTTGACTATTTGGTTACCTCTTAGGCAATCTACAAAATCAGCTCAAGTTCTAACAGTTTTGGAAAGCCTTCTTTGACCTCCCCAGGACAATAATACTGTCCACCTCTCTGCTGTGTTCCCATTTCTCAATTATTAGCATTTTACCATTGCTATAATTACATTCTTACATGTTACCCGTTGACTGACCCAGGAGGACCTCAGGGGCAGGGAATATATTCTCATGTTTATAGCCTCTACTCCTAGCACAGAACTTTTCATAGAGGGGAGAGGTAGAGAAGATGATAAAGAAAGAGAGAAAGGAAGAGAAGGAGGTAGTAGATACTGGTTGGTTGCTCTCCAGCATCTGTTTCCCCTTCTCTCTCCAGCCTTCCCATGTCAGCCCTGCTGATTGAGTGTGATTGATGCCACCCCCAGGAGTGGGTTAGATTGGTCCAAAGAATTAGCCAGGCATGGTGGCAGGCGCCTGTAGTCCCAGCTACTTGGGAGGCTGAGGCAGGAGAATCACTTGAACTCGAGAGGTGGAGGTTGTAGTAAGCGGAGATCTCGCCATTGCACTCCAGCCTGGGCAACAGAGCAAGACTCCATCTCCAAAAAAAAAAAAAAAAGAAAAAGAAAAAAAAGGAAAGGAAAAAAAAAGCACAGTATTCCAATTTCCTTACTACCAATCGGTTCAGAGATGGGTATGTAAACCAGTCAGGGACTGGTTTACCTGAGTCTGCAGGTAAAGACAAGCCTCTTCCTTTTATGAAAGCTAACAGAGATCCTCTTCTCTTCCTACTGAATATGAATAAGGCAGAGGGTAGCCCTGGGAGCCGCTGGCACCATTTTGTACTTCAAAGGGAAACCTGTCTGAGAATGAAGCAAACATTTAGCAAGAAAAGACCAGAGATGGAGAGGGGAAAAAAACAACAACAACTACATCCTGATGAGATTGTCTGGGCTCTGAAACAATCCACACCTCTAAGTGCGAACCCAATGCTTTCAGATAAGAAAATTCTCTTATTATTAAAGCCAGTTTCAATTAAGTTTTCTACTACTGGGAACATAAAGAGTCCTAACTGATATAAGAAGAAATTAAAAAAAGAAGTTAAATTTTCTCATCTAAAATGTCTAAGAAATATAATTAGATATTTAAAGGAATAAATTTCATTTATCTGGGAAATTCACTTGTCTAGAATTTTTTTAATCCCCCAGTGATGTCCAATGAGAAAGACATGCTGTACCTATCTGTCCAACTAGATGGTAAGCCTGTTGAAGGCAGAAATTATTTCTTCATTCATTTATTCATTCAGCAAATATAGAGCATCTTCCAAAAGTTAGGTATAGAGCATCTTCTGAAAGTTAGGCACTGGGCTGACACAAAAAGAAGATAAGGTCTTTGTCAAGTGCAGGAGACAGACACATCTGCCCATCCTCTGTGGTGTCTGGGAGGGACACCGGGGTGGCAATTAAGATCAACAGATCGTTTCATGACTGCTTAAGTTACCAGGAATAGGAAGAGCAAAGAAGAGAACAGGAAATTGGGGCCTGGAAAGAATGCTAATTTGATCCAGGTTGAAGACACTGTAAAGGGAGTTATGAAAGAGAATGCCAGTTGAGAGACCTGGTCAGTTAGGAAAGAAGTGCATTCAGGGATCAGCTGAAGGAAAGGCTGACTCATTAGGAACTTGCCAAGAGAGTGAGAGAGCCCAGAAAGAAAGGACAGTGGGTTCCCAATGGTCAGAGTGAAGAAAGTGTTTGGGAAGCTGAGGTGGGTGGATCACCTGAGGTCAGGAATTCGAGACCAGCCTGACCAACATGGCAAAACCCCGTCTCTATTAAAAATACAAAAATTAGCTGGGCATGGTGGCACGCGCCTGTAATCCCGGCTACTTAGGAGGCTATGGCACGAGAACCTCTTGAACCTAGAAAGCAGAGGTTGCAGTGAGCCGAGATCACGCCACTGCACTCCAGCTTGGGTGACAGAGTGAGTCTCCGTCTCGAAAAGAAAAGAAAAAGAAAAGAAAGAAAGTGTGAGGGGACCAGGCTAGGGAGGCAATAGCCAGCCAGGTGTTAACCCCTAAGCATCCTCAGAAACCAAGTCAGATGGAGTCAAAGAAGATTCTGTCTGCATTCCCTACCCTCAGCTGTCCTTGAAGTCCCATCCATCAGTCACCCTGCCGCCAGAATGCCCTTTCTTCAGAGTCCTGCCTATAAGCTTTCTGTGGCCCTGCCCTGCCTGCACAATAACCTCCTTCATCTGGAATTAATGCCTGCACACATCAGTCTCTAACCAATATCTAGACTTGTTTCTGACCTTCGATCCATGTAGAATTTGGTTAATCATATTATATATTTTTTGCATATTTTATCTCTCCCACTGTCCCGTGGGCAGGGTCTATATTGTATTCATCCTTGTGGACCAGCAGCTAACTCAGCACTTGCTAAGTGACTGGCGAGGCAGTGTGGTCACATGACCAAGTGGTTAGTGAGGGCACGCAGGTTTGATGCCTGGTTCCTGCACTTAGTCACTGTAGAATCTAGGTTAAGTTATCTGACTTCTCTATATTCAAATTCAGGGTCTTAGTTGCATGTGCCTCTTGGTTGTTATGAGGTCACATGAAATAACACATGTAAAGCAGAAAGACCAGATGCTTAGCACAAAGACCTTTTTTTTTGACCGAGTCTTGCTCTGTCGCCCAAGCTGGAGTGCAGTGGCGCGATCTTGGCTCACTGCAACCTCTGCCTTCTGGGTTCAAGCGATTCTCCTGTCTCACCCTCCCAAGTAGCTGGGACTACAGGTGCGTGCCACCACACCCAGCTGATTTTTTTTATTTTTAGTAGAGACGGCGTTTCACTATGTTAGCCAGGATGGCCTCGATCTCCTGACCTCGTGATCCGCCCGCCTCAGCCTCCCAAAGTGCTGGGATTACAGGCGTGAGCCACTGCACCCGGCAGCACAAAGACCTTAATTAAAAGCTTGATATTATTGCTAACTGAATTTGGGAAATTCAAGATTAAACTCTGACAACTTTCAAAATTCCAGCCCAACTTTAAGAGTCAGATTCTATAAAACCAGTCATCATAACAGCTAGTAATAGACATTTCTATGTAGAAAATTTTGTGATTAACAAGGCATGCTTTATCCTTTTTCAGCATCTCTAGTCCAGCACCAGGAAGTGGGGAACAGACTTTTAATAAATGTCCGTGCAACAGGATACAGAAAGCTGACAGCCTCTTCTCAATGTGGGTGGACACCAGGTATTAGCTTCCTAGGGCCGCTCTAACAAATCACACAAACTGAGTGGCTTAAAACAACAGAAATTATTCTCTCACATTCTGGAGGCCAGAAGTCCGAAATCAAATTGTTGGCAGAGCTTTAATCTTTTCAGAGGCTCTAGAGGGGAACTCCTTCCTCGTCTCTTCCAGCTTCTTGTGGCTTCAAGTGATTCTTGGCTTGCGACAGCTTAACTCCAATCTCTGCCTCTGTCTTCATGTGGCCTCTTCTGTGTGTCTGTGTCTTCTGTCTTTTATAAGGACACTTGTCATTGGATTTAGGGCTTACTCAGGTAATTCATGATGATTTCATCTCAAGATCTTTAAATTAATTGCATCTGCAAAGGCCCTTTTTCCAAATAAGGTCACATTCACAGGTTCCAGATGGACATATCTTTATGAGGTAAATAATATTATTCCATCTTGCATATGAGCAAAGTGAGGTAAGAGAGAGTAAGTAAATTGCCGAAGGTCATGTAGCTAGTAGGTAAGCCTGAGATCTGAATTTGAACCCAGGCAGTCTGGCTCCAGAGTCTGGGCTTGTCTCCACTACACAGTCGCTGCCAGTCATGCTGGTTATGATGGAGAAAAGGAGGGAATCTCATTTGTGGTTTTCATTTTTCTTTTTGAGACAAGGTCTGGCTCTTTCCAGGCTGGAGTGCAGTGACGCCATCTCAGCTCACTGCAACCTCCGCCTGCTGGGCTCAAGCGATCCTCACACCTCAGCCTCCCAAGTAGTTGGGACTATAGGCACGCATCATCACCCCTGGCTAATTTTTGTATTTTTTATAGAAACGAGGTTTCGCCATGTTGCCCAGTCTGGTCTCAAACTCCTGAGTTCAAGTGATCCACCTGCCTCGGCCTCCCAAAGTGCTGGGATGACAGGTGTGAGCCTCTGCGACTGGCCTAAGGGAACCTCATTTAATCCTGACAGCTTTCCCGTAAAATAAGCAAAGCCAGGGCTTATTGCTCCCTTTGCAGATTAGAAAACTGATGCTCAGAGAAAGTGAATGACAGTTAATATCCAGCTAGGCTGTAGCAGAACCACTATTTGGACTTAGATCTCTGGTCCCAGGCCAGGGCCATTTCTACTTCTCTATGCTGCCTTCCTTTGAAACAGCTGCTTTCCTCACACCACGCTGAAATGCTTTTACATCCTGCGCATATATCCAGCAGCTGACTTCCCTCAGAAGGGCATGTCCAAGAAAAAGAAAGAGGGAAGGCTGGGTTTAAGGCATTGCCGTATCTAATGCTGACACCGTCACATCTTCTTGGCATCCTGAGTTACCGATCAATTGAATGAACATTTATCAGGCTGCTGCTCCACACCAGGAATGTGGAGGAATTGGAAGCTCCATGTCTGGGAATGTCCTGGTCACCAGACCCCCCACCAGAGAACCAGCCTATGAATGCTTTCAAAAGCCTATAGATGCTGTCCCAGCTAAAGCCTTACTACTGATTGAGAATGACAGCCTGGATGAGAGAGAAAGCTTAGGGACGTTGGATTCCAGCTCCAGCCCTGACCTAATAAGCCTTATCGTCTCTCTGGACCTCAATTTCCTCCTCTGTAAAATGAGAAAATTGGGCTTAGCAATCTCTGAGACACTATCATATGCTAGCTTTCTAGTTACGTACACATGCACAAAAAGGACTCCGTGATCTCCTAAGTCAGTGTCCATGCCTCAGCCTGTGATGGAAATTGATCTGTCATGACAATAACATTGATGTGGTTATGATTGACTATCACATCACATGTATTCTCACAATCACTCTATGAGATAAGTATGAGGCTTAAAGGGTTACATTCTGACCCCGTAACCACACAGCCAGCAAGATTTGAACTCGGGTCTCCCTGATGCCATAACCCAGTACCCTGGCTCAGAACAACTCCATTCTGTCTACCCACCGTCACACGGCCCCATATGGGCTGGTGTCTACACACAGCAGCCTGACCCCATGGGGCACTGCTAGTCTTGTTAGGCTCAGTCTGCCTTCTCATTGAGCTAAAAACAAACAAACAAACAAACAACAACAACAAAAAGCCAACACAGGCATGTGGTCACCTGTCAGGGCTGGGGCACCCCAGCTTACTGAAGAAGAGCTTTCCATTTCTAACTACATTATGGAGGTGAGTGCTTTCCATTCCTGACTTCTGCTGGGCTAGAGCCCCATGCTAGACCCAGCCAAATGGCCTTCTTGCTGCCAGAACCCTGGCAGCTGCCAGTTCCAGAAGGTTACCAACTACAGGTTTTGAGGTTTGCTCAGCTTTCAAGTCTGGCTACATTCAAGCAGCTGGAGCTGCATTCAAATAAAAACAACTCCTTGATGACCAGTGAGAGCCCAATCCACATGGCTGGGCTCTGGACCCCGCAGACACCCGGCAACCTCAAGGTCCAGCTCCTTAGTGAGGGATGCCAGAAGCCTCACACTGGGCCTGCCAATTTAGGGAAGTTTGGATCCAGCTGGAATCATACACACACCCAGAACTGCAGCCACATGCTTCCCTGTGGCCCCTTTCCTTACCATTCACCACCTGGGCCCAGGGTGGAATCCAGCCAGTTGACTTGTCCCTCATCACTAGCCCTATAATCTCCCTTCTTCCTGGAAAAGGAAGCCCCATAGTGGAGCAGTTACCTCTCCTTGTCACCACCACTTGATTGCGTACAAGCTACTCTTCACTCCACTCATTCATCCCCGACCTGCTGCTTACCAGTTATGTGGCTCTGGGGAACTCATTTGACCTCTATGTGCCTCTGTTTCCTTATCTATAAAATGAGGGTGATAGTTGTACCTCAAGGGGTTGTAATAGGATTAAATGAGAGAATGTACATAAAGTACTTAACACAATTCCTGGTACATAATGTACAGCCTGTGGTGTTAACCATTGGTAATCTATAGATACCAGTTCAATCATTCAGTAACTAAACATCTACATTCTGTGTATGAATACTTGCCAAGCTAACTGTGTGGTGGACTCTGTACTAGGGGGTGGCAGTGCAGCTATGAATGCCACTGCTGTCATGTTTGCCAATTTCCATAGTGTAAATTCTCCCACCATGGCCAATTTCAAGCTACCTCCATCATGTCCCTGAACACAGACTTGAGAAGAGGTGCTCACAATCAGCTCTTGAGCCAGTGACAGTTTTGCCAGTCACTACTTCTGGTGGACATCTAAGCTGCTCCTCCTGGGATTTGGACCCGAGTGATGAGAGAATCAGGGCTTCAACTGAGGCTGAATTGAGGCTTCTCCTTCCAACTCTTGGAACTGCTTGTGCTTCTCGTTTCTACTTTATTTCTACATCCTTCCCTGGAGAAATTTCTCCTGCTACTTTATGCCACACTTGACCCAATCTGAGGGCTTCATATCTTGAGGCTACCTAAGGTTTCACAGATTACCAACTCAGCCTCCCAGAGCCCACTTTCAGAAATTTGATCACCCATCTTATCTTTCAGGGTCAGGCTACATGAGTCACTCTATTCTCTCACCCTGGTTTACATTCTGTATTTCACATAACGTGTGTACATTTATTATCTGTCTTCCCATTTGAATGTAAGGTTCGTGTAGGCAGGAACACTATATGCTAGTGCCTGGGATAGTGTCTGTCACTCAATATGTATTTGTTGAATCAATGTATAGAAGAATGATTGATCACAGGCGACTGACCAGACAGTGGTGTCCCAGCCTTGGGTCAGCTTGCCTCTCTAATCCATTGTCATGGTAAGGAAAGACCATGTGACTCACAAGGCATATTGTCATGGACTATCTAGTTCACTCATCACTCGGAGGAGATAACCTTCCCCACAGAAATAACATGCATCCCTGGAAACTTGCACCCCAGGAATTTAAATAGCCCAAGAATGCGGCTCAAGAATATTCAACTAGAACATCTATAAAATAGCCCAAGAATATTTAAATAGGACATCTCACCTGTAGAATGTGGTCATTTCCTGGTTTGAGAAATTCTAGCTTGAGTGTGATCAACCTAGCATACATTTGTAGGATTTACATGTTTTGTAGGAGACTTCTATTATATTATCTGCCTCGTACCTTTTCTTTTATTCTAGGAACAGAATTCCTTTTATTCTAGGAAATCCTACTCCAACACCATCTACTCTTTTGAGTGACTGTCACCATATTCTTGCAGACCCCCTTTCAGATCATAGCTAGGTGCGCCATGGGTAAGCATATTACTCAAGCTGAGCCCCTTGATTTTTTTTTCTTTTTTGTTTATAAGGCTGTCCTTTGGAATATTTTTTTTTTTACACCAGTGAGAGGAGGTGGTTCAATCTTTTTCTTGTGGTAGAAAGAAGTGTGAAATTTGGAAACTGTTAGTAGCCAGAATTTCCACTAAGCAAAGAAAGCTAATCTGTAGGAAAAGCTAATGAACCCAATATGCAGAAAACTGGAGACTATGGAGAGCAAGAGTCCTGACAGCATGTGGTTGAGAGCCAGATGAATGTGTGTTCTTACTGTCATGCATTCAATTCTTCCACCAGTAATTTAGACCTCCCCCAGTCCCACTCCCATCTCCATTACTTTTTTGGTTGAAGGGAGTTTGCTATGGTGTGTGGCTAGTGCTGCAGCTCCAGGAAGTATAAATTGTAAAACTTGGCAGCATCTACATGGTATTAATTCTACAGGCTTGCAGAAAGTGAGAGCTGTGGAGGCTTGGCAGCCTCCACCCAGATTCCAAAGGATTCAAAAGGGGCCTGGGCAGAGACTTGTCGCAGGGACAGAGCCACCATAAAGAGCCCCCACTAGAACAATGCCCAGCAGAAATGCAGGCTCAGAGTTGCTGCAGAGAGTCCCCACTAGGACAATGCCTAGTGAAGCCATGGGAATAGGATCGCCACCAGGATCCTAGAACTATGGGGTCACTGGCAGGATGCAAAGCCCACCTGGAAAGCTTCAGGCACTGAACTCCAATCCCTGTGAGCAACCACATGGGCTGCACTCAGCAAAGCCATAGGGTTGGGGCTGCCTGAGGCCCTTGGGGCCCAACTCCCACCCCAGTGTGCCCACGGAGCAGCACACGGAGTATAAGATTACTTTGGAGCGTCAAGATTTAATGTCTGCCCTCCTGAATTTCAGCCTTGCATGGAGTCTGTTACCCCTTTCTTTTGGCTGATTTCTCCCTTTTAGAATGAGAATGTTTGCCCAATGCCTGCACAACCATTGTTTCTTGAGAATAAATAACTTGGTTTTGATTTTACAGGCTCATAGCTGAAAGGAACTTTCCTTGAATCTCAAATGAAACATTGGACTTTGGACTTCTAAGATGATGCTGGAACAAGTTAAGATTTTTGGGACTGTCGGCTGGGCGCAGTGGCTCACGCCTGTAATCCTAGCACTTTGGGAGGCCGAGGTGGGCGGATCACAAGGTCAGGAGATCGAGACCATCCTGGCTGGAGTGCAATGGCGCAATCTCGGCTCACCGCAGCCTCTGCCTCCCAGGTTCAAGTGATTCTCCTGCCTCATCCTCCCGAGTAGCTGGGATTACAGGCATGCGCCACCACGCCTGGCTAATTTTGTATTTTTAGTAGAGACGGGGTTTCTCCATGTTGGTCAGGCTGGTCTCGAACTCCTGACCTCAGGTGATCCGCCTGCCTTGGCCTCCCAAAGTGCTGGGATTATAGGCGTGAGCCATCGCACCCGGCCTTGGCTGGATTTTTGCTGATTCAAATGCCCATCATATTCCTTCTCATTTTTAAGATTGAACACACTCCTGAGGGCAACCAGAAAGGTTCCTCTCAGTCAGCTTTCTAGAAACAAACCCTGAAATTACAGCGCTAGAAGCAGACTTGTGGTCAGTATTTGAAGTGGGGATGGGGGAACAGAATATGAAAAGAAAGAGTAAGGAAACTATTTACAGAGTATCTATTTTATGCCATGCATGCTAATTTATTATGTTATTAATCTTCACAATAACTATTAGAGAAAACATTATTATCCTCATACTATGAAAGATAAAACTGAGGTTTGCATAGATTAAGTAATTTGCCTAAGACCAATCCATGATTGAAGTAGAGCCAGGATTTCAACGGAATTCAGCTGGCTCCAAAGCCCTTATTTGCTCCACCCGACCTGTCCCAGGTGTTAAACCAATAGGAAAATCCAAGGGTCTCTGAGGGGAGAGGAACAACCCTCTCCCTGTCTGCTTCAAGGCCAGCATTTCCCTCTGCTGCCTGGTTCTGCCTGACAAAGAGAGTGCCCTGCTTCTCTAAGCTCTCACCTTTCTGTTCCACGTGTTTTCCTGCCTCCCAACTCTGATTTTTTTCTCAAGGGTGCCGATCCAGGTGCACTGCCACAAAATTGCCAATGGATAGGTGTGGCCAAAAATGAGCAATCCGTACTTGCATCTCCCCTCCTGCTTCACCTTTAAGCACTTTAAGCAGGTAAGTATCCAGCCTATTTAATGAAAGAGTATTAGAGCGAGGAATCATGTATCCAGCTTTAGTAATAGTTCTCAGTTCTCTGCAGTCCTTAGAAATGAGTTAACTCTCATAAATACCCAAAATCACTCTTGCTGCTGCAATAAGAGCCAGGATGAAAAGTGCATATCTGCTAGAGTCAGGCAGACGTGAGTGCAAATACTGGGTTTACCTCTCTGTGTGATCCTGGGCAAGTTACTTTATCTTTCTGTGTCTGTGCCTCGATTGCCTCATTTAAAGAAAAAAAAAGGCCTGGGCACAGTGGCTCATACCTGTAATCCCAGCACTTTGGGAGCCTGAGGTGGGCAGATCACTTGAGATCAGGAGTTCAAGACCAGCCTGGCCAACATGGCAAATCCCCATCTCTACTAAAAATACAAAAATTAGCTGGGCGTGATGGTGGGTGCCTGTAATCCCAGCTGCTTGGAAGGCTGAGACAGGAGAATCACTTGAACCTGGGAGGCAGAAGTTGTAGTGAGCTGAGATGGCACCACTGCACTCCAGCCTGGGCAACAGAGTGAGACTCTGTCTCAAAAAAAAAAAAAAAAAAAAAAGAGGATCATATCCATCTGAGAAGATTCTAGTAAAAATTATATGACATAATGTGTGCAAACACCTGGCTCACAGTATCATGAATGTTGTTATTTTATTCTTGTTCTTCATGGAAATAAAGTATATTACCATATAAGAATCAAAGGAATATGTTTCTCCAAAAATGAAAAAAAAAAAATCCTCAAGAATGTCACTCTGATAAATTCACTTCTCTGTCATCAAGGTCTGGTGCAGGCATGGGAGGGGATTAAAATGTGTAAACTCCTCTGATGATCTTTTTCTTAATCAAGAGACCAAGATGGTTTTTGAAGCCAAGTGAGGAGACTTCAGATGAGTGTTTGCTCTAGTTCTTCTCGTATGGATGGATGTCTTCTAAAAATGTTCTAATGCAGTAGCTTTCATACATTTTTAGTGGTGGAATCCTTTAATCAAATGAAAACTTACAAGGAACTGAAATGTCTAAAACATTAATTCATTTATTGAGTGCCTGTTTTGTGCCAGACTCTCTACTAGGCACTGATCGAAACAGAGGAAAGTGGAACTTCCTGGGGTCAAGGTGATGAATGCCTGAGGCCTGCCCATTTCTCTTCCCATTTTCACCTATTGGTCCCTGAGCTATTCCCACAAATTCCAGGGGTTCCATGGCCCACAGTTTAGAAACTACTTTCCCAAGACACCTGTGGAAGGTAGCTTCTCAGACCACTAAGAGACAGGAGGAGGAAACTCATGCAGTTTCCACTGACTATGGAGGGAACTTGTTCCCTGTAGAAGACGAAGTCTAGAATTGATAAATTATTTTCTAGAGTGTTCTGAACAAAGCTGTTGAGTTGCAAACTTGCCCTCCCCTTACCTGCCACTCCCAATGAACTGTGCCTTTTCTCTGGAATTTATGGTTTGTATTCTGGCTGCCTCCTAGAACGGAAGTCCTGTACTGGCTCTTAAACCATTTGCTAAAGCTCTGATCTCTTGTCCACCTCCTGTTGGATATTGAAGTCTCTAGCCATGGGCCATGGGCTGTTCCAACCAAGATACTACTAATCACCAATTATAAGACCCCTCTGATTCCTTAATACAATGGCCATCCAAGACAAGTAACGGAAGAAAACTCTTCACAGAGGGAGAGGATGCTGGCCACTGTTGGTGGCTGATCTCCTTCCCTTTGAGGTTCTACTAATATCACTGTACCACCACATTGACCACATGAGGTGTTGCTGGCTCTTTGATGCTGAAGCCCAAAAGTGGGCCAAGGCAGAAGTTGTCCCCTAAGTCTCGCTAGCAAAGATGGCACATTCAAGCACACTTTTCTTTAAGACTGATAAGAATAAAAGAAAAATCAAACCAAAGAATGGCAGATAGCCATAGAATCTGGCTTACAAGTTATGGTCTACTCAGTCAAGAGCCCCTATAGTGCACCTCTGCCTGGTTCTCAGACCTCACCCTGGAGCAGAAGCCATCTCTCTCTCGCCACTTCTAAGTTATTTAACATCCAGATACCAGAGAGAAAGAACCAAATGAAAACAGCTATCCCCTTCCTTGTCTCCCTGTCTGCCTAAATCTGTACCTTCTAAATTCTGGTTTCCTGTCTCATGCTCTCTCTTTACCCAAAAATTACACAGGACATGGCTCCATACTCTCACAGAGAATGATCTTGTCCTAGGTCTTCAACAGAAAAGGTGTGTCTTTAAAACAATACAAAAAATATCAGCATTACACAAAAGCTGTACTATACATACATGTTATTGAGGTTAGACTAAGGAGGGGGTTGAGATTGTCCTTTCACACTAGAATGGAATTAATGTTGCTTAGGAGCCTGTTACGAGTCAGACACTGAATTATCTGCTGTCAATTTTTTCCCCAGAGACAGGGTCTTGCTCTATCATCCAGGCTAGAGTACAGTGGCACCATCATAGCTCATTGCAGCCTCAAACTCCTGGGCTCAAGCAATCCTCCCACCTCAGCCTCCCTAGTGGCTAGGACTACAAGCACGCACTAACAGACCTCGCTAATTTTTTTATTTTTGAAGTGATGGGATTTTGCTATGTTGCCCAGTCTGATCTCAAATTCCTGGCCTCAAGCAATCTTCCCACCCTGGCCTCCTAAAGTCCTGGGATTATAGACCTGAGCTACCACGCCCAGGCCTTGACTTTTTGATCCTTCTACCCCATAACCTGACACAGTGTCTCCCTTGGCGAACCCTCATACCACTAACTTTCTATGTCTATTATGTCCCTTCACACATATTGTCCCAGATTACAGTTGTTTGGGCACTTGTCATATCCACTTCAGTGGATCATACATTTTTTTAAGGTCAAAGGTCTTTACTCAGAAACCTTTTTAATTCTAGTAGAATCTCAGCAGCTCTTCCAAACCTTGGCTGCTAAGCTGCCCTATGTCTTCATTTCCCTCTCTCAATAGATATTCTATTTTACCAGACAAGGAGATGCGGGGACCATTAGGTATGAACATGCTCAGCCTCCAAACTGATCCATATCTTCTTGTGCCTTTTCTCCAAGGAAGCAATGAGCCACTTCTTGGACAAAGCATGAACCTTAACTTATGCTCTTAGATATGTGTTTAGAAAGCTGGTCAGTACAGCCTAATGGTTAAGAGCATATTCTCTGAAACTAGACTGCCAGAGTTTGAATTTCCAAGCCTGTCTGTACTTTGGTTTCCTCCCCTGTCAAATGAAGACAATAGCAATAGTCCCTGCCTCCAGGGTGATAGTAAGGATTAAATGAGTTAGTGAGTGAAAATTACTCACTACAGAGAGTGCTTAGCACGTGTCATGAATGTAGTAATTGTTAACTGTTATTACTAATTACCTCCCATCACCTTCTATGATTTCTTCAGGGATCTTTTTTCATACCTTTCCTCAATCTTACTCTCAAGTCTTCCTCATCCTAATAAAGATCTTTCCTTTTACCGTACATCTGCTTAACCCACTGCCTCCATGGGCTTCTTTCCTTTACAATAGGACTTCTGGGAACAAAAGCTCCTATTCGCTGGCTTTATAATCTCACTTCCCGTTCCCTCTCTGACCATCTGCAGACAATCTAGATTCTACACCCAATGTTCTACTGACTGCCCTGATGAAGCTCATGAAGTGACCTCATTGGTGCTTATCCTACTTAATGTCTCTGAAATGTAACCCTCCTCCCTCCAGAAAAAATCTCTCCCCACCTCCTCAACTTCAGTAATCTTACTCTCTCAGTTCTCTTGCTACTTCTCTTAACATTGCCTTCTCTTTTGCTGGCACCATTTCCTCTACCAACTCCCTAAATATTAGTACTGTATTTCGAATTATTCTCTCCTTTACCTCTTCTTTCCATAGGGTCTGTGGGCAGATCTGTGTCTTCAGCCCTGACCCCTTGTCTGAATTTTAGACTCATAGAACCCACTGCTTTCTAAACAAACCACATGCACTCCAAATCAACCAGACCTCCTCCCTATCTCAGAGTCTTCCCAACTCTCCAACCAGTCACCCAACTTACATATCCCAAGGCCATCCTAGATTCATTACTCACACAGCCAATTAATTATCCCAACCAGATTGTGCCTTCCTTATTCATAGTGAACTAGCCTCTCCTGTCCATCACCGCTCTGCAAGTCTAGACCCCTATCATCTCTCCAGTTTGGACTATTGAAGACATTCACTATCTGGCCTTCAGTCTCTGGTTTCTTACAATAGATAACACAGTCTGCACACAGACTGTGATTACAAAACACTGATCTGTTTTCCTCCATTCTGAATAGAAGCTGGCCACATCTTCCGATTGCCTATAAACAAAGCCTATCTCCTTAAGCTCATATCTAGCAAAAATCTCACCAAGTACTCTAAGGTTGAGTTACTTTAGACTATCTTTTGTTCCCAGACTCACTACGGTGGTACTTTGTACTTTGTTGTGTGTAATTCACAGTCGAGCTCAGGCCTTTCTCCTTGTAACATAATCATTAGGACAGACAAGGTGAGCCCTAGGGTGGTGCCACCAAGCTATATGATCTGCAATGACAGGCTGTGCAATGACAGTCCACGGTTAAACAGTAAGTGGACTGCAGAACCAGGATGTGAACTCATGTATTTCTTGCCTTCTAGTTCAAACTCATTCTATTGTTCTAGCTGGACTAGTGTTTCTAAATTTCTCTTTTTCTCTCACTGTTTGCATTCATTTATTCAATGAATGTTTTTCTATTTTTACAGAGACAGGGCCTTGCTCTGTCCCTCAGGCTGGGGTACATTGGTGCAGTCATAGCTCACTGCAACCTTGAACTCCTAGGTTCAAGCAGTTCTCCCACCTCAGCCTCCTAAGTAGCTAGGGCAATAAGTGTGTGCCACCAGGTCTGACTAATTTCTAAATTTTTTATAATTTTAATTTTTTGTAGTGGGTCTCACTATATTGCCCAGGCTGGTCTTGAACTCCTGGCCTCAAGCAATCCTCCTCCCTCAGCCTCCCAAAGCACTGGGATTACAAGAGTGAGCCATTATGTCTGGCCTGCTCTCGCATATTTTTAAACGTTTAAAGTAATCTTTAAACAGATATAATTGAAAGCTATTAATTCCCTTTTTACAGAGGAGAAACTCAAGGTTTAGAGAAGATAAGAAATTTGCCCAAAGTCCCTTGCTAGTAAGTGACAAAATGGAACGTTAAACCCAGGTCACTAACTCCAGAACCAAGGCTCCAAATGTTAAGGCTGCCCAGGAGCTCCTGTGACTGAGCTCCTAATTCTGCATTGGTTGTGTGAGTGGACACTGCAACTGAGTCCTATAAGGCCACTCTACCCCAGCCTGAGTGTGTAGGAGTAATCCTCCTTGCCAATGACGGGTTCAGGGACAGGCAGGCCATTTTGTGCCAATGATTAAGAAGGAGAAATTTACCGAGAGTTTTTAGGAAAGACACTTTTTGTTAGTCTTAAGAGAAAAATCATAGGAAGCCAGGCTCTCTCTTTGCTACTAGGTGAGAAGAGGGAAGTGTGTACCCTTGATTGCTAATGACAGCTGCCCTACAAAGATGGAGGAGATCAGCCTTGGGATATAGCCAACACTGTGGACCTCAGAGTACAGAGACAAAAAGGCCCTAGGTCCTTGCTAAGGTCACTGAGTCTCTTGATCATCCAACCCTAAAACTTCCCTGCCCCAGGGCTTCTCACTGGTGAGCTAATATTGCTTAAGCCATTTTTAGTTGGATTTTCTGCTGCCCAGAGATAAAAGCATCTTCATTGACACAAACACTGACACTAGAGTTGCTGTGCATTGTCATTTGGCCCCTGGACCTCATCTAGCAGAAGAGCAGCTATGCTTTCCGGTTGGTGCCCTCACCATCAGTATGATAGAGATTAAGCATCCCAAATCTGAAAATCCAAAGCCCAAAATGCTCCAGGGAGCATTTCCTGTGAGCGTCATGTTGGCACTCAAAAAGTTTCAGATTTTGGAGCATGCTGGATTTCAAATTTTTAGATTTGGGATGGTCAATCAGTGAATACATATAATGCAAATATTCCAAAATCCAAAACGTTCCTGCTCTCAAGCATTTTGGATGAGACATACTCAACTTGAATAATGATTAAAATCTCTAGCTCTGGAGTCCAAATTTAAATTCCACTTCTTCCACTTCATAGGCGGGCAAATTTTCCTGGGCAAATTTGTTTTCACATTTGTAAAACAGACATAATAGTAGTAGTGTTACTCTCAAAGGATTGTTGTGAGGATTAAATGAGACAAAGCACAGGGCACTCTTAATGCAGGACCTGGCACTGTAACCATTAGAAATTGCAGTGACGCATTAAGGTTGGCCCCATCTGTTTCCACCTTCCAGTATGCTTTGCAGCGGAAGTCAAGTGGGTAACAGCTGGGGTGACCATATAATTTATCATCTAAATCAGAATGCTTTTGTCTGGGAAAAAGGCTAAACTAGAATACAGGGACAATCTGTCCTAGGGAAACCTGGATATATGATCGTTTTGGTAATGTCAAATTACCAAATAGATAATTTGGTAATGGGTCCTGGAGCGTATCATTTTCCAGGGAGGGTCACCAACCTAAGATATGATTATTGGGTTCAGCAGTAACTTCCCAGAGGATCCAGAAGTATAAAATTGTGATCCATGATGAATGGGAGTTCTTTACAAGGAGGCCATTCTTAGAAGAGCTAGACTTCAGCATAAAGCTAACGTCTAGCATATTTCCTTTCTGCATTTATAACAACGGAAACTTTTTACAAGCTCTTTGCAGAAAGCTCTCAGCTTTCCTCTAATCCCATATCTGTAATGCATTTCAGAGTGACGCTGGGAGGACAGCATTTGAGGACCCATCTTAATGTAATTATATGAGATGGATTCTTACCCCAAGTTGAAAAGATGACTCTCTTTTTCTTTATTCTGTGCCAAAGAAAATGTCAGGAAATGAGTTCAAGCTGGAATCTTCCCTGCTGCCACCTCGGCAGCTGTATGACAGAGCCCCAGGACCAAGATCACATGCCCTGGCCAACAGCACCAGGATAAAGTTGGCCATCTGTGAGGACCATAAGAAATCCTTTTATACTTCAAACGAGGCCCTTCATTTTTCACTCTACAAGTTTTCAGGGGGAAAAACTGCCTTACTTCTGGTGCAGTTTGAGAGGAAAGAGTCTTTCTTATGAAGCTGTCAAGTTGTGTGTCCTTAGAGGCATGCCACAGGGAAATGCATTTGCTCTTTCTCAACAGGCACCTCCAGTGTGGCAGGTGATTTCAAAACTTGACCCCAGAGGCCGTTCCTTGATATCACCAGATCAGAAGGGACCCACTTTGCAGAACAGTTTAATTCAGTCCCCTACTATGCTAGACAAGTGGGTGTCTCCACAGTATCCATTCCACACACATACCGTGGTGTTACTGTCATGCTGTTTGGATTGACTTGACCCCATTGGCTCCAGGGCTCCAAGCCCTCAGGGTCGTCTCATTGCCCTTTGCCACTGTGGTTCAGGAGTGGACATGTAACCTTACTTGGCCCAAACAGAGAGATGTCTGGGGTTTTTCTCTGAATGTTTGTGAGAGTATCTCTCTCCCCCTGACTGGACAGGGAAACGTGTTGCTCCAAGAGACGCTGGCAGCCATCTTCATATCTTGAGGGAAGCCAGTTAGGATGAGGCAGCCTCACAGAGGAGGCCAGTATGGAGAGAATGGCAGGGAAATAAAACTGAATTCCTGGACTAACTATACCTAAAGTTTTTCCCACTTCAGGACTTTTGATTTATTGTGCCTACAAACACCACTTAATGTTACATTGGTTTGAATTAGATGTCCTCTTACTTGCACCTAAAAGTCTCCTAAGTCTCTTAGTCTCAAGAGAAAAATCATAGGAAGCCAGGCTAAGTTGTGTATTTCTTCACAGGCATTTATGTGGGTGGGCAGCCCCTTCTGGCCCCTAGTTCTGGCCATTTAAAAGTCACAGCTGCTCTCCTAATGGTTCCTCCTTTGCAGCAACAGAATCGTCATAGCGCTTTAGAGATGTTCTTAACTTGAATCATATGAAATTGCCGATACTTGGTCATTTTTGGCCCACAAAATGGCAATTTCATATGGTTCAACCAATTAGCAAGAATCAGCTGCTTCTTTTTTTTTTTTTTTTTTTTTTTTTTAATCTTTTGAGACAAGGTCTGGCTCTGTCACCCAGACTGGAGTGCAGTGGTGTGATCATAGCTCATTGCAGCCTTGACCTCCCATGCTCAAGCAATCCTCTGGCCTCAGCCTCCTGAGTAGCTGGGACTATGGGTATGTGCCACCATGCCCAGCTAATTGTTTTTATTTTCAGTAGAGATGAGGGCTCACTACGTTGCCCAGGCTGGTGTTAAACTCCTGAGCTCAGGTGATCCTCCTGCCTCGATCTCCTAAAGTGCTGGAATTACATGTGTGAGCCACTGTGCCTGGCTACAGCTGCTTCTTATAACTATGTATAAGGGTCTTTGCTTTCCCTACAAAATATCTTTTCTATCCTTCCACCTGTCTTCATCCCTGTTACCCTTGCCCTGGCCCAAACCAATGCCATCTCTGCCCTGGAGGTGCTACTAGTAGCTCCTAAGCAGCCCCCACCATTGTTCCTGTCCTCCTCCAATTCACTCTCCATGTTGCAGCCAGAGGGACCTCTTCAAAATGGAAACTGATCCTCTCCTACTTGAAATCCTTTAATGATTTCCCATTCATCAGAAAAACGTTTCAGAGTCCGGGTGCAGTGGCTCACGTCTGTAATTCCAGCAGTTTGGCCCTTTGGGAGGCCGAGGTGGGCGGATGGCTTGAGGTCAGAAGTTCAAGACAAACTTGGCAAACATGGTGAAACCCCATTTCTACTAAAAATACAAAAAAAAAAAAAAAAATTAGTCGGGCGTGGTGGTGCGCACCTGTAGTCTTACCTAGTCAAGATGCAGATGCATGAGAATCACTTGAACCTGGGAGGTGGAGGTTGCAGTGAGCCAAGATCACACCACTGCACTCCAGACTGGGCAACACAGCAAGCCTTTATCTCAAAAAAAAAAAAAAAAAATTTTAGAATCCATAAAACATTCTCAAGGCTCCCTACAACCTGAACTCCTCCTGCATCCCTTGACTTTCTTAGCTATCTTCACTTCCTCAATTACAGCGTTCTCCCTCTCTTACCTCTTTTTCTCTGCTTATGCTATTTTGTTTGCCTAGAGCATTCTCCCTGTCACCTGTTGAGATGGGTTGTCTGTCATCAACTTGGTAAAGCCATGCCTGTCTAAGAATAGGAACTACATATCACAGAACTCCCTTTCTCATTGGCAATGAAATGAATTTGTGTCAGACTTGAAAAGCGGAAATGAGGGAGTCCTTTACTCACCCAAGGCCATGGCAGTCAAATATGGTGGCTATTTGCTGGTAGGCCATACATGGAGAGCTTGCCACATTGGACGCTTCATAGGACACTGTGTTTATTTTCACCTGTCATCTTTCATTTTGTATGCACATGTTGAACACCTTCTATTTACAGACACTGTGCTAGATTCTGGGGAAGAAAATTCAATAGGTTCCAGTCCTGAGGAAAGTCTAAGTCTACTTAGACAGACAGGTAAATAGGGAAGACAGACAGGTAAACAGACAGTTACAGGACAGTCTAGAACCATAATTTGAATTGGTTACGATGAAAGTCTAAACATCTCAAACAAAGAGAGCCAATAACACAGTGGCTTAGGAACAAAGAAGTGTATTTCTCTCTTATGTAACAAATCCCCAGTGGGGAAGTTTCTGCCCCACACTGTCATTCAGGGTCCCAGGTTCCTTCCATTCTATTATTCTACCAGCTCACATGGTATTGTCCTCATTTGCATGACTGAAGGTGAGTGGCAACACATCTGTGCTCCCACTTGCAGGAAGCGGGACAGTTATGAAGGAGCATGGGCAAAACATTTTAAGGCCCAGAAATAGAAGTAAGCATATCATTGACATGATATTGATGTGAACACACCTAACTGCAAAGTGGGCTGGGCAGTACGGTTTCCAGCTGCAGCTCAGGTACTACAGGTCCAGGCTCCACTCCATTGTTAGAGAAGGAGAAAAGAGATGTGGGCAACTAGCCTTCTCTACCAGATAAGTGAGAATGCAATTGAAACACATGAAAGATGTCTTCTTCAGTGTGAGGGAACGAAGGAAGTGGTGGCAGAAGAAATGTCCCTTGAGCTGCATCTTGAAGGATGAGTAGAACTTGGTCATTATGATAAGGTGGCAGAGTGTTCCAGGCACCTGTGAAGAACCCCCAGTTTGGTAGGACCACATAATTCAAGAAGATGGATGAAGTCAAAATCATATTTCATAGTTTTTTCAGTCTTTCTGAGATGACACAAAGTCCAGGCCAATCTAGTCCAGTATGTAATCAAACTTCAAACTCAGCCACTGCGAATCTTCTCCCCTGCCCTAGACCTTTATGATGACAAGAGAAGGGTGCATGACTGTGTCTTTCCTCTTTCCTTGCTCTACTTCCTCCCCCTCTAGTTGGTTGCTGCTCTGGGCCCTGCCTGTATCATAAGAAGGAAGGAAGAATAAGTAAGGGTTAAGAACTGTCTTACTTGGCTCATATAGTTGTGCTCTGGCTTTGGGCTTTCCCAATGTGGCAGAGGCACCATTGCCGGCTCTTTCCTCTGTAAGACAGTTTGGTGGGTCCCTTGGAGATTACCTGCTGGAGGCATCCTTTCTAAAGACAAGCACTGCCTCCCTGAGATTGCATTGCCTTCTCCAGCTGGCCATTGCGTGGTCCACCCCTCTGTTGAGTCCCATTATCACTCCAGGAGGTACTTTTGGGATAGGTCCTTTTTTTTTTTTTGGAAGAAGTCTTGCTCTGTCACTCAGGCTAGAGTGCAATGGCGTGCTCTTGGCTCACTGCAACCTCTGCCTCCCTGGTTCAAGCGATTCTCTTGCTTCAGCCTCCCGAGTGACTGGGACTACAGGCGTGTGCCACCATGCCCAGCTAATTTTTTTGTATTTTTAGTAGAGATGCGGTTTTGCCATGTTGACCAGGCTCGTCTCAAACTCCTGACCTCAAGTGATCCACCCACATCGGCCTCCCAAAGTGCTGGGATTACAGGCTTGAGCCACCACCCCCAGCCAGGTCCCTTTTTAAATAATCCCAGGATAGTCCTTTCATGAAACCTTTATCTAGTCCATAAGAACTACACCCCTTGGCTTTCCATAGCTAGAAGTGCAGCTATCAGTATATCAGTATAGGTCTTTCTGTATTTCATTCTGCCACATCTAGCAGCCTTTAGATTTCTCCCTTGAGAGTTGCTGGGTCCTGCAAATTCCAGGGAACCCATATTAAGTTGTCTGAATGATTCTCTGGGCTCTCTTTTCACATGGTCCAATGTAAGGGTAAAGTACCACAGGTAGGAAAGGCAAAAATCAGCATACCTACAACTGTCTCCAAAACAGTCCTTCCAGATGACCTCTTCAACTTGCTCTTCTAAAGGTTAGAGGTGGGTTATGACCTGGTGCCAGGAGAACCTCTCCACAAGTCTGGCACAGATGTTCTAGCATCTCTAGGATGTGAGAGTGTTCTTAGCCTTTAGTCCTCTAATGAAATTCCAACAAATCAGGAAAAGTCTTTTTTGATAACCCATTAACATATTCAATGAAGTTTTTTTAAAAATAGGTGGTATTTGAAATTTTTCGATATTGCTTTTATGGCATAGTTTTTAAATCATTGGCTCATCAAAATAGTGGATTATCATTCAACTGATTCAACTGTGGGACCACTGTTAAACGGATGCTACTTTCAAAATTAAATTGAGAATGAGGATAATTCACACACTAACCCACCATTATAGAGAATGCTTGCTATTCCCTAGCCAGCAATGTGCACTCTCTGGGTTAACCACCCCACTTCCTGATGCTTGGTTCTCCGCTCACCCCTCCTCCAGTCTCAGGAATGGTCATTCATCTAACAAACATTTACTGAGCACCTACGCTATGCTGACTACTGTCCTAGGTGCTGAGGATACATTTGTGTATAAAACAGACAGTTAGGGCCAGATAATAAACAAAATAAATAAGTAAAATGCATAACATATATTAGCATGTGATAAGTGCTCTAGTAAGCCATTTCCCACATGTCGTTCCAGATGTGGGAGAGATTTATAATGTAAGACACCATAGTCCTGAGAGCTGGCATTCTAGCGAAGAAGAGTATGTAAACACAATTATAATACAATGCTGCTTAAGTGAGTCAGACAGCAGGGGTGTGTACTGAATGCTAAGTGACTAACCCTGCTTGAGGGCATCAGGAAAGGTTTCATAGGCTTTCTGTTTGAAGAACACAGTATTGTATTATAGAGAAGTAGTGATAACTATCTTCAACTGTAAGCTCCTGGCAGCTTTTCCCAGAGCCCCAGGCAGTTACCACCCTCCCAGTGCTTGCTTCAGCTTGTGCCTTCATTCCTTTCTCAGGTTCGACACTGAGGCCAGAAGCAGTGCTAGGTGGAGAGTTCCTTCTTCCAAAGACGTAGCACTCTGATAAAACAAACAAAAAAACAAAAAACAAAAACACCTTGGAGGAAGCAAAAGGAAATATGACCTTATGTCTATGGTCAGTCCACGAGACCCATAAAAAAGGAGGTGGTCAGCTGACCTGTCTCTTCATGCTCCACTCCATCTGCCCTCCAGCCAAAGGCTCACTCTCTGTGAAGCTGGATCCAGCTGGGCCACTATACTCACCCATGTTTCTTTTTAGAGGGGAAGCTCCTGGCAAACACTGCCTTGTATACATCTTTGCATGAGCCCGCAAAGCTGGCACAAGGCTTCCCCCACAGCAGAGTCTCAGTAAATAAAAATGAAAGGCAATGAAATGAATTGTTCCAAAGGCAAATGTTCTGCCCCTGGAACACACTGTTGCTTATTGGGATGATTTTGGATTCAGACAGACTAGGATTCTAATCCTGATTTTCTCCTTGTCGCCAAATTACTTTACCTCTCTGAGTCTCTTCCCTATATTTGTAGATAAGATAAATTTGTTGTGATGATTAAACAAGGTATTAAGATAATGCTTAGCGAGGCCGAGGCCGGGTGCAGTGACTCATGCCTGTAATCCCAGCACTTTGGGAGGCCGAGGTGGGCGGATCACGAGGTCAGGAGATCAAGACCATCCTGACTAACACGGTGAAACCCCATCTCTACTAAAAATACAAAAAATTTTCCAGGCATGGTGGCAGGCACCTGTAGTCCCAGCTACTGGGGAGGCTGAGGCAGAAGAATGGCATGAACCCAGAAAGCGGAGCTTGCAGTGAGCCGAGATCACGCCACTGCACTCCAGCCTGGGCAACAGAGCCAGACTCTGTCTCAAAAAAAAAAAAAAAAAAAAAAAAAAGATAATGCTTCGCACAAGGCCAGGCACATACTACTAGCTCAGTACAGGGGTACTATCACTATTATCAAGGTTAGAAACTACCAGGAGGGTGTTTGAACTCATTAATAAATAATAAAAAGCTATTTAATCATTACAATTCACCAACAATCTAAATGTTTCCTTTGAGAGGTAGTGAGCCATCCATCACTGGAGGGATTCAAGTAGTAAGACTGGATAACAGTTTCTACATCAGAAATTTCTGTACTTTGGTGACAGGTGGGAGTAGCTACGCTTCTTATGCCTTTCAAGGTAAAGTCGGCTGAGGTTGATTCTGGAGGAGAGATTAACAATTGAGAACGTGGCCTTTGGAGGCAGCCAGGCTGGCTTCAAATCCCAGCTCTGCCACTTTCCTAGCTCTGTAACTCAAGGAAAGTTACTTATATGTGCCTTAGTTTCCTTTTTTGTAAAATAGTTATACTAATGGAACCCCAGCATGCAGAATTATCACAAGGATTTAAAAAGTCATTATTTTGTGAACAATGACTCCTCATCTTCTGGTCTCAGGCAGACAGTGCCTCTCAACATCTACATAGTGACCTACTCTAGGAATCAATGGATTGTGACTTGCTTAAGGTCTCAGCTAGTCCCCCTCCCCATAAAATCCACACTTTGATTAAATTGAATCATTAAAGAAAATGTTAACACAATAGAATCAGTACTTTGGGGGCAAATAAGCAGAATCCACGTGAAAGTTTTGAACCCTGGGAAATGCATGAAGATGAGGGCTGTCCAATGTCTTCCAGTCTCCTGGCAGCCAGAACATGTTAATGTAGTGCTTCCCAGAATAACCACTCCCACCCCCACCCCTCCTTAGCTCTCAGAGCAAAGGTAGCTTGTTCATCTCATGGGATTTTGCCAAATGTGTTTGCAGAGCAGTCTCCCAATTAAAAAGCCCCAGGAGAAAAACTCCTTTACATAATGCCAGCATTTGCACACACACACACACACACACACACACACACACACACCTTATCTTGAGAAAATCATGCTGAGTGAATCACATCATTGGGAGTTGTGACTAAGACACTGCTGAGACCATTCATATCACCCCGTGCATTCAAGGAAAACGTAGCCAGCTTAGACAGAATGGTTCACATCTCGAAGCATGTCCTGAGCATCCTTGGCCTCCTTTTTCATCCCTCCTTTTCCCTGATCCCAAGAATCCCTGGCTACATCTTAGAGCCCTTCTATCATCTTGCTCTCTACATCCCTTTCTTCCAGAACAGAAAAACATTAGACATACATTATCAATTAGCTGAAGACACTTTGCCTGGCACTCCAGCACACTAACGTGTTCTCTCAACCAGAAGCTGAGCCCCAGGAACAGGGGCTTAAGGTCTCTGTGGGCCCTGCATCTAATTCCTCTTCTCCAGAAACAGCATCCCTATTTTCCTTTTTAAATTTGTTGTTGTTGTTGAGATGGGGTCTCGCCATGTTGCCCAGGCTTGTCTCAAACTCCTGGGCTCAAGCGATCCTCCCGCCTTAGCCTCCCAAAGTGCTGGGATTACAGGTGTGAGCCACCATGGCTGGTTCCAATTTTCCTTTAGAGACCCACTCCTTTTCAACCCCAGACCGCACGAATCAGGTAGACTTAACTGTTCTCCTGGAACTCAGAGGCAGGCATATTACTCTGACATGATGTATAGGAGTACCACATGCCTACCGCCACAGAGAAAAGTCAAGAGGTTGGCACAAGACAAATGCTGGCCAATGAAAGCTAATGAACATCAGCCTTAGGAGTTTTGTGACAGGCTGTCATCCTAAACTGCTAGGGAAGAAGAAGGAGATGACCCTGTAGATAGAGCTCATTTGAGAATGAAGCCAGCACTAAGGGAAAAAGATCTGCGACACATAACAACACTAAGTTACAATGACATTGCTTGCACTCCCAGATCCAACTACATCTGAAGCTTATTAACCTTGAAATTTTCATTACATGAGCCAATAGATTTCCATTTGCATGCATGGAAAAAATTCGACTTTTGAATGGAGGTTTTTCCTCTTTGCCAAAAAAATATTAATTTTAGGAAAACTATGGAATTTTTTTTTTTTTTTGAGACAGAGTCTCACTTTGTCACCCAGGTTAGAGTATGGTGGTGCAATCTCGGCTCACTGCAACCTCCACTTCCCAAGCTTAAGTGATCCTTCCACCTCAGCCTCCTGAGTAGCTAGGACCACAGGTGTGCACCACCACACCCAGCTTTTTGTATTTTTGTTAGAGACAGGGTTTCACCATGTTGCACAGGCTGATCTCAAACTCCTGAGCTCAAGCAATCCACCTGCCTCAGCCTTCCAAAGCGCTGGGATTACAGATGTTAGCCACCACGCCTGGCCATGGAAGTTATTTTTTAAATGCAGATACATACTGGGAGGGTAGCCTGCCGTATGATCTGACACTGCCTGAGAGAAGAGGCCTATCTTAAGGAAATATTCCCTGAGAAAGACCCAGCGCCTGGGTAGGAACTGGGCAGATGAAATACAAAGCCCAGTGGAGAGAGTTAAGGCCCTAATAAGGGTCATTAGAAAACAAAGAAGAAATATCTAGGATCATCGGCAGATTCTTTTCATAGAATAATCACTTCCCCTTTATAGCAAAGTATTTAGAAAACACAGGCACCTAGCAGCAGTGCAAAGATTATTATTATCATTACTTTTATTAATATTCTTTATGGGTAGTGGCAGGGGCGAAGCAACCCAAGACATCCAGGCATTAGTCAGAGCTCACTGGGTTCAAGTGAGCAGAACCCAACTCAAGCTAGCTTAAGGAGGAAAGGAGACTTTGTTAAAGGCTCAGGAAGCGGCTTAGCTGGCCCTCAAAGCAACTGAAACCATGGACTAAAACCCCATAGAATTATTTCCTCCACTCATCTCCATTTCCCTTGGTGTGTCTGCTTCATTTCCTCCTCTACTAGTCTGGACTTATTCAAACAGTGGGAAGAAGTCGGGAAGTGACATTTGTTCAACCTCTTTATTCCCAAGTTCCAAAATTCCAGGGCAGGCGTGTGATAGGCCCACCATGAGTCAGGCACGGAAGGCTGAGGAAGGAGCCAAGCTTGGCAACCTATGGTGGACACTGTCAGTGCCTGGCCCAGGTCTTTCTAACCATTCACTTCCAGCTTGCTAGCATCTGCATCCCTGTTTCCAAGGGCTTTACTTTCAGAACCATGAAAGGCTGCTCTGGGGATGCTAAGCCCTTGGAAATGGCCCTCAACCAAAGACCACCTGGAATTGGTGTATAAATACTCCAACTCCCTGGCTCCTTGGAGAGAATAATTCCAAGGCCTGTGGTTTGTTCCATTTCCCAGAGCTTCCCCATAGAGTGGAACTCTAATTGCCCCCTGGGGTAGCTGACTTCACCAGACACACAGTATTGCCTGCCCTGCCTTCCCTTGGAGATTCTCTTAAGAGGTCCCTTGCACCTCCCAATTAAACTACTGGCTCAAGCGCTGCTTTTGATGAAACTCAAACTAACACACAAGCCAAGGCAGAACCCAAATCAAGTACCCAAAGGCCAAATACAAAGCCAGAAGAATCAGGAAGGTGGGTTCAGTACATCAAGGAGAAGCTGGTCCTGGGCTAAATAACTGCAATGGGGGCTGCTCTGCAGCCCTGGGGGGCATTACCAGAGCCAGTGCATTTTGTTCCACTGAATTCTGGACCTGGGAGTCCCCACAGTCCAGTGTGTATGGAGTGTGCGTATGTCTGGTTTGTAGGGGGTGTGTGTATGGGTGTGGGTATGAGCATATTCAGCAGGGTGGTGGGGGTGCAGGAGTGGTCCTCTTCACTTCACCTCTGCACACGAAGCAGCAGTGACTACTATGAGATGCAGTCATTTCATCAGGAAGGGAGAAAATGAGGCCCTGGAGATGGGACAGGAACTTTGAAGGCTGTGGTGCTCCATCTACTTGTCAGGAAAACCTTTAATAAATAAAAAAGGAGAGGGGGTGGTGTGGGGTGACAGCGACAGGGAGAGAAAGATGAAATGTGAAGGCTTCTGTCCCTGGCTCTGAAGCAAAGCATTTTTGGTTCCGAGATGAAAGGCAGTGAAAATGGTTGGTGGCCAGGCCTCCCTCTGCTCTGCAGCAGCCCCCAGGCCATGGGCAAGTGCAGCTCACACCTTCCTGCACACAGGGAGAAGCAGGTGACCTATTTTCCCAGAGAAGCTCTTGTCTGGGGCTGCTGATGTAGAAAACTCCCTACAGGGAGGGGGCCTGTAGGAAACATAGGACATGCCACTGGCCGTGCTGGTCGTGTGTGTGTGTGTGTGTGTATGTGTGTGTATATGTGTGTATGCATACATATGTGCTGTGTGCATGTGTGGTGTGTGTGATGTGTGTGTTGGGGGGTATGTGTGTGGTATGTGGGTGGTGTATATATGTGTGTGGTATGTGTGCATGTGTGGTGTGTGTATGAGTGCGTCTTGTGTGTGTATGGTATGTGTGGTGTGTGCAAGTGTGCTGTATCTGTGGTGTGTATGTATATGGTGTGGTGTGTGGTATGTATATGTGTGTGTGTTTGTGGTATGTGTGTGATGTGTGTGTGGGTGGTGTATGCGATGTGGTATGTGTGGTGTATGTGGTGTGTATGTGCGGTGTGTGTATGTATGATGTGATGTGTGATGTGGTATGGTGTGTGTGGTGTGGTATATGTGTGAGGTAGTGTATGTAGTGTGTATGTATGGTGTGTGCATGTGTGGTGTGTATGTGTACATGTGTGGTGTGTGGTATGGTGTTTGTGGTGTGGTGTATGTGGTGTGTATGTGTGCTGCCTCTGTATGTGTGGTGTGTGGTGTGTGTAGTGTGTGTGTGTGGTGTGGTGTGTGTAGAGTAAATGTGGGGTGTGTGTGTGGTATGGTGTATGTGGTGTGTATGTGTGGTGTGTGTGTGTACGTGTGGTGTGTGTGCTATGTGTGTGGTGTGTACATGGTGTGATATGTGTGGTGTATATGTTGTGTGTGTGTGTGCGCCCTGGGGCAGAGATGGTGCCTGGCGCTCTCAGTGTCCTAGCACATACAAAAACAGTTCCTATTCGCCTTGTGCCAGACCTGATCTTCAAATCAGGAACACAGCACATCTGCACTTTGATTTGACTTCGCTGGCTGTGGGGCTTTGAAGATGAGCATTTTTCTTCATTCGAGTTCACTTTTTCTTGTTGGTAAAATGTGGGTTATGATACCTGGCCTGCCTACTTTCATGCGCGTCCGTGTGAAGAGACCACCAAACAGGCTTTCTGTGAGCAACATGGCTGTTTATTTCACCCGGGTGCAGGTGGGCTGAGTCCAAAAAGAGAGTCAGCGAAGGGAGATAAGGGTGGGGCCGTTTTATAGGATTTGGGTAGGTAAAGGAAAATTACAGTCAAAGGGGGTTTGTTCTCTGGCGGGCAGGGGCGGGGGTCGCAAGGTGCTCAGTGGGGGTGCTTTTTGAGCCAGGATGAGCCAGGAAAAGGACTTTCACAAAGTAATGTCATCACTTAAGGCAAGGACCGGCCATTTATACACTTCTTTTGTGGTGGAATGTCATCAGTTAAGGTGCGGCAGGGCATATTCACTTCTTTTGTGATTCTTCAGTTACTTCAGGCCATCTGGGCATATACGTGCAAGTCACAGGGGATGCGATGGCTTGGCTTGCCTCAGAGGCCTGACATTCCTGCCTTCTTATATTAATAAGGAAAATAAAACAAAATAGTGTTGAAGTGTTGGCACGGCGAAAATTTTTGGGGGGTGGTATGGAGAGAGAATGGGCGATGTTTCTCAGGGCTGCTTCAAGCGGGATTAGGGGCGGCGTGGGAACCTAGAGTGGGAGAGATTAAGCTGAAGGGAGGTCTTGTGGTAAGGGGTGATATTGTGGGGTTGTTAGAAGAAACATTTGTCGTATAGAATGATTGGTGATGGCCTGGATACAGTTTTGGATGAATTGAGAAACTAAATGGAATAACAGAAGGAAAAAAACAGGTATAAAAGGTCTAAGAATTGGGAGGACCCAGGACACCTGATTAGAGAGTGCCTAAGGAGATTCAGCATAGTCCTGCCAGCAAAGATTATTTATTTACTTCAAGAGTTAAGAGTGGCAGTTTGGGGATAGCACCAGGAGATATCAGCTGTGATGGCTTGGAAGAACAGTGTAAACCGGCAGTGTAAACAAGAGCAGGGCATGTATGAGTAGTTGAGAACGGTGAATAGGAGTATGACTAGACAGAAGATAGTAGGGATGACAAGTTTTTTGGGGGGCACAGTCTAAGTTGGTCTGGTGTCTGGAATGAGACTGGGGCCTAATAAAAAGGAGCGTCTATACAGGAGCTTAAATGGGCTGTACCCTGTAGCATTCCGAGGACAGGCCTGAATTCTGAGAAGGGAAAGTGGTAAAAGTATTGTCCAGTCCTTTTTAAGTTGGTGGTTGAGCTTGGTGAGGTGTGTTTTTAAAAGACCTTTAGTCCATTCTACTTTTCTTGAAGACAGAGGACCGTAAGGGATATAAAGGTTTCCCTGAATACTAAGAGCCTGAAAAACTGCTTGGCTGATTTGACTAATAAAGGCTCGTCTGTTATCAGACTGTATTGAGGTGGGAAGGCTAAACTGAGGAATTATGTCTGACAGAAGGGAATAAATGACTGCGGTGGCCTTCTCAGACCCTGTAGGAAATGCCTCTACCGATCCAGTGAAAGTATCTACCTAGACTAAGAGGTATTTTAGTTATCTGACTCAGGGCATGTTGAGTAAAGTTAATTTGCCAGTCCTGGGCGGGGCAAATCCTCGAGCTTGATGTGTAGGGAAGGGAGGGGACCTGAATAATCCCTGAGGAGTAGTAGAAAAGCAGATGGAACACTGAGAAGTTATTTCCTTGAGGATAGATTTCCATGATGGAAAGGAAATGAGAGGTTCTAAGAGGCGGGCTAGTGGCTTGTACTATAGCATAACCTGCCTTTGCTGGTGTGTGGTGATTAGGCCTGGTGGAACTGCCATCAATAAATCAAGTGTGATCAGGGTGAGGAACAGGAAAGAAGGAAATTTGGGGAAACGGGGTGAATGTCAGGTGGATCAGAGAGATACAGTCATGGGGGTCAGGTGTGGTATCAGGAATAATGTGGGAGGCTGGATTGAAGTCTGGGCCAGGAACAATGGTAATTGTGGGAGACTCAACAAAGAGTGAGTATAGCTGAAGGAGCCAGGAAGCAGAAAGTATATGCGTCAGGTATGAGGAAGAAAATAGATTTTGGAAGTTATGAGACTGTAGAGAGTGAGTTGAGCATAGTTTGTGATTTTGAGGGCCTCTAAAAGTATTAATGCAGTGGCAACCGCTGCACGCAGACATGAGGGCTAGGCTAAAACAGTAAGGTCAAGTTGTTTGGACAGAAAGGCTACAGGGTGTGGTGCTGGCTCTTGTGTAAGAATTCTGACCGCACTATCCATGCCTAGGAAGGAAAGGAGTTGTTGTTTTGTAGAAGGTGCTGGGGTTTGAGAGATTGGTCGGACGCGATTGACAGGGAGAGCACATGTGTTTTTATGAGAATTATGCCGAGATAGGTAACAGATGAGGAAGAAATTTGGGCTTGATTGAAGTAATGGGGGCTGTCTGTGAAGCTTTGCGGCAGTACAGCCTAGGTAATTTGCTGAGCTCAATGGGTGTCAGGGTCAGTCCAAGTGAAAGCGAAGAGAGGCTGGGATTAAGGGTGCAAAGGAATAGTAAAGAAAGCATGTTTGAGATCTAGAACAGAATAATGGGTTGTAGAGGCAGGTATTGAGGATAGGAGAGTATATGGTTTTGGCACCACGGGGTGGATAGGCAAAACAATTTGGTTGATAAGGCGCAGATCCTGAACTAACTTGTAAGGCTTGTCTGGTTTTAGGACAGGTAAAATGGGGGAATTGTCAGGAGATTTTATAGGCCTTAAAAGGCCATGCTGTAGCAGGTGAGTGATAACAGGATTTAATCTTTTTAAAGCATGCTGCGGGATGGGATATTGGCGTTGAGTGGGGTAAGGGTGATTAGGTTTTAATGAGATGGTAAGGGGTGCATGATTGGCCACCAAGGAGGGAGTAGAGGTATCTTATACTTGTGGGTTAAGGTGGAGGGATACAAGAGGACGACGCAAAGGAGGCTTTGGATTGGGAAGAAGGGTGGCAATCAGATATAGCTGTAGTCCAGGAATAGTCAGGGAAGCAGATAATTTAGTTAAAGTGTCTCAGCCTAATAAGGGAACTGGGCAGGTGGGGATAACTAAAAAGGAGTGTTTAAAAGAGTATTGTCTAAGTTGGCACGAGGGTTGGGGAGTTTTAAGAGGTTTAGAAGCCTGGCCGTCAATACCCACAACAGTTATGGAGGCAAGGGAAACAGGCCCTTGAAAAGAAGGTAATGTGGAGTGGGTAGCCTCCATATTGATTAAGAAGGGGATGGGCTTACCTTCCACTGTGAGAGTTACCAGAAGCTCGGCCTCCGTGATGGTCCAGGGGGCTTCCGAGGCGATCGGGCAGTGTCAGTCTTCAGCTGCTAAGCCGAGAAGATCTGGGAAGGAGTCAGTCAGAGAGCCTTGGGCCAGAGTTCCAGGGGCTCTGGGAGTGGCTGCCAGGTGAGTTGAACAGTCCGATTTTCAGTGGGGTCCCACACAGATGGGATGCGGCTTAGGAGGAATCCCGGGCTGCGGGCATTCCTTGGCCCAGTGGCCAGATTTCCGGCACGTGTAGCAAGCTCCTGTGGGAGGAGGTTCTGGAGGAACGCCTGGCCGCTGCAGTTCAGGCATTTGGAAGTTCTTGTGTGCTGGAGATGTGGCTGGGGTTTGTCTCACAGTGGAGGCAAGGAATTGCAACTTTTTTCTATTATTGCACACCTTGAAGGCGAGGTTAATTAAATCCTGTTGTGAGGTTTGAGGGCCGGAATTTAATTTTTGGAGTTTTATTTAATGTCGGGAGCAGATTGGGTAATAAAATGTATTTTGAGAATAAGACGGCCTTTTGACTTTTTAGGGTCTAGGGCTGTAAAGTGTCTCAGGGTTGCTGCCAAACAAGTCATGAACTGGGCTGGATTTTTATACTTGATGAAAAAGAGCCTAAATGCTATCTGATTTGGGTTAAAGAAAAAGGAGCATTAACCTTGACTATGCCTTTAGCTCCAGCCACCTTTTTAAGAGTAAATTGCTGGGCAGGAGCGGGAGGGCTAGTCACGGAATGAAACTGTAAGCCGGACCAGGTGTGAGGAGGGGAGGTGATAAAAAGATTATAGGGTGGAGGAGCAGAGGCTGAGGAAGAATTGGGACCTAGCTTGGCCTGGCGAGGAGCAGCCTGGGGATGAAGGGAGAGGTCAGATGGGTCTGTAGAAAAGGAAGATTAGAAAGACTCAGCGACGCTTGGGATTGGTGCTGAGGGGACAGGCGGGAGGGAAAGAAGGAAGATTTGGGACGAGTTGCACTGGGCACAGAGACTAGGAAGGGACTGATGTGTAAAAGAATGCCTGGACATCTGGCACCTCAGACCGTTTGCCTATTTTACGACAAGAATTATTTAGATCTTGCAGGATGGAAAAATTCAAAGTGCCATTTTCTGGCTATTTGGAACTACTGTCGAGTTTGTATTGGGGTCAAGCGGCATTGCAGAAGAAAATAAGGCATTTAGGTTTTAGGTCAGCTGTGAGTTGAAGAGGTTTTAAGTTTTTGAGAACAGAGGCCAAGGGAGTAGAAGGAGGAATGGAGGGTGGAAGGTTGCCCACAGTGAAGGAAGCAAGCCTAGAGAAAAGAGAGAGTAGAGAAATGGAGGGAAGGGGTTTGGGGGTTCTTACCTTCCAGAAAAGTGGGAAAAGGGGTTGGGACACAGAGATAAGAGGTCAGGGCATGGAAATAAGGGATGGGGTGCAGAGATATAAGAGGTTGGGGCACGGAAATAAGGGATTGGGGCACAGAGATACGAGGTTGGGGTACTTGCCCCTCCTCTAGAAAAGCAGGACTTGCCGCTAAGAGTGAAAGAGAAGGGGTTGAGGGGTACTTGCCTCTCCCCCAGAAAAGCAGGACTTGCCACTAAGGGTGAAGGAGAAGGGGTTGAGGGGTACTTGTCCCTCCCCCAGAAAAGCAGAGAAGGGGTAGAGACAAGGAGAGAAGGGGTTGGGGTACTTGCCCCTTCCCCAGAAAAGCGGGACTTGCCGCTAAGGGTGAAGGACTAAGGCAGGCGTCCCTGCATGGTCTGACAACTTTGAAACGTGAGCGAATAATCAGAGAGGCATCCCTGAAATGATTAAACACCAAGGGAAGGCTGTCTTCCCAGTCCATGACCGGCGCCGGAGTTTTGGGTCCACAGATAAAACATGTCTCCTTTGTCTCTCCCAGAAAATGAAAGGAATTGAAGTTAAGAGAAGGGAGAGATTGAAGAGTGGAAAGGAGAAAGTGGTTGAGGGACAGTGAGAGAGGTTGGAGAAGAGAGTAAGAAGAGGCTGCTTACCTGATTTAAAATTGGTGAGATGTTCCTTGGGCTGGTCGGTCTGAGGACCTGAGGTCGTAGGTGGATCTTTCTCATGGAGCAAAGAACAGGAGGACGGGGGATTGATCTCCCAAGGGAGGTCCCCCGATCCGAGTCACGGCACCAAATTTCATGCGCGTCCGTGTGAAGAGACCACCAAAGAGGCTTTGTGTGAGCAACATGGCTGTTTATTTCACCTGGGTGCAGGTGGGCTGAGTCCAAAAAGAGAGTCAGCGAAGGGAGATAAGGGTGGGGCCGTTTTATAGGATTTGGGTAGGTAAAGGAAAATTACAGTCAAAGGGGGTTTGTTCTCTGGCAGGCAGGAGTGGGGGTCGCAAGGTGCTCAGTGGGGGTGCTTTTTGAGCCAGGATGAGCCAGGAAAAGGACTTTCACAAAGTAATGTCATCACTTAAGGCAAGGACCGGCCATTTACACTTCTTTTGTGGTGGAATGTCATCAGTTAAGGTGGGGCAGAGCATATTCACTTCTTTTGTAATTCTTCAGTAACTTCAGGCCATCTGAAGTGCAAGTCACAGGGGATGCAATGGCTTGGCTTGGGCTCAGAGGCCTGACACCTACTTCTTAAGATTGTCATGAGGATTGTCATGAGTATGACAGTGACATACTACTTGCAAAATCACTTTTTAAACCGTAAAGTTGCTCAGCACTCCAATTATTTCATGCATAGGGAGTCTCTCCAAAAGTTACAAAAACTTCTCCCTACTACAAATAATAGGAATTTAAAAAGCTTCCATTTATTAACTATCTACTATGTACCAGATACTTTTCACTCTTCCATCATTCATTCACTAATTCATTCCATATATATATATATATATATATATATATATATATATATATATATAAAAGTTCCATGTGTTATGTCAGTATACGGTGGATTAAACAAAGTTAGAAGCCATCCCTTCTCTCCTAGAGATGGCTCTTTTATAAGGGAGGCAAACAGTAAAGAAGAAAACAGAGACCCATATTAGGACAAGTAGTTAGAATTCTATGAAGAAAAAGAGCAGGGCATGGTGGGAAGTGTATTGAGGATGGGTTTGGTCTGTATTAGCTGGAAGTACCCGGGGCTTGTTAGACTTTTGAACATTTGTTTATTCCAAGTATAATGGGGGAAGTTTAGGGTTTTTAAGCATGAGTATGATGATCTAATTTAAGTTTCAGAGAATGGTGAGCAAGAGAGACCACTTATGAGGCATTTACAATCAATACATACAACATTTCCTTGTGACTGGTATTATTATTCCCATTTTCCTGGGAAACAGGTTCAGAAAAGTGAGATGATTTACCCAGACTTTTCTAGTAAGTGTCAGAACTGGGACTCCCAGCCAGATGTCTCCCACTGGAGCCCAGGCTTAACGACTGGCATCTCCATCCACAGTTCTAATTTCTTACAGATTCCTTTGTAACTACCTTCTCTATCCTAATTCCTAGTCATTCCCAGTACCGGATACCGTACACTGCTGGTTCTGGAAAGATCTGTTGAATATATTTTTGTTTTATCCTTTAAAATTCAGTTCCCAAAAGAAAGCCCTAAAGCAACCTTTCCCAGTTCTCTCCAGGTCCAGCCCCCTCCCCAGACCCAAGATTGCTCACACATCCTCCTGCCTGGAGGAGGAAGAGGGAGCGTTCCTGGGGACTGCTGTGCCCGTTCCCACCCAACTGCTAACAAGGCTTTGAAATGAAAATGAAATCATAAAGTCTCATCGAATCTGCTCAACTTTCTGTCCCTTTTCATATGCCTTTCCATGGATATTCAAGAGCCAAGCCTCAATAGGTTGTAAATCCTCTTGGGGGCTGCAGTTGGAGCGATTTCACAGGCAAGAGAGAAATTCTTCCCTCCCGGGACCCTGCCCCGCCCCTTGCAAGCACTTGCAAGCCGCCTTGGAGATGCCAGGGAAGGAGGCCTTCCCCACGCCTGGCAGCCCCCCTAGCCTAGCCCAAGGAGGATGGGATCCCACGCTGCTGCTGCTTCCCCAAGGTTCGGTTTCCCCACCAGGGCCTCAACGGTATCTTAGGGCGTCCAACAGTGCCTCGCAGAGGAGACACTCCATAAAGTTGTATGAATTAACTAGTTTGGCTCTGAAAAGTGGGCAATAATAGTAGGTACCTCACAGCGTCGTTGAGGCATTGAAGTAACAGAGCTGGAAATTCCCAGCAGAGGACGTTGCCTTCCTTCCTCCCTTCCTCTCTTCCTTCTTTTCCTTCCCTTCTTCCTTTATTCCCTCCAGGCCATTAGGAGCCACATCTCCTTCAGCCCCTTTCTGCTTCCTGCTTTTGAATCTCTTCCTCCTGCTGCTATTTTTAGCAGGAGAGGTCTCTACCCTGGAAGCTGGCAGAGGTGCTGAGAGCAAAACTTTTCAAAGCAACCCCACCTCCCACCCCTACCCCCACCCCCGCCGCCCCCAGGGTCAGCGGCCTCTTGACAGCCCTCAGGCTAGGTGTGGGAAGATCTGGGAGCTCAGCAGAGGCGTTCCCTGGGTGTTTCCCACCGCCTGTTAGGGGCTGGTAGAGGGTAATGCTGTTCCTTTGGCCTTTCTTGCTGGAAATATTTCAGGGAACGTGAGGACACAGTAAGGTTTCTGACTTGGTTTGCCTGTGGGAAAACACAAAGCTGAACTTCACTTGCCACCCCTATGTCCAAACATAATTAATTATAAACCGGTCTTGCATTCTACTGGCATTCTTCAGCCCCAGCTCTCTATTTTAGCATTTATAACTGAAACTATGGTTTCACTGATTTATAATAGATGCTTGTCTCTCCACCAACTCAGAGTTTCTCCAGGATAAAGGTTTGTCTTTTTCATCTCAGTGCTAGTATCTGGTGTACTAGTGGGTCTCAGAAAAAAAGCCTGTTGAATAAATGAGTTTGTTTAGTGCCTATGACATGCAACACCCTGCTATATAAAGGTGAGGGCAAAAAGAGTCCAAAACTCAGGAAGCTTGCAAACTTCCAGGGAAGACACATAACACATACACAAGTAGCTGTCATTTTAGTACAGTAGATGCTATGTTACAGAATCTTGAATTCAGAACTAATCAGTCCATCTATCAGTACTTACTCCTTAAAATATAGTCAGCGCCTGCCATTAAGAAACCCATTTCTCATTAGCTGGGACAGAAAAGGTGTCATGAGAGTTGATCATTTTGCAGTTTTTATAATATTACGCTGATGAAACCAAACTAAACTGACATCTTTTTGCCAGGTGAGCCAGCATTCCAGGATTTCTTAACATTGCACTGGTATTATTTATAATATGGGGAACAATGTCACCTAGGAATGGAGTGATAGACAAAAGTCAGGTTTAAAGTTACCGAGGTGTAGTATCATTCTCGAGATTTCTTTTGAATATGTATTTAATGATTTTTGTCCATCGTCTCCTCCTACTTCATCACCATCATCATGAAAATAATCAGAAGTTCTAAGTCCTGCCAGAAGCCTGCTGGGGGAACTATCTGCCTGTTTCTTACTGCACTCTTCCTTTGAGGTGTCGATGTAATCTTTAGTTGCTGTCAGCCCTAAGAGGAAAGAAAATCAGTAAGATATTATGTTGAAATCCATAAGGGATGTTTTTCAGTTACCTCCTTGGAGATTGGACCTACAGGTTGGAAATGGACCATGAAGCAGTTACATACTCCGATTTTCAGTCGGGGACTCATAACTCACATTGTGATCTGTGATACGTGGCAGGAGAACTTGTGCTACAAGAAGGCATGTTAAAAATAAGGCATGAAAGGTCATAACAGTGGATTCCTCCCTCTGCAAAACTAATCAGGCATCTCCAACGGGTTTGGCATCTTAATAACAAAAGAACATGAGGGGAAAAGCCACTAAGGTATTCAGACATGAAAAACTTGTGCCATCTCACTCCTCTCTAGAAAGATTAAAGACTAGCTTCCAGGATAGGCCCAGCTAACAGTCAGGGAAACTGTCTGTAATCAATTTCAAATAAAAGATTACAATCAGAGAACCTTCTAGAAAACTGGCCAAGGTCAGTGATAATCTTATTCTTCATTATCAGGGCACCAAATATTAACACCGTTGCCTGACAGCTGCTTTCATGTTTTGTATCAAGACTAAAATGGTCTCATTCTAGTCTTAAGCCAGTGAATTTTCTGGGAACAAGTAGTTCACATTTGGTACAAGAATTCTCACCTCTTCACTGGCTTAAAGTATTTTTCCTCCCAGCTTCCCTGGCTTGCATCATGGTAGCTGCCCTCTTTTGTTTTAACTTTGAGACTGTTCCCTTGGCCTAACCCAGACAGATGACCTGTATTTTAAATAGTCTTTTAGAATCAGTTTCACCTCTGAGTCTTTAGTTTTCTCATTTATAAAGTGAGTATAACAATACCCTCCTCACAGGGTCATGGTGCAAATTCTTAACTTTAAATATGGCTCATGGTAGGGACTCATTAAAGGTTAGCATTTTCACAGCTAATTGTTCATAAAAAAGAAAAAGAGGGCCAGGCGTGGTGGCTCATGCCTGTAATCCCATTTGGGAGGCTGAGGTGGCGGATCACCTGAGGTCAGGAGTTCCAGACCAGCCTAGCCACATAGTGAAACCCCCATCTCTACTAAAAATACAAAAATTAGCCAGACGTGGTGGCAGGCGCCTGTAATCCCAGCTACTCGGGAGGCTGAGGCAGAAGAATCGCTTGAACCTGGGAGGCTGAGGTTGCAGTGAGCCAAGATCATGCCATTGGACTCCAGCCTGGGCAACAAAAGTAAAACTCTATCTGAAACACACACACACACACACACATACACACAGAGAGAGAGAGAGAAAAGAAAAAGGGATCAATTATTTCTGTTTCATAGCTGTGTCCTCAGTTAAAAGAAAAACAATGTCCATTCATGGTGGCTCATGCCTGTAATTCTAGCTCTTGGGAGGTCAAAGAGGAAAGATAATCTGAGGCCAGAAGTTCAAGACTAGCCTGGGCAACATAGTGAGACCCCATCTCTACAAAATATAAAAAGTTAGCCAGGTATAGTGGTACGTGCCTGTAATCCCAATTACATGGGAGGCTGAGGCAGGAGGATCACTTGAGCCCAGGAATTTGAGGCTGCAGTGAATTGTGATGACACCACTGCACTCCAACTGAGTGACATAACAAGACCCTGTGTCCAAAAAGAAAAAACAAAAATGGCATACATTTGCTGTTATTGTTTGCACATAATATAAACTGTTAGAATAAATAAGCTCAGCAAAGTTGCAGAATAAAAAATTAATGCACAAAAATCTGTTGCATTTCTATATACCAAAAATAGACAACCAAAAAAAGGAAATTAATTAAACAATTCTATTTACAGTACCATCAAAAAGAATAAAATACTTAGAAACAAACAATCAAGGAAGCGAAAGACTTATAAACTCAAAACTACAAAATTTTGCCAAAAGCAATGAAAGAAGACACCCATAAATGGAAAGACAGCCCACATTCATAGACTGGAAAACTTACTAGTGTTAAGATGTTACCACTATGCAAAGTGATATACAGATCCAATGCAATCCCTATTAAAATTTCAATGATGTTTTTGCAGAAATAGAAAAACCCGTCCTAAAATTCATATGGCATCTCATGGGACCCCATATAGCCAAAACAACATTGAAAAAAAACAATATTGGTCTCACATTTCCCGATTTCAAAACTTTCTGCAGTGCTACAATAATCAAAACAGTCTAGTACTGGTATAAAGACAGACATACAGAGCAATGAAATAGAATAGAAAGCCCAGAAATAAATCCTCCCACTTAAGGTCAAATGATTTTCAACAAGGGGGCCAAGACCATTCAATAGGTAAAGGACAGTCTTTCCAACAAATAGTGTTGGGAAACTTGTATATCCACATGCAAAAGAATGAAGTTGAACCCTTAGTTTCTGCCATATATAAAAATGACCAAAACATAAGAGCTAAAGCTATAAAATTCTTAGAAGAAAACATAGGGCAAAACCTTCATTGTATTGGATTTAGCAATGATTTCTTGGATATGAAACCAAAAGTACAAGCAACAAAAGAAAAAAATAGATAAATTGGACACTATCAAAATTAAAAACTTCTGTGCATCAAAGAATACCATCAACAAGGTAAAAAGGTAACCCACCAGAATGGGAGAAAATATTTGCAAATCACATATCTGATAAGGGATTAATATCCAGGATATCTAAATAACTTTTACAACTCAACAACAAATACACAAATAACCCAGTTCAAAAATGAGCAAATATTTGAATAGACATTTCTCTAAAGAAGATATGCAAATGGCTAAATAAGCACATGAAAAGATGCTCAACATTTCTAATCATAAAGGAACTGCAAATCAAAACTGCCACAAGATGCCACTTCACACCCATTAGAATGATTATTGTCAGAAAACAGAAAATAACACGTGTTGGCAAGGATGTGGAGAAAATGGAACCCTTGTGCGTTGCTGGTGGGAATGTAAAATGGTGAAGTCACTGAAAAACAGTATGACAGATCCTAAAAAATTTAAACATGGAATTACCATATAATCCGGCAACTCCACTTCTGGGTATATACCAAAAGAATTAAAAGCAAGACTCAACCTTTGTATATCAACGTTCATAGCAGCAATAGTCACAATAGACAAATGGTAGAAAAGTCCAAATGTCAATCTACGGATGAATTTATAAACAAAATGTGATATATACATACAACAGAATATTCTTCAGCCTTAAATAAAGAAGAAAATTTCCAGCCTGGGCAACATAGCGAGACCCTGTCTCTAAAAAAATAAAATAAAATTAGCTGGGCATGGTAGCTTATGCCTGCAGTCCTAGCTACTTGGGAGGCTGAAGAGGAGGGATTGCTTGAGCCCAGGAAGTTGAGGCTGCAGTGAGCCGTGATCGTGCCACTTCACTCCAGCCTGGGCGACAGGGTGAGAACAAAGAAAGATGAAAGAGAGGAAGGAAGGAAAGAAGGAAGGAAGGAAGGAAGGAAGGAAGGAAGGAAGGAAGGAAGGAAGGGAAATTCTGACACATACTATAACATAGATGAATCTTAAAGACAAGTCAGTCACTAAAGGACAAATATTGTAAGTTTCCACTTAAATATGGTACCTGGAGTAGTCAAATTCATAGAGACAAAAGGTAGAATGATGGTTGCCAAGGGCTTACTAGAGAGAAGAATGAAGATTTTTAATGGGTATAGAGCTTCTGTTTGGGAAGATGAAGTTCTAAAGATGGATGGTGGTGATGGTTACACAACACTGTGAATGTACTTAATTCTGTTAACCACTACAGTTAAAAATGTTTACAGTGGTATAATCAATGTTTATGTACATTTTACCACAACTTAAAAAAAAGATAACTATATTATCTGGCAGGAAAAACCTGCTCAGCCTGTGGCCACTCTTGGACAATAATAAATTCTGAGAAGAGTGAGAAATTTGAATTTTATTTGGGATACAATTTCTCCAGATATATCTATCCTTGAGAATTCTGTGAATTATACCTCTGCAAAATACAACTGTATTTCATGAATATATTTTGACTCAGTAGGACAGTGGGTGGCCAGTTTGAGGACAAAACGCCATGCTTATTTTCTTTTTAAAAAGACAGCGTTTATTAGAGAACACTGTGAAATGACTTGGGAAAATTCTGGAGAGAATCAAACTCCTTTCAGAAGTGCATGAGAATCCTCTTTAGAAATACTGAAACCAATTGTAGATGGTAACTGCAGGGGAAGAACCTTATATTTTATTTATATATATATAATATAAGCAATATGTAATATAAAAATTATATAATTATATAATATATATTATATATATTATGGCAAAAACCACAGTTACATTCACACCAACCTAGATTAAGTGGTTCAAGCCTTCATTTAAAAAAAAAAGATTGTTTACATAAGGAATAAGAGAAATAGAAATGGAAATCTTGCCTTAAGTTGTGGGAGGGTAAGGCACACTCACTAGCTCTACCCATGCACAAAGCAATTAATGGGCACACACACTTTTCTCGTGGGAACAGTAGCAGCCCACCTCTTGAGAGGCCTAACCGCTTGGTATTCATTAGCTTGATGAGCTCTCCAAGGCCCAGATTCTGGTCCAAGCCTTGCCAGCTTACTTACCCGATGTGTCCCCACACTGACAGATGGTCCAGCTCTCAGGACCTGACTCACATTAACTCTGCTCATGGAATGGGGGTATGGAAAAGAGAATGCCAATTCATGAACTTAGTGTGATTTAGAAATACCACAGGGACCAAGAATATTCAAAGTCATTTTAACCCACACATTTTTATCCCTGTTAAACGAATCTGTGTGGGCAGCCAAATGTTAATCAGAGAAGATTGCTTGGTGAGCATGAAATCAGAAGTGAGGCATTCAATGTCCATTGACAGCAGGCTAAAGCAGTGTTTCTCAACTCCCAAAGAGTTTGATTTGATTATTCTAGGTTTCAGCCTGGGCACAGGTTTATCTTCAAAATCTGCCCAGGTGATTTTAATAAAAAATCTGAATTTTGAACTACTGGGCTAATATATGCTTGTGTACCACCAGGACTAGGAACTGCCTGCTAGATGTCCTTTGGCAAAGGTTCCCTGTCTGAATAGTGCTTGGGTACTGCCAATGTCTGCCTCTGAGACTCTTTTGTTCTGTCATGGGTGCCAACCCCTCTCCCTTTTTTCATTCTAAGTGCTTGTTTCACAGAAGCATGAAGAAACCAAGTGACTTGCCTAAGGCTATACAGTTAGAGGCAGAATCAGAACTAAAATTACAGTTCTTCTGAATTTCATTCTAGGGCTTTGCTTTTTCACCTGGCCTTCAAAGAGATCTGCAGGGACTTTATAGCAGAGGGTTGCCTTGAACAACCCATAGTTCACATGTCAGGTCAGGTCCCCATAGTTCACATGTCAACTGCTTTTAGTTTCTTGAGGTATGGGTTCTGGTGAAGACAGAGTTAATTACTTTAAGTTGGGATATATTTAAAGTTATTGAATTGTAAGGGGTGCCTCTCTGTGCTCCCCACTATATTGTGTGTTTATTTCTCTCATACCAACAAGTTTTCTTGTCTAACTATAAGTCCATCATAGTTCCTATCTTATTTATTTTGGCACCCCTAATTTCTGGCAGGTGCCAGTTTCATGAGTTAGCCTTGCTGTCATTCTACACTGGATATGAGGTCCTAGAGCTGAGAGAGAGATCAAGGCTGAAGATGTCAGTAGAGACAGCCAATGAATTGTGTGAAGGGTGAGATTCCATCAGGGAAAGCGCCTATCTTCCAGGCCCATAAAGCTGACCCTGCTCTAGTCTCTGAGCCTATCTTATAAACCTGGAGAACATTACTGCCTTTTGGTGTGATTTTTTAGTGAGGGAAAATGGTGAGTTCAGGTGTGAAATTGTTCACAAGTGGAGTGATATCAGCATTCAAAAAGTGTTGGGTGTGGGAGCATTTTGGATTTTGGATTTTCAGATTATGGATGCCCAACATGTGTTTGTATTTAAAGGTTCAGTCCTCTCAGGCACTCTTCTCAGACACACATGTCATGAAATGGAAAAGTTTCCACAGTCCTTCTTATAATTATTTTGTTCCAGCATTATTGGGATATAATTGACAAATAAAAATTGTATGCATTGAAAGTATTGATATATGTATACATTGTGAAATGAAATGATTGCCGCAATCAAGCTAGTTAATACATCCATCACCTCACCTAATTACACGTGTGTATGTACGTGTGTGTGTGTCAAGAACACTTAAGATTTACTCTCTTAGCAAGTTTCAAATATACTATACAGATTGTATAATATAGTCACTATGCAACATATTAGATCCCTAGAATTATTTTTATTCTTTCAAAAAGTTACATAAATATATTTCATTGGTTTCTTTAACTTTAGTTTTCCCATGGTCTTAAATTTCAGAATGAGAATCTTTACATTGTTTTTTTAATTAAATTTTTTATTAAATAATATTTGAAAGTCTTTTTTTTTTTTTTTTTTTTTGAGATGGAGTCTCACTCTTTTGCCCAGGCCAGACTGCAGTGGCACTATCTCGGCTCACTGCAAGCTCCACCTCCCGGGTTCATGCCTCAGCCTCCTGAGTAGCTGGGACTACAGGTGCCCACCACCATGCCTGGCTAATTTTTTGTATTTTTAGTAGAGACGGGGTTTCACCATATTAGCCAGGATGGTCTTGATCTCCTGACCTCGTGATCGGCCCGCCTTGGCCTCCCAAAGTGCTGGGATTACAGGCGTGAGCCACTGCCTCCCACCGAAAGTCATTTTTTAAATCAGAATTTTGTCTGTAATGGCCTATAAAAAGGTGTGATACAAAGGAGATAAGCATTTATTTTCTCCATTTTGGACAAGAAAAGGAAGAGCTCTACTTCACAAAAGAATTTATCTCCAGTTTCTGCAGTAAATTAAAATGCTATGGTTCATAGAGAAGCAGTGGACCAGATTTCTGGGTCTTCATTACCCAAAGCACAGTACCAGTTTGGAGGATCACTTTCTTCTATTCCTTTTCTTCATTCTCATTGGCACAAGGGCAAATACATATTTTAAAAAGTGAGAGTAAGTTGAGATCTTAGCAGCAGTCATATAACACTATAGCATCAAAGAAACTCAGTAATAATTAATAGAGCATTTCACTTAGGGATGGCAAAAATGTGATGGGTGATGTAGTGCCTCACCCCTACCTTGGCACACATCACTAATCAATTATTGAGCCAAAATGTGGCCCAATAGATCTTTTCTACACGATGCCCCCAGCAGAAAATACCATGTAATTGGAGTTGCCACAGAGGCCCTACCTAAGCTAATCATTTTACATTATGAGAACATTGAGGCCCATAAAGGCAAAGTGATTTGCCCAAGGTCATTCAGAGACATGCAGAGCTGGGACAGGAACCCTAATTCTGTATAATGCAAAAATCCATTCTCTCTTATGAGCCTTGTGTCAACTGACAGTGGCCCTGAATCCAGCAAGGGCACACAGGAATCTGTACAGGATGGATCATTTCAACTTGGAAAGACAGACAAGTGTCCATGGCATCAAGAAACTCAAAGGAACAGCTAGGAACAGATGGCAGAACATTACTGTTCCTCCACCTTTCCCAGGGAGAAGCAGGGGATAGAGAAGGAAATGGAGATCTCTCCACCAGCCTCATAATTGTGGAGGGTTTTGTTTTTGTTTTTGTTTGCTTGCTTGCTTGCCTTTGAGACGGGGACTCACTCTGTCACCCTGGCTGGAGTGCAGTGGCACATTACGGCTCACTGCAGCCTTGACTTTTCAGGCTCAAGTGATCCTCCCACCTCACCTCAGCCTCGCCAGTAGCTAGGACTACAGGCACAGGCCACCATGCCTGGCTAATTTTTTTATTTTCTGTAGAGATGAGGTCTCCCTATGTTGCCCAGATTAGTCTTGAATTCCTGGGCTCAAGCAATCTCCACACCACAACTTCCCAAAATGTTGAGATTACAGGCATGAGCCACTGGGCTCAGCCAATTGTGGAGTCTTTGAAGCTGTCCCATCAGGTATCGGGGAAGGAAGGAAGATGTCCCTATATACAAGTAGCAGTCCACAAGAGTGGCCACCCAACTGCCTTGCTACTTGTTCAGGTTCCCACAACCAAGGTTTGGAAGTTCTTCAGAAACTATTCACTTTCTAAAAACCTGTTCATTCTCTGTACTAGAGCTGAAGATAATGAAATGACTGGTTGTGGTGGGACTTTGATCAGACAGAGGGATAAGAAGTCACCATGATGAGGGGTCTGGCTGGTTGTGAAGTCATTTCTGAGGAAGCAGAGATCCCACGGCTGTTATTGTACCAGCTCCAAAAGTCCCCAGAGAAGATGTTTGGTCATGACAGGAGGGTGTGAAGTGGGTTTGGCAGCAAAGGCACTAAAGCTGATTTTCTCCTGCCTTTCCCTTTGAACTCTAGGTGGGGTTTATGGTCCCCGTAATTAAGAGTGAAGATTGATGAGCAGCAAAGCTCTCTTGGAGAGCCCTCAGGGGCTTGAAACCTAGGCTTTGGGTGCTTTTAAAGGACTGGGGGAAAGGAGGCAATGGGGCAAAGGCAGATTTTGGCATGGTTCATTTTTATCCAGTTTCACCTGCCCCCATAAAGTGCCATGAAACCGCTCTCCACTGAACAGAAATAGGCTTTAGGGTGCAAACATGAGCAGCACTCGGAGGCCCTGAGAGGATTAGGAGAAACTGTGGAGAAACATGTGAAAGACCAAATTTTCCTTCCCCTAAAGACTGTGGGTGTGGAGAAATGTTGTTTCCAGCTGGGATAGTCTAAGTATGGTTAACTTTTTTTGAATTAAACTTTCACCTTCCCTTGGAATTCAAAGATTGACAAATGTAATGGCTGTGAATTGAATAAAAGGAAGGGAGCCTCCTTAAACCTATTTGGCACAGGGTGGCTGTTTACAGGCCTGCAGACATTCCATGCCAGTTGATACAAAGATTTTGGTTTGCCAGCATACTCATATCTGAATCTCAAAAAAGGAACAATGATTCCATAGACTTTGTCCTCTGTGGTTCTTTGGGGGATGTCTCTTTCTTTTGCCCAGCTTGAAAGGACCAGAAATTAATTTACTGTGCACTTGGGACAAGAGCACCTATTATATTTGTTATTTTTATGGAAGTATTACCATGTGCTGGGCACATAAGCAGTTTACATGCGCACTTTCACAACACATCCTTACTGCGGATGGATATTACTGCCATTTTCCAGTCAAACACTGAGGCTCAGAGAGGTTAGGACCCCAGCCCAAGATTGCACAGCTCCAAGAGTCAGAGCTGAGACTAGAAATCAGTTCTGTCTGATACCACACCTCAGCCCTGACCAGCATAACCATTCAGCAGTCCTATTTGAGATATCAATTTTCTGTGAGATACTAACATTTTTTTAATAACATGGAAAAAATAAGGAACAACAGAGGACATCCTACATAAAGAGTAAGTATTCGTTTGTGATACATTTGTTTTCATTACATATATATGTATAGTGTTCTTAGTAGTGAGATAACATTGTTTTCTTACTGTGGATCATGGTCAAAAACATTTTAAGGCCACTGTCCTAAACCACTTGGCAATCTTGCTTGCGTGGGTAGGTGAGTTATCAGACCCACTTACTGGGCTTTTAAGGAAGACTTGTGGAGAGAAAGCAAAGGGTGGACTCCTCAGAAAGCACAAAGAGTGGAGGTATTAGTTTTTGCCTCTAGAACCGGGGTCAGCAAACTTTTTCTTAAAGGGACAGATAGTAAAAACTTTAGGCTTGCTGGTCAGATAGTCTCTGCAGCCACTACTCAATTCTGCAAAGCAGCCATAGACAATATGCAAATGAATGGGTGTGTCTGTGTTCTAATATAAATCCATAGTTATAGAAACATACAGCTGGCCCATGGGCTGTAGTTTGCTGACTGCTACTCTTAGATATAGTCTTAGATAAAGAAACTACTTGAATTGCCACAGTATTGGCCTATAACAATTGAATGTCCCCCAATTTTAAGAACAGCCCAATTTCAAATGATCTAAGATTAAGTGTTCACATTTTTGCCCCTGATGATATTGTTCCTATATTATTAGGTGTATTAGTTATACACTACTATGTAAAATATTTACCCCAAAATGTTGTAGCATAAAATAGCAAATACTTATTATCTCATAGTTTCTCTGGGTCAGGAATTTGGGCCTGGCTTAGCTGAGTACCTGTCCCTCAAAGACTCTTACAAAGCTGAAATCAGTTTACATCAACTGGGGCTGTGGTCTTATCTGAAAGTTTGACCAAGGGGAGATCCTCTTTCAAACTGACTCAGATGTTGGCAAGATTAAGTTCTTTAAAGGCTTCTCTCAGTTCCTTGCCATGAGGGTCTTTCCATGGGGCAGCTCACAACATGGCAGCTGGCTCCCATCAGAGGGAGCAAGTGAGAGAGCAAGAAAGGGCAAAAATATGGAAGTCAGAGTCCTTGTGCAAAAACCCAATCTTTGCAACATCTCATCACTTTTTTCACTTTGTATGAACCATGAGTAAGTCACTAAGTCTAACCCATACGTGGGGGGAGGAGATTATACAAGGGTCTGAATACCAGAAGCCAGAAATCATTTGGAGCCATTTTAGAGGCTGCCTACCAGGTAAGGGCTAGGTATTTGATTTATTCCTTCACAAATATTTATTGAGCACCTATTATATGTAAGGCACTACAGTAGGTAGTACATAGAACAGAAAAAAAATTCTTGTTCCCATTCTGGTGAGAGAAGACAGATGATAAACACGAAAAGGGAATTAATACAAAATGTCAGCTAGTGTTGCAAACTAAATGTGCCCACTCAAAATTCATATGTTGAAGCCTGATCCCCAGTGTGGCTATCTTTGGATGGGGCTGCTAAGGAGGTCATTAACATGAAATTAGGTCATAATGGTGGGTCTGTGATCTGATAGAATAAGTGTTCTTATAGGAGACACCAGGAAGTTTGCTCACTCTCTCTTATCTCATGGGGAAAGGCCTCACATGAGGACACAGTGAGAAGGCAGTCATCTACAAGTCAGGAAGAGAGCCTTCACCAGAAATGGAATTTGTTGGCATGCTGATCATGGACTTCCAGCCTCCAGAACTGTGACAAGATAAATGTCTGTTTTTGGCTGGGCATGGTGGCTCACACCTGTAATCCCAGCATTTTGGGAGGACGAGGTAGGCGGATCATGAGGTCAAAAGTTCGAGACCAACCTGACCAACATGGTGAAACTCTGTCTCTACTAAAAATACAAAAATTAGCCAGGCATGGTGGTGTGTGCCTGTAATCCCAGCTACTCAGGAGGCTGAGGCAGGAGAATTGCTTGAACCTGGGAGGCGGAGGTTGCAGTGAGCCGAGATTGCCCCAATGCACTCCAGCCATCTGGTCTGGGGTATTTTGTTATGGAAGCCTGAGCGTGTAAATTTAGGTGGTGATAAGTATCATGGAGAAAAATAAAGCAGGGTAGCACTGGAAAAGGGTTTGCAACTTTAAATTGGGTAGTTTGTGTAGGCCCCACAGAGGTGACACCTGAGCAAAGCATGTAGGAGGTGAAGGAGTGAGCCAATATAAATATGTGAGTTTCAGAGGGAACAGCTAGTGCATGGACTGTGAGACTGGGAGCATATTGTTCAAGGAGTGGCAAGGACATCATCATATTTGGGACAAAATGTATTTAGGGGGTTAGGAGGAAAACATGTGGGGTACTATCAGTCATTGTAAGAATTTTTGCTTTTCCTCTTAATCAAACAGGGAGTCATTGCAGGGTTTTAAACTGAGCAGTGCTGTGATCTAACTGATATTTTAATGTGGCCCTCTGGCTGCTGTGTGGAGAAGAGATTAGGTAGAAAGGCAAGGTTGAATGCAGGAAGGCCTGTTAGAAGATGATGGCAGCTTGGTGGGAGATGGAGGTGGTAATGGGTGGAGGTAATGAGAAGTCAACCACTTACTTTCACTCTCAGAAGCAAAATGCTAGTTTAGAAGCCTCTTCATTAGCAGAGCCTAATCAATAAATTTTTTGTTTGTAAGGGGTGACATGGAAAGAGCCCCAGACCAGAGGCCAAGAGACCAGGTCCTAGTCTGGACTCTATCAGCTTAGCGGAGTGATAGAAGACGAATCAATCAACCTCTGGATCTCTGTGTCTCCTTCAGTAAAATAAGATGTTTGAACAAGGTCCTCTCTAACTCTACAAGTATAATTTTATGAGTCTCAGTGGAAAGTAGATTTGGAACAAATGAATAGTTCTATTACTATTCACTTTAAGCTTGATCATTCCTTGTGAGGGAAAAAAAAAACACAGAAAATTGCAGAGCTGGGCCTTCAGGAAAATTAAAAAACAATTACAGGCAAAATAATATCCTTGGGAAAAACTCCATGTTTAATCTCTAGGTAGCCTGGGGCCTAGGTAGACTGAGGGATGTACATCAGTGAATTTTCCCAATGCAGATGAACAAAACAAAATTCAACCAGAAATCAGACAAGATCCTATTCTTCAGGGAAGGAAGTGATATAATAGTTTTACAGAAATTCAGTGACTCTAATCTCTCTCCATGTTCCCACATGTCAAGTACAATGCACCTTGACAAGGCGTTGCCCCTCAAATAGAGGGATTAAGGATTATTACTTACCACCCCCTGGAAATGCACCTGAAGAAACTGGTAGGAGCCAAAGAAGGCGTCTTTAAACACTCATGTGAAACAGGTTGAGACTTAGTGATAACTGCTTCCAGAGCACCATCAGGCAGTTATCCAAGCAAAAACCATATCCATGCCACCAAATATCTTTGTTAGTAACAAAATTACAACTTTAAACTGCTGGAGGGCAGTGCAAGAGGTTGCCACTAGCATTTTTGGACTGCCCATTGCCTACCAGGCGTACGTAGATGTTCACTCAGTTATTCTTCACAATGATTTTGGGAGGTAAGATACCATTATCTGTTTTGCAGAAGTAGGAACTGAGCCTGACTTGCCTAAGGACATGCAGCTAGGAAGTGCAGAGCAGAGATTGCTTACAATACCCAAGTTCTCCGCTCCACAATGCTGCCACGCTAATGTGTTTTGTCTCAGGGGTTGGTGCTGATCACTACATTGTTAATATTCACTGAGCACTGAACTGAACATCAGTCACATATTATTCATGTTCTAGTTGTTTTTATTCTCAGAGCTTATGTCAGCCGTGCATTGGGGAATTTAAGAGCACCAAATAATTTCAGAAACTACTCAAGGCTGTACAGCTGCAAAATAAGTTATGAGTCTGTAGGGAATGGTTTAGAGGGTGGTAGTGGCCTCTGCAGTTCAACTAATCTATACTCAAACTTGTAACTCCACCACCTAGTAGCCATGTGACCTTGGTCAAGTTACTTAACCTCTCTGAGCCTGAGCTTCTTCATTTGTAAAACAAGGGCAATAATGGTGTGTGCCTCATTAGGTTCTATGTACATATATAATATGAAAATTCACATAAATTGCTTAGAATAGTGCCTAACACATGGTAAATACTCAATAAATGTTGTAGAGTATTATTGTTTACCTAGAAAATAACCTTCTTTGAGGTTGCTGAAGCTATTTCTTTGTCCCTGCTGACTTTTCAGGCTGTGTGTTTCATGCATTTATTTGTTTTTTAATAACAAATCTGAGACCAACTGATATAATTCTTTTGTTCCAAAATTATAGCTAGTCTTGATCTTCATGGTCTAATTCTCATTGAATTGGTGGTATATTGCTTGTCAATTCAAACCTGACATAGAAAAATAATCTGTCCCACAACTCTGGTGTTAAATCCACCATGGCTGGAATTATAAGCAAGCTTCCATTTAAGGACTCTCCACAATGTGATGCTCTAAATGGCCTCCCAGGAATGTGCTCTTGTCTTTCCAGAGGCTTTTCTGGTCTCATAAATAAGCAGAATGGGCTGGGTGCAGTGGCTTACGCCTGTGATTCTAGCACTTTGGGAGGCCGAGGCGGGTGGATCACGAGGTCAAGAGATCAAGACCATCCTGGCCAACATGGTGAAACTCTGTCTCTACTAAAAATACACAAATTAGCTGGGAGTGGTGGTGTGCACCTATAGTCCCAGCTACTCGGGAGGCTGAGGCAAGAGAATCACTTGAACCTGGGAGGCAGAGGTTGCAGTGAGCTGAGATCGCATCACTGCACTCCAGCCTGGCGACAGAGTGAGACTCCGTCTCAAAAAAAAAAAAAAAAAGCAGAATGATCAGGATAGGAAGCGTTGCCAATTGAGGAGTGCATGAATTGTCCGAGTTTGTCACCAAATAACTTCTGATCAGTTTTTGCCTTGACAGGCCTAATTTTTCAAGAATAGTCAGAAATGCAGATTTTGAAATTTGTGTGTGTGGCAAAAATCCTGTGCTTTCCTAATGCTGGCAACTAACTCAGGTAGGAGGCACAGGCAAGCAATTAAATATTGCTAACTAATTCAGTGTTGACAACTAACTGAAATGGGATGCATAGAAATGCAAATCAAAACCACAATAAGATACCATCTCACACCAGTTAGAATGGCAATCATTAAAAAGTCAGGAAACAACAGGTGCTGGAGAGGATGTGGAGAAATAGGAACACTTTTACACTGTTGGTGGGACTGTAAACTAGTTCAACCATTGTGGAAGTCAGTGTGGCAATTCCTCAGGGATCTAGAACTAGAAATACCATTTGACCCAGCCATCCCATTACTGGGTATATACCCAAAGGACTATAAATCATGCTGCTATAAAGACACATGCACACGTATGTTTATTGCGGCACTATTCACAATAGCAAAGACTTGGAACCAACCCAAATGTCCAACAACGATAGACTGGATTAAGAAAATGTGGCACATATACACCATGGAATACTATGCAGCCATAAAAAATGATGAGTTCATGTCCTTTGTAGGGACATGGATGAAATTGGAAATCATCGTTCTCAGCAAACTATCGCAAGGACAAAAAACCAAACACCGCATGTTCTCACTCATAGGTGGGAATTGAACAATGAGAACACTTGGACACAGGAAGGGGAACATCACACTCTGGGGACTGTTGTGGGGTGGGGGGAGGGGGGAGGGATAGCACTAGGAGATATACCTAATGCTAAATGACGAGTTAATGGGTACAGCACACCAGCATGGCACATGTATACATATGTAACTAACCTGCACATTGTGTACATGTACCCTAAAACTTAAAGTATAATAATAATAAAATAAAATAAAAAATTTTAAATGTCTGATCTAGTATAGCTCAAAGGTCCCATCTGGTTTGAAAAATTGAGATTATTAATAAAAGAATAAAAATTAGAAGAAGGAAAATAGTCTCAGCAAAATGGACTTAAAATTTTAGGAATGTTTTCTAGACATGCTGGTTTGGGTCCAAAAAACTACCTACAGGGAAAGGTTCTCCTAATTATTTTGCCAGTACAGAACCACTTGAAACCACATGGCAGTGGTCACCTTGAGCTTGTGGAAAATAGCTGGCCCCTCCAGTTTTCAATTTAACTTGAAAGCAGAATGGATCTCTGATGATTGGTGATGACGAGCATCTTTTCATATGTGTATTGGCTATTTGTATATCATCTTTGGAGACATGTCTATTCAGACTTTTGCTCATTTTAAAATCAGCTTATTTGATGTTTTTGTAATTGTAGGAGCTCTTTACATATTCCGGATATTAACCCTCATTAAATCTATGATTAACAAATATTTCCTTTTATTCTGTAAACTTTTTTTTTTCAAGTTTGGGTCTCTCTCTGTCACTCAGGCTGGTGTGCAGTGGCATGATCATGTCTCATGGCAGCCTTGAACCCCTGGGTTCAAGCAATCCTTTTGTTTCAGCCTCCCAAGTAGCTGAGACCACAGGCACACACTACCAAAACTAGCTAATTAAAATTTTTTTTTTGTAGAAACAGGATCTCACTATGTTACCCAGGCTCGTCTCAAACCCCTGGCCTCACGTAATCTTCCTACCTTGGCCCCCCAAAGTGCTGAGATTACAGGTGTAAGCCACCATAACCAGGCTTATAAATTGCATTTTCACCCTCTTGTGTTCTTTGATGCACAAAAGTTCTTAAGTTTGCTATAGTTTCATTTGTCTGTTTTTTTTTATTTTGTTGCCTGTACTTTTGGCGTCATAGCCAAGAAATTCATGGCCAAGTTTAATGTCATTAAATTTTTCCACCATGTTTTCTTCTAGGAGTGTTGTAGTTTGGGGTCTTATGCTTAGAAGGTGCTGCTTTGAGACCCAGAGAAGACCTTGATCTTTTCATTTGAATAACTATCTTCATCCATCAGCTTAATGGATCATTTCAACCCTCAAGGCTAATATTCTAAGGGGAGCAAGAGAGTTCCCCTTATTCTAAGCTAACTTATCCCCACCACTGCCCCACCTCTGACCAAACCTTCATGTCCAATAGCCCTGCTGTTTCTTTGTGCAGTTGCAAAGGGGGAGATGTATGTCAACAGTCTCTTGAGAATGAAACGCTGCCTGCTTGCCTGCCTCCCTGTCCCCCATATCTTACTAATATATAAAAATATATGGGCCGGGCATGGTGGCTCATACCTGTAATCCCACCACTTTGGGAGGCTGAGGCGGGTGGATCACCTGAGGTTGGGAGTTCGAGACCAGCCCTACCAACAAGGAGAAACCCTATCTCTACTAAAAATACAAAAAAATAGCCGGGTATGGTGGTGCATGCCTGTAATCCCAGCTACTCAGGAGGCTGAGGTAGGAGAATTGCTTCAACCCGGGAGGCAGAGGTTGCAATGAGTTAAGATCGGGCCATTGCACTCCAGCCTGGGCAACAAGAGCAAAAATAAGTGGTAAGATGACTTGAAACCCTCTCTCTTCCTTTAGTGGGAAGAGGAACCTGGTGCTAAGAGAGAAGCATTTTGCACCCAGTGCTATTTACAGTAAAGTGATTTGAAGAAATTTTGTAATGAGACCCAGGATAGAGAGGATACAATTATGTCTACTTTCTACTTTCATATTTAGGCCCAGAGTCTTTGTTCCGTTACAGAATTGTGACCTTCCAGATAAGTCTAAGATAACCAATTTGTGGAAGACAGCACATTTCTATGACAACCAACATATAAAAGTATAGGTGAAGACCAGAAGAAGGGCCAAGAAGATTATGTGTTGTAATAACTTCCTGCTCTTTCAGGGACAAAGGAAAAGAGATTCAACTAATCCCAGAACTTTGGTAACAAAATTCCAGGCAAAGTTAACAAGTATGTTCCAAGTGTGATCCATAGGAATAATGGCAAAACAGTGGGACTTTCACTAAGCTGGAACTGTTTTTCTCCCAAAATAGCTAAAACCAACACAATGTGCAACTACAAATATTCCTCTATTTTGTGAAGATGATGCCATCTAACCAACATGAGAAATTCATATTACTAACATCAAGGATGTGGGGGCAGGTGCAGTGTCTCACACCTGTAATCCCAGCACTTTTGGAGGCCAAAGAGGGAGGACTGCTTGAAGCCAGGAGTTTGAAACCAGCCTGGGCAACAAAACAAGACCCCATCTTTACAAAAAAAAAAAATTATTTAACTTAGCCAGGTGAGGTGGTGCACATCTGTGCTTCCAGCTACTCAGTAGGCTGGGCTGGAGGAGCATTTGGAACCAGGTTTTAAAGGCTGTAATCATACCACTGCACTCCAGCCTGGGTGACAGAGTGAGGCTCTGTCTCAAAAAAAAAAAAAAAAAGGTAAACCTACTTCTTTTTTTTTAATTTTTAATTTTTGTGGGTAAATAGTAGGTGTATTTATTTATGGGGTATATGAGATGTTTTGATACAGGCATGCAATATGTCATAATTGCATAATGGAGAATGGGGTATCCATCCCCTCAAACATTTATCCTTTTTACAAACCACCCAATTACACTCTTCTCATTATTTTAAAATGTGCTGGTTAAGTTATTATTGACTATAGTCACCCTGTTGTGCTGTCAAATAGGAGGTCTTATTCATTCTATTTTTTTGTACCCATTAACCATCCCCACTTCCCCCCACCGCCAGCCCCTCACTACCCTTCCCAGCCTCTGGTAATCATCCTTCTACTCTCTATGTCCATGAATTCAGTTGTTTTGATTTTTAGATCCCACAAAGAAGTGAGAACATGCAATGTTTGTGTTTCTGTGCCTGGCTTATTTCACTTAACATAATGATCTCCAATTTGGTCCACGTTGTTACAGATGACAGGATATCATTCTTTTTTACAGATTAACAGTACTCCCTTGTATATATGTATCACATTTTCTTTATTCATTCATCTGTTGATGGACACTTAGGTTGCTTCCAAATATTGGCTATTGTGAACAGTGCTGCTGCAAAGAGTGTCTCTGCAAACAGATATCTCTTCCATATATTGATTTCCTTTCTTTTGGGTATATACTCAGCAGTGAGATTGCTGGATCATGTGGTAGCTCTATTTTTCGTTTTTTTAAGGAACTTCCAAACTGTTCTCCATAGTGGTTGAATTAATTTACACTTCCACCAATGGTGGAAAGCTTCCCTTTTCTCCACGTCCTCGCCAGCATGTTATTGCCTGTCTTTTGTATGTAAGCCTTTTAAACTGGGGTGAGATATCTCATTGTTGTTTTGTTTTGCATCTCTCTGATGATCAGTGATGGTGAGCACCTTTTCATATGCCTGTTTGCCATTTATGTGTCTTCTTTTGAGAAATGTCTATTCAAATATTTTGCCTATTTTTTAATTGGATGCTTAGATTTTTTTCCTATAGAGTTCTTTGAGCTCTTTATATATTCTGGTTATTAATCCCTTGTCAGATGGGTCGTTTGCAAATATTTTCTCCCATTTTGTGGGTTGTCTCTTGACTTTGTTGATTGTTTCCTTTGCCATGCAGAAGCTTTTTAACTTGATGTCATCTCATTTGTCCATGTTTGCTTTGGTTGCCTGTGGTTGTGGGGTATTGCTCAAGAAATCTTTGCCCAGACCCAATGTCTTGGACATTTTCCCTGAGGTTTTCTTGTCATAGTTTCATAGTTTCAGATCTTAGATTTAAGTGTTTAATCCATTTTAATTTGACGTTTCTATAGGTCAAAAGATAAGGATCTAGTTTCATTCTTCTGCATATGAATATCCAGTTTTCCCAGCACCATTTATTGAAGAGACTATCTTTTCCCCAGTGCATGTTTTTGGCACCTATGTTGAAAATGAGTTCACTGTAGGTGTGTGGATTTGTTTCTGGGTTCTCTATTCTCTTCCATTGGTCTATGTGTCTGTTTTTACGCCAGTACCATGCTGTTTTGTTTCCTATAGCTCTGTAGTATAACTTGAAGTTAGGTACTGCAGATTTGTTCTTTGTTCTTAGGATAGCTTTGGTTATTCTAGGTCTTTTGTGGTTTTATATAAATTATAGGTTTTTTTCTATTTCTGTGAAGAATGTCATTGGTTTACATTGAATCTGTAGATTGGGTAGTATGGACATTTTAGCAATATTGAATTTTCCAGTCCATGAACATGGAATATCTTTCCAGTTTTTGGTGTCCTCTTCAATTTCTTTCATTTGTGTTTTATAGTTTTCATTACAGAGAGATCTTTCACTTATTTGGTTAAGTTGATTGCTAAGTATTTAATTTTTTGTGGCTATTGTAAATGGAATTACTTTTTTCATTTCTTTTTCAGATTGTTCACTGCTGGCATATAGAAATGCTGATTTTTGTATGTTGATTTTGTATGATTTTATTTCTTGTGAAATATTAACTCTGGCCATTATTATGCTAAAAATGATGCATTTTCCTCTCTTCCTGTTCTGGGTTCCATTACAAACATTCTCCACATTCACTAACAATGAATGGTACCATTATAAAATGTCTTATTCCTAGTCCTTAAATTTCTTCTCTGGCCCTGGGAGAAGTTAAAGGAGTGGATAGGAAAAAGCATGTACTCTAATACACATGCGTAGAGAGAAAGGAAATCCCATAGTAGCTTGGTGGGCTGGGTGGGATGGGATTGGGTACCTTGATGTGAAACTGAGAAATCTAGCCCACTTCTTTCCTGAGACTTTATTCATATAATTAAACTTATTACAAGTCCTTACAACTTCTCTAAAAGTCCAAATTCCTTACTGACATTTCTCAGTTTAGACCTATAGTATTTTAGCCCATATCAACTTTTCTTTATTCTGCTCTGTAATTCTAAACCTGAGGGTCTACATACTACTTTTCCCAGAATTCCTTGACAACTGGCTGTTGTTGTTGTTGTTGTTATTTTTTGCCAGTAGAGGACACTGGCAGGACGTAGAAAATAAAAAGATGGAGAATCCATTCTTCCTCCTTCTTATCCGCTTCTAGAACTCCTCCGCAAGTGGCTGTATCCTTCCGCAACCCACATTATCTCCATAGTAGCGGCAACAGCCATGAGTTCTAGCATAGCCAAACAGCCTTTCTCTGCACATTTGGACTCCGGTAACACCAGATTCATCCTTTTGTCTCCCAGGCCTAAGAACTGTAGTCGCTTCATGCAGTTACTAAACTGTTGTTTACTAACCACTCCACCCCCTTTTTATTATAAATCTCTCTCTCTCATTCCCTTACCCATGTAACCAATTCCTTGTATTAAATTCCTTCTGTTTAAAATATCTAGAAATATTTCGGTTTTTTTTTTTTACTTGGATCCTGATTAACTCCAACCTACCTTTCTAGTCTTACCTCCTTCTTACCACTAAAATCAAACACTACCTCTTACACTGACCCACATATTATATGCTCCAGTCATACTGTACTTGCTCCCCTTTCACCTAAGTCATATGCCACTTTTAAAAAAAAATCAGGAACAACTTGGATCAAACAAAACTAACCTTTCAGATTTACCACAGGAAGAAAGAATATTGCCATGATAGAGTCTTTGTATTATCAATCCACCTTCTGTTAATAATTTTGAAAGTTTTGTTTTCAGATTAAGAATTTGTGGGGCTGGGGCTGGGGAAGACTGAGGATATAGTTACTTTTAGTCGTAGAGAAATAAAATTACATTTGCACCTGTGAATACTTAATGAAAATCGTACTTGCACCATCCCACATCAAATTAATTTCTTTTTTCTCTTTCCATTGCTCTCCCTTACCTTTGAATTTTAACATAGACTTTGGCATAATAAACTTACTGTTCCTCAGTTTAATTACTCAAGAAAAAGACCTAAGTTCTATGACCTGGTAGTTGGTAATTTTGCTTTGATGTGAATTTGATCATGAATTCTTTGCAGATGGTGCAAAACCAGAATGGCTTATTGATGAGTGAGGCTGGCAGAGCGGTGCCTCCTACATTTCTCTATAGGAGGGACTTAGAGGATACAATCTGGCTTTTAGGGCTTGCTTGGCCAACATTACGTTAACTTTGATCAAGAAAAATAGCAACATTTTCTTAAGATACATGTATTCATTCTTTATATTAGAATCAGAGAATGTCAATTGTCCATATCAAATAATTCTTTTTATTGTTATTGTTATTAATTGAATGTCGTGGAAGGGGACATTTAGAAAGGGAAGTATTTGCTCTCTACTGCTATTACTGCTAGCTGACCGCAAGACCAGAATCTGAGCTCAATGTGGCTCTGTTGTTCTCTTCTCATTACCAAGTATATAGTAGCTTTAAGGATGTAACAAAAATATTCTGTGTGAGAAGAAATCCAACTGACAGTGCTGATGATAAAGAGACAGTGCTGCAATAGACAGAACTAAAGTCTGAGAAAGTGAAAGTATTCACATTTGAGGATTAGCAACTGTTTCAGATACATCACCTGTGAATGTCAAGAAACTACTCTAAAATGTAGATTGCAGAAAATTTGGAAAGAGGAGGGGCACACCCATAATCCCATAATTCCAAAACAGCAAGATGAACATTTTGGAATATATATTTCCAGCTGGTTGGTTTTCTATGTTTTGAATACTGAGGTGATAGTATCCTACCTTTTTTATCGAACATATCAATAAAAAACTGCCAACAGATAACTTTTAACAGACCTATTCCACTGTGTTGAAGTAATACAATTTACTTAATAATTGTCCTAATCAACTATGAATTTTCTAATTTTATTACCATCATAAATAACACTATAGTGACCATTTTATAAATGAATTTAACTGAAATTTCACAATCTTAGGGATATGTGTGTATATATGTATATCTGTGAACACATACATGTACATAGATATACATACATATGTGTATGTGTATGCATATAAGTGGAACTATTAAAAGATTGTGAATATTTTAAAATGTATTAATTCATATTACAAAATGCTTTCCAGAGAGATTAGTCTAATTTGTATCCCCAGTAGCTGTATAAGAGAGTATTTATCTCACTATACTCTTGCTAATATTGAGTATTATCACTTTTAATAATTAGATCTTAGTGATGATACGACAGAAAAATCTAATTCATTCTGATCTAAATCTGCTTTGCAATGTTTTAATAACTATTTGTTGAATAAACTGTTCTTTCACCACTGATTTATCTCTTTTATTCTTAAATGATTGTATAGAATACAGTCTTTATGGACTCTTCCTGTCCTATCTGTCTAATTTTTGTACAGATACCACAAACACTTATTTACTGTAATTTCATAATGTGTTTTGCTCTCTGATAGCACGTCATTAGTCTTTTTAGCATAGTTCTAAGCTAATTTCACCTTTTTAGAACACTTTTGGTTTTACTTCTGCTATAGCACATTGTGTTTTACCTTAAATTATGGCTGCATAACTTATCTCCCAGAAGAAACAGAAAACTCATTGAAGGTGGAGATTTTAAAATCTTTTTTACTGTGTCCCTTTCCAAATCACAGTTATTTACTCAAAAAAATATAGCAAAACCTTTCAACTGCAGGCAAATGGTTTGTTAGAATCAACTTCAAAACAGTCCGTATTCTCTTCCTTTCTGAATTTCCTGGAATCTTGAAGAAGCTCCTTCATCACCTCTATTTCACATCCCTCAATCACACCAGTCATATCCAACAATTCCTTAAGCAAGAACATAAAGAACTGATAATTGCTTCTGAGGGTAATTTGTTCGACACACTGACCTATATATATCGAACCCACTAATAAGCACTATTGAAAGACAAACTAATAGATCATTATTATTATACAGGCTAAATGGAGATATAGCTAAATAGTAATGAATTTTATTTGGTAATTGCCCACATAAGAGAAAAAATTATCATTTAAAAGAACTGTAGTTACTAATTAGTTACTAACTCTACCTGTCTTCTGTGACTTTTATTGTCTCTAAAAATAGTACAGATGTTCATTGGAGACATTCACAAACCAAATAAGTGGCCCTTTATTTGTTTAAGAAATTAATTTGATCAAAGAAGTAGTTTCTAAATCAAAGTATTCTTTGGAAACACCTAATGATTTAAAACATAGATTCCTTGATACCATATAGAAAGTTTGACTTCATAAAGCCAGGGTTGGAACCAGGAATCTGTTTTGGTTTTTTTCCTTTTTAAACTCCCTAGATGATTCTAATATAGCTGTTTGGGAACTACTAGGTTAGAACATGTTATTAATGAGGCTGAGATCATTGCAATACATTTATTCTATTTTATGTATTATTATTATTATTATTATTGAGAAAGGATATGGCTCTGTTGTCCAGACTGGAGTGCAGTGGTGTGATCATGGCTCACTGCAACCTCAAATTCCTGGACTCAAGCGATCCTCTCACCTCAGCCTCCTGAGTGGCTAGGACTACAAGTGTGCACCACCATGCCCAGCTAATTTTTGTTTTTTTTGTAGAGACAGGGTTTTGCCATGTTGCCTAGGCTCGTTCGCTCTATTTTTTTAAGACATAAATATTCTACAAGATTCCATTCAAAATCATTAGGTGTTATAGGGGGCCCAGAGGAGTTGATTCCCAGGTAACTTGACATTTTCATAGAAGTGACAAGAAAAATAGACAAGGGGCATCCATGCCGGAATCATTTATCTTTCAAATCTTCATAGGATGTACTTTTAACTCTTGGATCAGAACAGCATGCCTGGGACTGGTCTTCATGTAAGAAGCGGAGGGAATTCCAGATTGAATTGAAGGACACCAGACAGGTACCATCCCTTGCCATCCACTCCCACTCCACCAGCCTTTTTGGCAAATTATCTCCCCTATTGCCATTATAACAGAAATCTTATATTTAAAACTTGATTCCTTCCAGTTACTCCCTAATTATTCTATTCACTCTATATCATAACTGAACATCCATAATTACTAGACAGGATGCTAATCTCTGGCAAGAGGGCCATAAGCAACTCAATCTCGATCCTCGGGGAGTTGAAATCCAGAGTGGGATGCAGCCCTCTTCATCTATAACACAGCAATGATATGTGCAGTGAAAGAAGAGGGCTCTGAACCCAGATGAGAAGGTGAAATGAAGTGAGGACCCACAGGCACACCATATTAATTGTGCTCCGCTTTATTGCGCTTCATTATATTGCAATTCACAGATACTGCATTTCTTTACAAATTAAAGGTTTGTGGCAACGCTGCGCTGAGCGGGTCTATTGGCACCATTTTTCCAACAACATATACTCAATTCATGTCTCTGTCATATTTTGGCAATTCTCACGATATTTCAAACTTGTTCATTATTATTATATCTGTTACAGTGATCTGTGATCAACGATCTCCGATGTTTCTGTGGTAATTGTTTTGGGCAGCATAGACCACACCTATATAAGATGGTGAACTTAACTGATCAATGCTGGATGGGTTCTGACTGATCCACCGACCGACTTCCCCCTCTTTCTTCCTTTCCTCAGGCCTCCCTATTACCTAAGATACAAAAATATTGAAATTAGGCCAATTAATAACCTACAATGGCCTCTAAGCATTCAAGTGAAAGAGCCACACATCCCTCATTTTATTATTTATTTATTTATTTATTTTTTGAGACAAAGAGTCTCGCTCTGTCACCCAAGCTGGAGTGCAGTGGCACGACCTTGGCTCACTGCAACCTCCGCCTCCCCAGTTCAAGCGATTCTCCTGCCTCAGCCTCCTGAGTATCTGGCACCCGCCACCATGCCAGGCTAATTTTTGTATTTTTAGTAGAGAGGATTTCACCACATTGGCCAGGCTGATCTCAAACTCCGAACCTCGAGTGATCCACCTGCTTCAGCCTCTCAAAATGCTGGGATTACAGGCATGAACTACCATGCCTGGCCTCATCTCTCATTTTAAATCAAAAACTAGAAATGATTAAGCTTTGTGAGAAAGGCGTGTCAAAAGCTGAGATAGGCTGAAAGCTAGGCCTCTTGCATCTAGCAGCCAACTTGTGAATGCAAAGAAAAAGATCTTGAATGAAATTAAAAGTGCTACTTCAGTGAACACGTGAATGATAAGAAAGAGAAACAGCATAATTGCTGATATAGAGAAAGTTTGAGTGGTCTGGGTAGAAGATCAAACCAGCCACAACATTCCCTTAAGCCAAAGCCTAATCTAGAGCAAGGGCCTAACTCTCTTCAATTCTATGAAGGCTGAGAGAGGTGAGGAAGCTGCAGAAGAAGCTTGAAGCTAGCAGAGGTTGGTTCATGAGGTTAGAAGAAAGAAGCCATTTCCATGACAGAAAAGGTGAAGTAGCAAGTGCTATTGTAAAAACTGCAACAAGTTGTCTTGAAGATCTAGCTAAGGTCATTGATGAAGGTGGCTACACTAAACAGATTTTCCTCTTTTTTTCCCCCCCTTCATGGGGGTTTTTGGATGAAAACCAGAAAACCTGCTAGACAAATTCTAAAAGAGCTATAACACTAACAAAGATTTTCAGGGTAGGCAAAGCAGTCTTCTATTGAAAGAAGATGTCATCTAGGATTTTCATAGCTAAAGAGGAAAAGTCCATGCCTGGCTTCACAGCTTCAAAGGACAGGCTGACTCTCTTGTTAGAGGCTAATGCAGCTGGTGACTTTAAATTGAAATCAGTGCTCATTTGCCATTCTGAAAATCCTAGAGCCCTTCAGAATTATGCTAAATCTACTCTGCCTGTGCTCTAGAAATGGAACAGCAAAGCCTGGATGATAGCACATCTGTTTATGGTATGGTTTAATGAATATTTTAAGCCCACTGTTGAGACCTACAGTTAAAAAGAAAAAAGATTTATTTCAAAATATTACTGACCATTGGCAATGCACCTGGTCAGCCAAGAGTTCTGATGGAGATATGCAAGAAGATTAATGCTGTTTTTGTGTTTTTGGAGACAGTCTCACTCTGTCACCCAGGCAGGAGTGTAGTGGTACAATCTCGGCTCACTGCAACCTCCACCTCCCAGGTTCAAGCAATCGTCTTGCCTCAGCCCCCCAAGTAGCTGGGATTACATGTGCATGCTACCACACCTGACTAATTTGTGTGTTTTTAGTAGAGACAGGGTTTCGCCATGTTGGACAGGCTAGTCTCAAACTCCTGACATCAGGTGATCCACCTGCCTCAGCTTTCCAAAGTGCTGGGATTACGGGCGTGAGTCACCGTGCCTGACCTAATGTTTTTATGCCCACTAACACAACGTCCATTCTGCAGCCTATAGACCAAGAAGTACGTTTTACTTGCAAGTCTTATTATTTAAGAAATTCACTTCATAAGGTTGTAGCTGTCATAGTGATTCCGCTGATGGACAAAGTAAATTAAAACCAAAGCATTCGCCATTCCTTTTTTTTTTTTCCCAAAGCAAAGCAGCAAAAGTTTATTACACACAGTATTACACTCTCAAAGGGGAGAGTGAACTGTGAACTCACCTCTGCAAAATGAGATCAGCCCAGTCTGGTGTAGCTTGTGTCTTTTTATACGTTTTTTTTTTTCTCTTCTCTTCCCTAGCTGTCTAATCTCTAGCCAGTTCTGTCTTTTGATTGATAGGTGGGTTGCTTCATTACTTTGGCCCTTGTGCACTTATGTATTGCCTCTATCCCATAATTTTAAGTACATGCATGATATGTAGTCCATATGCATGACCCTTGAATAGCTAATTACCATATGGGGTCATTTTAAGAATACTTTTTCTCTCTAATGTGCATGCCCATCTCTGGGAAGCTACCCCTGACAGGTTTGGAACGGATCTAGCCAGCCATGGGGGCTCCTTACTCACTTCTTTTTTTTTAAAATCTTCAGCTTTTATTTTAAGTTCAGGGGTAATGAGCAGGATGCGCAGATTTGTTACATAGGTAAACATTTGCCACATTTGTTTGCTGCACAGATCATTCCATCACCTAGGTATTAAGCCCAGCATCCACTAGCTATTCTTCCTGATGCTCTCCCTCCCCACCCGCAAAGGGCCCCAGTGTGTGTTGTACCTCCCATGGGTTCTCATCATTCAGCTCCCATTTATAAGTGAGAACATGCAGTGTTTGGTTTTCTTTCTTTCTTTTTTTTTTTTTTTTTTTTTTTTTTAAGATGGAGTCTTGCTCTGTTGCCCAGGCTGGAGTGCAGTGGCACAATCTCGACTCACTGCAAGCTCCACCTCCTAGGTTCATGCCATTCTCCTGCCTCAGCCTCCCGAGTAGCTGGGACTACAGGCGCCTGCCACCATGCCCGGCTAATTTTTTGTATTTTTAGTAGAGATGGGGTTTCACCATGTTAGCCAGGATGGTCTCGATCTCCTGACCTCGAGATCCGCCCACCTCTACCTCCTAAAGTGCTGGGATTACAGGCGTGAGCCACTGCAGCCGGCCCAATGTTTGGTTTTCTGTTCCTATGTTAGTTTGCTAAGGATAATGACCTCCACCTCCATCCATGCCCCTGCAAAGAGCATGATCTTGTTCCTTTTTATGGCTGCATAGTATTTCGTGGCGATTGACCATTCTTGATGCCGTTAAGAACATTTAGGATTCATGGGAGGAGGTCAAAATGTGAACATTAACAGGAGTTTGAAAGAAGCTGATTCCAGCCCTCACGGATGACTTTGAGAGGCTCAAGACTTCCATGGAGGAAGTAATTGTAGATGTGGTGAACATAGCAAAAGAAATGTGGAGCTTGAAGATGGGGCTAAACTGTTGTAATCTCATGATAAAACTTGCTCACACCTGTAATCCCAGCACTTTGGGAGGCTGAGGCAGGTGGATCACCTGAGGTCAGGAGTGCGAGATCCAGCCTGGCCAACATGGTGAAACCCCGTCTCTACTAAAAATACAAAAACACAAAAATTAGCCGGGCATGGTGGCAGATGCCTGTAATCCCAGCTACTCAGGAGGCTGAGGCAGGAGAATTGCTTGAACCCGGGAGGCAAGGTTACAGTGAGCCGAGATCGTGCCACTGCACTCCAGCCTGGGTGACAGAGTGAGACTCCATCTAAGAAAAAAAAAGCTTGAACAGATGAGGAGTTGCTCCCTATGGATGTGCAAAGCAAGTGGTCTCTTGAGATGGAATCTACTCCTGGTGAAGATGCTATAAACATTGGTGCAATGACAACAAGGGATTTAGAATATTACGTAAACTTAGTTGATAAAGCAGCATTAGGGTTTAAGAGGACTGACTCCAATTTTGGAAGAAGTCGCACTGAGGGTAAAACGCTATCAAACAGCATCACATGCTACAGAGAAATCTTTCACGAAAGGGAAAGTCATTTGATCTGGCAAACTGAATTGCTGTATTATTTTAATAAATTGTCACAGCTATCCCATCCTTCAGCCGCCACCACCCTGATCATTCAGCAGCCATCAACATCAAGGCAAGACCCTCCACCAGAAAAAGATTGCAACTCACTGAAGGCTCAGATGGTCATTAGCATTTTTTAGCAATAAAGTATTTTAAAATTAAGGGATATATATTGTTTTTTAGACATAATGCTATTTCACAGTTAATATACTACAGTATTATGTAAACATAACTTTTATATGCACTGGGAAACCAAAAATTCTTGTGACTCACTTTATTACAATATGCACTTTCCTGCAGTGTTCTGAAACTGAACTGGAAGTATCTCCAAGGTATGCCTGTAACAGCCCTGCTGTTAAAGTTTTCAAAATTCTGGCCACCTTGTCTGGCAGTCAGTAAGGTTGTCACTGCACACAAAAACAATACAGTTTGCTTGATGCTGTTGTCATTGCTACTGCAGTTCAAGGGTCCAGGAGTAAGTGGGCCAAAATCTCAGCTATTGTCTCTTTTTGGTTCCCATTTTCCAAGGCTGTCTGGCTACAACCTCCAGACCAAAGCCCTGTGACCAGGCAAATGGCCAGAAGCTGCTGGGATAGGCCAATTATGTTTTTATGAGGGCACCGTGCTGCATGAATTTAAGAGCTGGACTTGAAGAAGGGAGTAGGAGCGAGAGGGTCTGGAGCAGGAAGAAGTCTTTGAGATGATGAGGGCAGGGTCAATAGAGAACATCAAATTGCAGCAGGTCACCAGGGTGGTGGTGTGACAGGAAGAGTGAGATAATCAAGTCTTCTCTGACACCACTGAATGTTAGGGATGGATGTCTGTCTGGTGACAGCCTGCCCTGAACTGTTCTGAATCCTTCTCTGTTAGCCATTTTCTAGGTTTCTGACCTCCAAAAGATTTGCAAAACTAGACTGTAATCAATTCCATTGTCTTCTCCAGAAATGTAACCAATATATCACTTTGCTGTAATATGATATTAATGTTACTATCCCAGACCATACTGTATTTTTCTTGGGCATCCTTATCTGCATAAACATTCTGAGCTGCCTTTTTATCTGACCCAGATGGTCTATAATAATTTCCTATTAGTCTTAGTTTCCTTTTATCTTTTATTTCCATCCAAACATATTTTGTCCCACTGCCAACTTATTTATTATGTGACATTCTTTCTCCCTTCAGACACAATATCCGCCTTGACCCATGTTGGCATAATTCCCCCTAGCCTGTTGTGTCTATCTCTTGCATAAACTTTCCATATCCAAATTATTCCAAGTCTGTTTCTTGTTTTAGCCCCTCCTTAGTAATCCTTGTTACATAATGTGTCTATTATATCTCTTGGTTTTGTTTTCTTTTAGTTCACTTCTTACCATGCATGTGAAAGTCATTTGTAAGGGGAGCTGTTTAGCATTTACTTTTATTTTTTCTTTGGTTTCTTTTGGGTTCTGGCTCCATCCCTGGAGTTCTTTTAATCTCCGACCCTCCTCTCTCTCCCAAGCCCTCTTCATTTCCCCATAACATGTTAGTTTATACCTTCTTCTCAGATGTACGCAATTTTTACCATTATGGCTTTGTGTATTGCTGTGTGGTTTTGCAGAAAAAGCTGGCTGTCCTTCAGTAACTTTCCAGCTCCCACCATTCATCTGTTTAGCAGGAGCTCCATTCAAAACCAGTTTTTTTTGTTTTTTGTTTGTTTGTTTGTTTTTGTTTGTTTTTATTATACTTTAAGTTCTAGGGTACATGTGCACAATGTGCAGGTTTGTTACATATGTATACATGTGCCATGCCGGTGTGCTGCATCCATTAACTTGTCATTTACGTTAGGTGTACCTCCTAATGCTATCCCTCCCCGCTCCCCACACCCCACAACAGGCCCTGGTGTGTGATGTTCCCCTTCCTGTGTCCAAGTGTTCTCATTGTTCAATTCCCACCCGTGAGTGAGAACATGTGGTGTTTGGTTTTTTGTCCTTGCAATAGTTTGCTGAGAATGATGGTTTCCAGCTTCATCCACGTCCCTACAAAAGACATAAGCTCATCATTTTTTATGGCTGCATAGTATTCCATGGTGTATATGTGCCACATTTTCTTAATCCAGTCTATCATTGTTGGACATTTGGGTTGGTTCCAAATCTTTGCTATTGTGAGTAGTGCCGCAATAAACATATGTGTGCCTGTGTCTTTGCAGCAGCATGATTTATATTCCTTTGGGTATATACCCAGTAATGGGATGGCTGGGTCAAATGGTATTTCTAGTTCTAGATCCCTGAAGAATTGCCACACTGTCTTCCACAATGGTTGAACTAGTTTACAGTCCCACCAACAGTGTAAAAGCCTTCCTATTTCTCCACATCCTCTCCAGCACCTGTTGTTTCCTGACTTTTTAATGATTGCCATTCTAACTGGTGTGAGATGATATCTCATTGTGGTCAAAACCAGTTTTATTCCAATCATTATCATGAGCCTAGAGCCTGAAGGAAGTCTGATAGAGACTTTTAAAAGTGCAACAATCTTGTTTTATGTTTTCATGAGACTTCAACAGTCTACAAAAAGTCCAGATCAATTGGTTGAAATGAATATTATTTTAATCAACTGCCTATTTAGTCTATAAGGAGTCAAATAGTTTGAACTGTATTCTCATTAAATTCTCTTTTTTTTTTTTTTTTTTTTGAGACAGAGTCTCTCTCTGTCGCCCAGGCTGGAGTGCAGTGGCGCGATCTCGGCTCACTGCAAGTTCCATCTCCTGGGTTCACGCCATTCTCCTGTCTCTGCCTCCCAAGTAGCTGGGACTACAGGCACCCACCACCACGCCTGGCTAATTTTTTGTATTTTTAGTAGAGACAGGGTTTCACCGTGTTAGCCAGGATGGTCTCAATCTCCTGACCTCGTGATCCGCCACCTTGGCCTCCCAAAGTGCTGGGATTACAGGCGTGAGCCACTGTGCCCAGCCTTAAATTCTTAACTCTATTTCCCCACTCCCTCACTTAATGGCCCTTTTGTTCTTGTTTGTGCATGCAGGTCTATGTGAGAGTTTACATCACCTATCTACTTCCTTCACATTTCTGGAAAAGCTATCAAATAGGACATCACAGATATACCTGTACTTCCTATGTCCTTTAATACAGACAACAGTGGGGAGGGGTCATAGCAGAAGGAGGTTAGATAGAGCAGTTGGCATAACTGAAAGTCTAGCGGCAACTCTTAACTATTTTCCAGAAATGTAAATTTCCTTAGGGAGCAGCTGTGACCTCAGTCATCTTTGTTAATCAGCCTCCCTGGGGCTCAGTTGAAAATAGAGACAATATTAATAATATCTACTCAATGGGACTTTTATAAGGATATGTTTAAAATACTCTCTAGGAAGAAACATTCTATTAATGATGGTCTAAATAACAACAAAACATGACTGTGAAAGTCATCCGGTTATCATTCAGTAAATTTTTGTGCCAGGGAACTAATGAGTAATTCAACAACCTTAAGAAGAAAGTAAATTTTTCCTATGGGAGGAATTTAGTGCCTAGGAGAATCCAGATGAACATAATTAGCAGAAATCATTGTTTAAAGTACCTGAAGGCAAAGTTACCCATGCTGAGATCCCATCCTGACAACAGTATGGTTCCAAGTTCAGAGGGGACAGAAACCAGGAGAAGAGACTCTGGTTTAAACATTCCACTGTTTAGACTCATTTTTGTTTAGGTCAACAAAATTTCCAAAACTATTCCCATTATTAAAAATCATTGAGCCAATTGCATTTTCACTGCATTCAGAACATGAAATTTAAAGGGAAAGAAATCTTCAAGTTTATGTTTTTTGGATTAGGAACACAGATTTGGGAGTCATGCTGCCTCCATGAAAGTAACAGCAGAAATATTTGCTGGCTGTGTGATTTTAGGCAAGTTACTTAACCTCCTTGAGCTTCCATTTTCTCAGATGTAAAATAGGGAAAATAATAGTACCTATCTAATAAGGCAGCTTGAGGGTTCTCCTGATGCTTGGCACACAGGAAGCACTCAGTAAAAGCTTTTTGTTATCATTACTTTATTTTTTAATTTTTATTATTTTTCTAAATTGTTAACTTTTGTGGGTATATATTTGTGGGTCACATGAGACATTTTGATACAGGCATGCAATGCATAATAATCACATCATGGAAAATGGGATATCCATCCCCTTAAGCATTTATCTTTTGTGTTACAAACAATCCAATTATATGATTTTAGTTGTTTTAAAATGTACAATTGAATTATTATGAATATAGTCACCCAGTTGTGCTACCAAATACTAAGTCTTATTCTTCTTTCTATTTTTTCTACCCATTAACCATCCCACCTCCCTTCCAACCCCCATTAGCATTATTTTAGAAAGCTGAAGTCCAAAGAGAATGTCATTTGCCCAAAGTCTCACAAATATACTCTGCAAAGAACGAAGTCAATGTTCACCCAGTTAATGTCAATTATCTTGGCTTTTACCACCACTCTGCTATGTCCTCAATATGTGCTCTTTGTGTTCACCTTCTTCTCTTACCATTTTGTCACATCTAGTAGTCTTTTATCATTATGTAAATTATTCATGGAAGAGAGAATAGTTATTATTTCAAGAAGATCCTTTGGCCATGAGTATAAGCCATTGACCTGGGTAAACAAGTTTGCCATTTTTACAGGTGACTGTCATGTGTTCTCTTAGCTGCTAGTCACCATTGCTCTCTTACCTTTCAGATGGTAAGCTCATTGAGGCAGGGTCCATGTCTTATTTATATGTGCAGACCCCTGAGCCTTGCCAACTTCTAGCCATTACCTATGTCTTCAAAATATGCTAGAAACTCAGCAGTAGTATAGCAATCATACATATTACAAAATGCCTAGCATTTTTATTATACATATTAACTCCTTTATTTCTCACTACCACACATTTACAGTTGAGAACACCCAGGCTCAAAAGAGGTTAAATAACCTGTCCAAGGTCGCACTACTCATAACTGCCTAGCAGGAACACAAGCCAAGAGTGACTGACACCACATCTTCATTAGCATAAGAAAAGGTGGGGGCGGGGAATTCACACACTGACTACCTATTCAGACAGTTTAATCTGATTAAAAATTCACTTCTACTAGAATACACACACACACACACACACACACACATTTTATGACAGAAGTACAACCTTCATGTGGCTCAATTTATCTCAAGGATAGGCAAGCCCATTTGCTGACAAAGAATTAACTATTTCTTTACCAACATCATTTATTCATTTCTTTTTCTCAGATAGTGGGTTCTGGCTGATTTTGAAGCACAAGAAATCAGCTCAACTTCAGCCTAGGATAGTGTGTGTTTAATTCAATCCATAGCACTATTTAATTATAGAAGAATCAAAGCTATCTTTGTTGTGACATTTTTTCTCTCTTCAAACATTCTGTCTGTTTTGATCCATCTTGGATTCATGTTGGGGTTAGGTTTAGAAACTGTCAAAAACACTTTTAACAAGCTTGTTATAAACCACTACTCCGAGAGAATCAGCTGAGTAAATTAATGTTTCAACACAAGAAAATATTCTGAGATATTTTTAGTGTTTGAAAACAAGACCTGGAAAGCTATGACAAAACAGAGGTAAACAAAGCATAATGAATTCATTGCAAATGTATTTACATCTGAAATAATTAATAATATGTATATTTTGTGAACCATCGTTACCTTTTTCACTAGCCATACTTTATGACTTTGTGTAATTATATAAAAGATTTCTCAAAATCTTGAAGTCTATTCAAACATTGAGGCTAAGGGATTATGTATCACAGGAGTAATGAGAACTCTAGAAAAATAACTTGACAACAAAAAGTCCTTATAGTTATATATTAAATATCAAGAAAATCAATGGGAAATCTTTGTTATTTGTGATTAAAAAACATACATGGTTAATTTTCATGTTACTGTAGAGCTTTGCCTCAACATGACCAGTCGCCATGTGAGTTATTTTGTTTTGCAACCTGGATATTAAACATTCCAGAGTCTTCAGCTTTCTTATCAGCACAGAAAAGGCAATTTATAGCACAGTACCTTTATAAGCAAAGACATTTTATGTAAGTAATTTGCTACAGAATTCTCTCTCAAAGCTGATTTGATTCTTAAAGAGAATTCTTCATTGTAAATTCTTGATTCTACAAGTATGAAAAAAAAATCAGGCTATTATCACTCTTGAAGACAGACCTTCTATTTCTAATTTCATATTTTCCTTCCCAAAGTGGGGTTTATATTATTCTATTTCCACTATTTTGACATGACTTTAGGACATTAATGGGTTGGGCAAGGCCACCAGGATTTTATTTGTCAGAGATTGTGCTGTTTTTGCAGAATTGTTCAAAAGGACACTGAAATGGGTTACATCTCTAACAGGGTGAAGGAGACCCTAGTATAGAAGAATTAATGGGATCCCAGAAAAAAAGAGAGCTTAGGTCCCACAGAAGGGCTATAATCAATCCCTACGAAAATCTAGTACTCCCAGATTCCTGAGCCTTTAGGCCTCAGCAAAGTGGATGGAATGCAAAACCTAGTCCTCATACTATGGCTCAGAGAAATGAAAGAAACTGGCATTAGAGAAGATGGGAAGAGTGACAAAGTACAAATGTAAAGAAAGAGAGAAAGAGCATGGTAAGTATGTAAATACATGACATCACAAAAAAAAAGAAAAAGAAAGAAGAAAGAAAAAGAAAGAAAGGAAAGAAAAGAAAGAAAGGAAAGAAAGAAAGAAAGAGAGAAAGAAAGAAAAGAAAGAAAGACAGACTATATCATGCAAAAGAGAAAAACATATGTAGCATTCTTGAGAAAATATAGCACAAGCAACGTGAATAAACGTGCCATAGTGCTTTATGTCAGCAAAGGATTTGATAAGACTATGAGTTTAATAAAAGAAGAGTTCAGTGACAATATGACACACAATAAAAAATGAAGAAAATGCAAAGCTAAGTAGACAGATTAAGAAACCAAATCATACCATTAGAAACCCAACAAGAGAAAAAGTAAAAAGAAAATTAATGTAATATTAAAACACTTTAAATCATCAACATGAATGTAAAAGAACAAGGCAAAGAGATTAAGGTAACTAGAAGAAAATGATAGATATGAAAGATAATGAAGATCTGACATGATAATAATTGAGATAATGATAATAGAACCTGTCAAATAAAACATTAAAAATAGTCAGGAATATAATGCAATACATGTTTCCTGAAATAAAGAAAAAATTAAATTTAATTCTATTGAATCCCTAAAAAAACTGATACAGACCAAGTTATATAAAAACAATTCCAGGTGAAATCATAAAAATTCTAGAATTCCCTGTGAATTTGGACATCCCCCCAGTCTCCACCCTGCCCCAGTGTGGAGGGTCTACAAACGAGGAAAAAAAAAAACACATCATCCTACTTTATGGCTAGCAGCACTGAATGCTAGAAGACAATGGGATGATGTCTCTAATGTTCTGTGGGAAAGAAAAAATATTATACCCAGCCAAATGATGATTCAAGGATAAGGGCAACATAGAAGTACTTCCATGTTCTAAAGCTCAGAAGTACTTAAGGGATACAGCACATGACTCGAAAATCCACCAAATGCAGGAGCCACAGTAGAAGAGGCACCTATGATCATTGTAATCATTTAAATAAAGAATAATGTTTAAACAACCAGAAGGATTATGACTACAAAACAAAAAAGTAAATTTGCAAACTCTGACTAGGTTAAAATAAATCTACAGATGGGGAGGAAGGGTAAGAAAAATTATAAGAGAGCTCATTTCCGCATCTTTCTTAGCAAGTAGTCAATCCATCTTGGCTAAAACTGTAACATGTAGGTAAGAAAATAAATGACTCTCCCCTCTTAAAGGTTATTACTTTCTGGCTACCTAGTCACTTGTCCAACCGTCATTCCATCCATCCATCTTCTTACATATATGCATATAGATAGATCTTAAATAATGACATTCATCAAATGTTAACATTACTTATTTTTGGATGATGAAATTTGGGGTGATTTACAGCTTTCCTCTTTTGCTCCTCTGTATTGCTTGAATTTTTAAAAAGTGATCATTATCACTGTACTAGACTAAAATTGGCCAGAAATTCTTTGCACGTCATCTCATCAAGAAGTGGAGTCTATCTCTCACCTCTTATATCTTGGCTGGGCTTGTGGCCTGATACTGACCAATAGAACTCAACAGAAGCAATATATTGAGACTTCCATGCTCACCCTCTTGAAACCCTGAAACAACCATGCTGTGAAGAAGTCCCATATGAAAGGCAACATGAAGATATAGTCCCAGGCACCCCCGCCATTCCACCCATCCTAGATGAGGCCCTGGACATTTGAGTGAGACCAACTCACCCCTGCTTAGTTGTCTATATCTGCATGAGTGAGCCAAAGCAGAACCAGTAGAATATTCTAGTCAATCACAGACTTATGAGACATAATAAATTATTTTTGTTTTAAGTTACTGAGTTTGGAGTTGTTTCTTCCATAGCAATAGATAACTAATATACTCTCTTTTATAAAAAAGAATAAATTCAGTACTCTTAAAAATCTTTAAAAAAATGCTGAAGTCTGCATAGTATTCCACAGTGTATATGTGCCACATTTTCTTTCTCCACTGTATCATTGATGGGCATTTGGGTTGATTCCATGTCTTTGCTATTGTGAATAGTGCTGCAATGAACATATGCATGCATGTATCTTTGTAATAGAATGATTTATATTCCTTTAAAATCAAAATAAAAATTAAAAAATAACAATTGAACATCAACAGTATACCAGACTATTTAGTAAATCTTGAGAAGAATAAAATAAAATAAAATAAAATAAAATAAAATAAAATAAAATAAAAAGTGGAGAAAATGTTTCGAAAAAAAGATGCTGAAGTCTCCCTTCTATATAGTAGGGGGAGTTCTCTGCAGCCTGTATTTTTTCAAGAGGTTCATGACTTCCCTGTCAATATGTGCCACAGCCTTCTTTTCCACTATTAACTACTGACATTCTCTATTACAGGCTTTATTATTCTCTCTCACCAGCCCACATCACCCCACACTGGATCTAACTCAGTTTCCCTCACAGTACCACTAACACAAAGCTTGCATATATTGTATACATCTCAGATATTTACTAAAGGTAAAAGAGGAGGTAGCCCAAAGATTTTAAATTATTTATCTATTACTGTATAATAAATGACTGCAAATCTTTGGAGCTTAAAAAAATTAAAGATATCGACTGGGCACAGTGGTTCATGCCTGGAATCCCAGCACTTTGGGAGGCCGAGGCAGGCAGATCACCTGAGGTCGGAAGTTCGAGACCAGCCTGACCAACATGGAGAAACCACGTCTCTAGTAAAAATACAAAATTAGCTGGGCGTGGTGGCACATGCCTGTAATCCCAGCTACTCGGGAGGCTAAGGCAGGAGAATGGCTTGAACCTGGGAGGCGGAGATTGTAGTCAGCCGAGATTACGCCACTGCACTCCAGCCTGGGCAACGAGAGCGATACTCTTTCTCAAAAAATAAATAAGTAGAATAAATAAAAAGATATTTGTTATATCATGCAGTTTATGTGAGTCAAGCCTTTGAGAGCAATTTAAATCAGTGGTTCTGTCTTGGGTCTCTCATAAGGTTGTAGTCAAGATGTTGGCCAGGACTAAGACATCGCGAGACTTTGCTGCGACTGGAGAGTCTGCCTCTAGATGGCTCACTCACAGGGTTGTTGGTAGGTGCTCTTCTTAGGGCTGCTTAAGAAGCCTCATGATGTAACAACTTGCTTGCCCCAGAGTGAATGATCCAGGAGGCCAAGAAAGAAGCTGCAATATCTTTTATGGCCTAGCCTTAGACGTCCATTATTCCTGGAATATTCTATTGATTACAAAGTCAGACCTATTCAGTGCAAGAGGGGACTGCACAAGGGCATAAATATCAGGAACTGGGGATCACCGGGGACTATCTGTCACAGGCCGCTTAGGAAGAAAGTGATTCACACCATTAGGAATCAATGTCTAGGGTCTTCATTTCATTAGTACACCAAACTACAAAAAATATCAATAAAATTCACAAAACAGAGTCACCATATAGAGTTCTATAGGTTGTTGGTCATATAAGAGACCCCAGTACATAGATATGAGCCCTGTACTTTAATGCAAGGCTATGGCTATCCAAAAAACAGGTGTCTTTTTCTGGACTTCACAAAATTTCACTTGAAAGTTTGAACATACCTTTGGTACTAAAGAAAACAATAGAATTTAAACATTCATAATAAAACAAAATTATGCCAATTATGACTCCAAAATAACGTGAGACTTTTGAGAAATCACTGGAAAGCTATTAATATGGAGTTCATTTCTAGTATTTGTTGCAAATCAGCAACTTACTAAACTTGTTTTGCAAAATTTGTCCTCTTCCAAACTTAACAGCTCATCACAGTGTCTAAATTACCCACCCCCCTTTAGTTCAGAGTTTGTATTACTCTGGAATTTTCCAGTGCTTTGCAGTGATTTTTTTTCTTAGACCCCCTGGTGTAACTCTATTTTCTATGGTATCCTATTCTAGGAATCAATCGAAGATAAACTCATAGAAAAAATTCCTAGAGTGTTTTACAATCAGATATCCAAGTGGAAAAAACTTGAAATGTGAATTCAGGGATACCAATAGCTTTCTATATTGTTGCATCAATGTTCTTGGTATTGGTCCTACCAAACATAAGGTATTTGCAGTATGTAATGGTCTAAGCCAACAAAATCAGTTCTCAAATCTTTCTAGGACTATTCAATATCCACCGTGTTTTTGTTTCATCAGAAAGATCTATTGCTGGCCAGGTGTGGTGGCTCATGTCTGTAATCCCAGCACTTTGGGAGGCCGAGGTGGGTGGATCGCTTGAGTCCAGGAGTTTGAGACCAGCCTGGGTGACATGGAGAAATTCCATCTCTACCTCAAAAAGAAAGAAAGGAAAGAAAGAAAGAAAGAAAGAAAGAAAGAAAGAAAGAAGAAGAAAGAAGAAAAAGAAAGAGAGAAAGAAAAGAAAGAAAGAGAAGGAAAGAAAGAAAGGAAGAAAGGAAGAAATTAGTCAGGCACGATGGTGCACGCCTGTAGTCCCAGCTACTTGGGAGGCTGAGGTGGGAGGATTGCTTGAGCCTGGAAGGTAGAGGCTTCAGTGAACCAAGATTGCACCACTGCACTCCAGCCTGGGTGATCCCTGACTCAAAAATAAATAAATAAATAAATAAATAAATAAATAAATAAATAAATAAATAAGCTATTGCTGAGTCATATAACTGGCTTTATGAAAGAAGAACTGTGTGGAGTTGGAGCCACTCCATGAAGTCACTCTCAGAGTGTCAACTGATAGTTGTCTTTTGAGTCCGCTTGATTCTAAAATAAACTTAAACTTCTATTTTTCATGATCAATGCCCCCTCTCTTTATGGTACTAGAGCTGTGCTGATCTGCAGGAATGCTAAATATGAACGTCACAGGCCACAAACCTCCTTTATTTTTCATAACTAAATGTAATTTGTGATTGTAAGTTAAATTATTGATTCCTCAGTCAAATTCCCTTTCTACCTGTTGGGGAAGCCTTATATTTCTCTGATTGTTTGGATATAGTAAGGCATCTGGACCAGAGTCATCCTCTGTCTCCTGCTGGTATCTGCTGAGCTGCACCTCTTACCCATCATTTTTTGGTCTTTGGCCTCTACAGAGGTCCACCAGCCTCTGTTAAGATTACCTTTGTCCCACCACAGCTTCCAGCTGACAAGTCCTCCTTACCTAATCATTAGGCTTCTTTGAGTCTATAAACCTCTCTAAGCCAGAGCCACACCCCTTTCATAAGTACACGGCTGTCTTCCTGCTTCATTGCGTGCTTAAGACGTTAACGTAACTGTCCTCAGATCTATCTGGAGAGTTGCTTCACTTGGACATTTCCTGCTCTAAGGTCTAGCACTATGCTTCATATAGGTTTGTCTCGAAGGCTTGATTCTTCCCAATCACATGCTGGGTGAAGCTCTCTTTCACTCTATTCCCCCCCTGCACATTTATTTTATCTTAAAGATAGCATTGGCCTCCCAAAGTGCTGAGATCACAGGCATGAGCCACTGTGCCCAGCCAACTGTTATCCTTCTTTAAAGATCATTATAGGTTCTTTTCAACTTCTTTATTTGCCATATTAAATTTATGTACTAACTTTTACAGCATTTGTCTTTGGATTTTCAAAGCCAGGTTTGAGCATGTGGAAGATATTTTCTCTTTCAAGGATTCCAGGTCTTACAAATCAAAAGCTCTTTGATTTTTAAGACTATTGTTTCTGTTTAGATTTTAAATGTACTAGTTTGCTAGGGCTGCCATAACAAAATACCACAAATCAGGTGGCCTAAGCAACAGAAATTTATTTTCTCAGAATTCTAAAAGCCAGAAGTCCAAGATCAAGGTACTGATGGGGCTGGTTACTCCTGGGACCTGACTCTTTGGCTTGCAAATGGCCACTTTCTCACTCTGTCCTCACATGGTCTCCCCTCAGTCTGGGTGTTGTCTATGCCCTAATCTCCTCTTCTTACAAAGAAATCAGTCATATTAGGTAGGAATGCACCCAAAGGACCTCATTTTACCTTAATTACCTCTTTAAAGGTCCTAACTCCAAATACAGTCGGATTCAGAGGTACTGGGGCAATACAACTTCAATATATGAATTTGGGGTGTTACAATGCAGCCCATAACATTAAATAATCTATTTAGATATTTGGTAGACTTATGAATGTTCTTTGGGCTCTTTTGTGTCTTCTTTTCCTGTGGCAAATGAATACAGGTTGTGGTGACTGACTCAGTGGAGGGAGGGTCTCAGCAATCTACACTATAGTCATAGATTACAAGACCCTTCGCACTCTGGCTTCACTTACTCCTCCAACCTCTTCTCTCAGCTCTCCCTATATTTCTCTTTCTCTCTTCCATACAAGATGTCCTTCAGATTCTCAAAATCCCCACTGTGTCTCTCATTTCTGGACCTTCGAAGATGTTGTTCCTTCATCTTAAATGCTCTTCCTCTTTCTACTTCCCTTTGCCTTGCTAACTCCTATAAATCATTCGTGTCTCACGTTCAGCTTTTCCTGGTACCTAAAACTAGGTTACGCTTCCCTATTTGTTAACCTTCCCATAGCACATAACTATTTACCATTGTATAGGTCTCAGTCATTACACTTTTCACTACTTATGTAATATCTGTGTTTTCTGCTAAACTGTAAGCTCCGTGGTGGCAAGGACAGTGTCTGTATTGGTCACTGCTATATCCAGTATCTGTTGCAATGTCATGTTATGTTCAGTGTCTGCCACAAAGTAGATGCACAATAAGTATTTGTTTTTTGTTGTTGTTGTTTTTGTTTTCCATCTTTATTAAGGCATAATTGACAAATAAAGATTAAATATATAAGGTTTGAACATTGATGTTTTGATACACATCTACATCACAAAATGATTACCACGATCAGGTTAATTAACATATCGTCTCACAGTTACCTTTTTTCATGTGTGGTGAGAACACTTGAGATCTACTCTCAACAAATTTCAAATATACATTATTATTAACTATAATCACCATGCTGTACATTAGTCTCCAGAACTTACTGATCTTATAACTGAAAGTTTGTGCCCTTTGACTAACATCTCCCCTTTTTCTCCACCCCATGGAAACTGCCACTCTACTCTCTTACTGTATATTCAACATTTTTATGGATTCCATATCTGATAAGTTATGCTGAATGAATGAAAACTAACTCTGAGACATTGTTGGCTTAGTGCGCAAACAATTCTCCACACACAAGAATAATATGTGGAGTTACACCTATTTTTTAAAGACCTTGCTCTATCTGTCAGTCAGGATTGTTAGTTGGAAGCAACAAACATTTACTTGTGCTAATTTAAGCAGAAAAGGATATTGAGTAGCTTGCAATAGCTTCAGGAAGACAAGAGATCCAGGTTTGAAGGCTACAGAGCCAGGTACAATGCCCAAAATCACAAGGCAAAACTGTTTCTACCTTTGGGCACCCAATGCCACAGGTGGCACTGACAGCATCACTAGACATCAGGCACTAGGGCTGCCACTAAAACCACTGTCCCTGCTGCCTCTAGAAAGCAACCCCTATTGCATAATTGCCTCCAGCACCAAGGCAGCCACTATCATCACTACCACCCCCAGAGCCTCCACTGCCCACATTAATTTCCCTGCACCCTGTCCTCACTGCCCCACAACTACCTCTATCCCTACTGCTCCACCGCCCCTGCTGCCACCTGCATGGATTCTGGGCAGACCCTGCTTCTTCACATCAGCAGCTTTCCATTTAAAATCTGCTTGCCAGAGCCTAGGCTATGTAACCCATTCCCTAGCTACAATGGAGGCTGGTAAAGAAAATGTCTATTTTCATTTCTATAGCACGTTACAGACTATGCCTCATAATGTGAGAAACTCCCAAACACAGGAAGGAGGTTCAGACACTGGAAGGCCAAAAAGTATGACAAAATGTCCACTGCTTTGTTACTGCAGAAGCAAGAAGTTCCATGAACCCCAAAGAGCTGTGTCTTTATAGAATATGTATGTGTGTGTGTGCATGTGTGTGTGTTTAAACATCTTTCCAATCTTTACCATCAACCTTTTGCAAGATAACAACAAAATGTCCATCGAGATGCTAACACCAATGTTCAGCTTTGCAAACTTGTAGATGGTCAGTTTCACCCTCCACCCATAGTCGATGTTCATGCCCATCCCAATGACCCAAATTCCCCAAATTCTTCCACTTCCACCTCCCTTTCCATAACCATCGTTTTGTTCACCATCTTCCATTCTACCTTTTATGTACTTGAATCTTCCCAGTGCAGGAGAGCAGAGGCCATGTGCAGGGATGATGGGGATCTAGTGCTTAGAGTGGGGTTGTACACACAGGCCCTCTCTCAACAGCCAAGTATCACTTGGAAACATAACAGAGGACCCTACCTGCCCCATGCCACCTCCCTTCAGTACTGGATTCTCCTCAGTGGTTAGGGTT